>NC_000024.10:12283670-12893218 GCF_000001405.40 Homo sapiens | reverse complement strand
CTGCAGGGCATAAGGAGGCCTTGCACTTTTAGATGATCAGTGATGGCTTCCAGCAATTTTCTAGCTTCTGGCTTTAGGGACATTACTTCTGGATAGGAAAAGAAGTGGGATCCTTAAGGTGAATCTGGACTGGTATAACTGTTGTAGCCTGGCCAGCCTTTCCCTGAATTGCCCATACATCTGGGTTAATATTGGTTTCCATTAAGGGAAGGCAAAGAGTTTATTCTGGAGCCATTAGGATGGTGGCTCCCATAGAAACAAAAATATCCCTGCCTAGCAAAGGAGTGGGACTTTCAGGCATAATTTAAAATGCGTGGGTAAACAGCAGGTCTAATTGTTGGATAGTATTAAAATTAACACTTCCCTAAAGAGGCTGGGCTATTCCACCCTGGCACTGGTAAGAAGGCGATGCCCTTATACAAAGAATATGAGTTACTTTTTCTTCAGGGTGTGAGAGTCAAAGGAGTCCCAGTGTCTCAGGATGCATGTGAGAGGAGTGCAGGCTGAAGAGGATTTGTTACACATTTAGAAAAGAGAAGGAGAAGGCATTCATTAGTTTCCTTCTTTTTGGAGTGACCCAGGGTGGAGAGAAAAGGCCAAAATGGCATCCCCCTTCACCCCTTTCCACCCAGCCTCTGGGTCCTGGCGACCATTACAGGTGCCACCCATGGATGCACGCATGACCTTCACTCATGGATTTGGAAGAGTTAGTCAACAGGAATAGTTACTGTTATCTGTACAACATCCTAGTCACCTATGGCTCTTCCCCTTTAATTACTTAATTTTGCATGAATGGTATGGTCCCCAGGTCCCGCAGATGGAGGGATCATGGAAAAAAAACATATAATAGTTGTGCCTGGGCCAGGCCCCCTAATGAAGGGAAGGTTCTGTCTCGTAACATATTAATTACTCTTATTTTAAATTCCAGGTCTCATAGTTCCAAAAATCTTGAGTTTTATCTAAGTCTAGTTTTAATGCTTACTTGGTCTCCTCAGACTGTATTTTCTTGCTTCTTGTCATGCTTTGTAATTTTTGGTTGAAAGCCAAACATGTTATATGTGATGATAAGTTCTGAGTTAATTAGACATTTAAGTGTAAGGTTTTATTTGGTTTTGTTTTTGAGACAGAGTCTTGATCTGTTGCCCAGGCTGGAGTGCAGTCATGCAACCTTAGCTCACTGCCACCTCCACCTCCCAGGTTCAAGCAGTTTCCCTCCTCAGTCTCTCAGGTAGCTGGGAGAGTTTAACCTTACAGTGTTAAAAGAATTTTGCGTGTGTGATTAGATTAAGGACCTTAAAATGGAGAGGTATCTTGGTAGATCCATAGTCAATGTACTTAAAGACAAGAATTTTTTTTTTTTTGAGACGGAGTCTTGCCATCGCCCAGGCTGGAGTCCAACAGCACAATCTCGGTTCATTGCAGCACTCTGATCCATGATCAAAGTGTTAAGATCAAGCTATTCTCCTGCCTTAGCCTCCCAAGTAGCTGGGACTACAGGTGCACGCCACCATGCCTGGCTAATTTTTTGTATTTTTAGTAGAGATGGGATTTCGGCATGTTGGCCAGGCTGGTCTCAAACTCTTGGCCTCAAGCAATCTGCCTCACTCAGCCTCTAAAAGTACTGAGGCCCAAACCTGGGCCAAGTGTAAGGTTTTATGTTAAACTGGGTAAGGATTGGGCTATGTTTAATGTTTACTGTAGCTCTAGGTATCAGGAGCTTCCTCTGGCATCCTGTTTTTCTATGCCCTTTTATATTTGCATTTCCCCAGTAGCTCCTTCTTAATTAGAGGATACAAGTGCTGATTTTTCCTTTTCTTTCTTTCTCCATCTTTAGATAAAACAGAACAGCTAAAGGATGATTCAGCATGGTGGCTCAGGCCTGTAATCCCTGTCACTTTGGGAAGCTGAGGAGTTTTGAGACTAGCCTTCCTAGCAGACCCTGTCTCTCAGGAAAAAAAAAAGTAAAAACAAAAAAACAAAAACAAAACAAATAAAACCACTAACCAGTCATGATGTCATGCACCTGTAGTCCCAGCTACTCAGGAGGCTAAGGCAGGAAGGTCACTTGAAACCAGGAGGTCAAGGCTGCAGTGAGTTATATGATCACATCACTGCACTCCAGCCTGGGTGACAGAGAAATTCCATGACTCAAAAACCCAAACAGGAAAACTAAAGGCTACTGGATTTTGGTAATTGCCCTCTGCCTAAGTAGAATAAGTTTCTGTTAGTTTTTTCACAAGACAGTAGATCTCTGTGATGGAAAATGTACTGGGTATTTTTCCATTTTTCTTGACAAAATCAAGAGGTCATTTTTCTGGGCTATTAAATTTTAAAAGTTGATGGGATTTCTGTGGCCAAAATCCATGAAATTAAAGCCACTTTCCCCCACCCCATTCACTGTAAGACAACAGTTCCAGGAGGTTTCCCACTCTTAAGCTAGTCTAGACATACTCTCCAAAAATTCATTAAAATTTTTATTTAATTGTTTCTACAATTTTATAGCTCCAGTAGCTTCTGCTTGAAGTAAACTAAACTCAGTCACATTTTCCTGCATTTGCCTATTGCTCCAGATTTTAGGATCACAGTTGGCCCTGCAACCTTAGTTTTCTAAATTGAGAACAGTCATTTATTTTCAGGTTTTGGGGGCGTTTTCCTTGTTGAAAGGATGGAGTGACAACTTCCAAGCTTTTTACATGCTGGAGGTGAAACAATAAATTCTTGAAATCCATTTTATATGTCCTTTATAGCGCACAGGCTAACCTGTCTCAAATTATGTGTAATAGTACACAACTGTTTCTGCCAGTTACATATTGACTGAGAGCGGAAACTATTTTTACTTTGGGAGGCCGAGGCGGGCGGATCACGAGATCAGGAGATGAGACCACGGTGAAACCCCATCTCTACTAAAAATACAAAAAAATTAGCCGGGCGCGGTGGCAGGCGCCTGTGGTCCCAGCTACTCCGGAGGCTGAGGCAGGAGAATGGCGTGAACCCGGGAGACGGAGTTTGCAGTGAGCCGAGATCGCGCTACCCTATTCCAGCCTGGGCGACAGAGCGAGACTCCGTCTCAAAAAAAAAAAAAATAATAACTTTCACCCAACTTGTTGGTTCAATATAATTAACAGTCCATTCATTTGCATTCTCTTCTGTATTAGGTTGGACAGATTGTAATACTTGCAGACTAAATGAAAGTTTGTTTCTATAAACCTTAATTTAAATAATGTTTACTTATGTGTTACTTTATGCTATAAATAGAAAAAGTAAGCAGAGCTTTGTTTCTTGTAATAATTGCTTTAGAAAAGGGAAAATATTGCCATTCACAAATTGGTACTCCTTTCTTAAAATATTTCAAATCAATTTTTTCACACAACTTAATCTATAATACAACAAGAAGTGTTTAAAAAATGTAACTTTTTAGTAATTTTGATAAAATTTGAATGTAAGTAATAATAAGACATAATTTTATCACAGCACCTAAGAGTGATATGTAAACATGGCACCATAAAATTATGTCTGTCTTTCATGTATGAAGCTGGAAATCATCATTCTCAGCAAACTAACACAGAAACATGAAACCAAACACTGCATGTTCTCACTCATAAGTGGGATTTGAACAATGAGAACACATGGACCCATAGAGGGGAACATCCCACACTGGGGACTGTCAGAGTGTGGGGGCAGGGGAGGGAGAGCATTAGGAGAAATACCTAATGTAGATGACAGGTTGATGGGTGCAGCAAAAGACCATAGCACATGTATACCTGTGTAACAAACCTGTGTGTTCTGCACATGTATCCCAGAACTTAAAATATAATTTAAAAAAAGAAAAAAAAATTATATCTATCTTTATTTCCAAACCAATCTACATTTTAAGTAAAATTAAAAATAAAGTACATTTGTATGAAGAAAAGCATCAATGATTCACTAATAGTCTGCAACAATTTATTGCACCATTCCTTCTTCAGCTTTCCCCTTTATACAATAAAGATAATGAGAACTATTTCATGACATAATGAGAAATTTGTTTATCTTTGTGGTAGAAAATTAATTCAGATTACTGTTGCAAGCAACAAAAAGATTTTTATAAACATTATGGTAGAGGAGAAACCAATAAGTTTAAAAATTGCTTTTCCATCATAAAACTGAAAAAACAAGATGTATAAGCAAAAATAATACTTAAAATAATATGAGGATATATGTGGTAAATGTCATCTAGACTGCAAACAGTTTTATAGTGAAACCTGCATCTTATTTACCTTTGTAAATGTAAGAAATGTATAGTAGAAATTACAGCTTTTCAAAGGAGGAGGATATATCAATTCACTGGGAAGCTAGAAAAGTCTTTACAGTTGTTAAGATTTTAGTCAAACCTAAAAACACCAGAAGGATTCAGGTTATCAAGGAGAATGAGAAAGATTAGTTTTAAAATGGTGGCAGTGGAGAGGAAGGAGAAGACACTGAGATGTGCAGAAATTTGACAAGAATGGTGAAGGCATTTTGGAAACAGTTAGTTTTGAAAACAATGGCCAGGGCCGGGTGCGGTGGCTCACACTTGTAATCCCAGCACTTTGGGCAGGCTGAGATGGGTGGATCACTTGAGGTCAGGAGTTCAAGACCAGCTTGGCCAACATGGTGAAACCCCATCTCTACTAAAAATACAAAAATTAGCTGGGTGTAGTGGCACACGCCTGTAGTCCCAGCTACTCACTCAGCAGGCTGAGGCACGAGAATCGCTGGAACCGGGGAGGTGAAGATCACAGTGAGCTGAGATTGTGCCACTACACTCCAGTCTAGGCAACAGAGTGAGAAATAAATAAATAAATAAGAAAACAATAGACATGGAATTTAGAAGGATAGTTGATTTTATCAACTTAACATGCAATCATTAAAAATCCACAACACACCTGGGTCCTGTGGCTCTGACCTGTAAGCCCAGCAACTCAGAAGACTGAGGTGAAAGGATTGCTTAAGGCCAGAAGTTTTAGATCAACGTAGCAAGTTCCATTTCTTAAAAGAAAAACAAAAGAAAATTAGCAGGGCTTGTTGACACACACCTGAAGTCTCAGCTACTCAGGAGGCTGAGACTGCAGCATCCCTTAAGCTCAGGAATTTGAGGCTACAATGAACTATGATTCCATTACTGCACTCCAGCCTTGGCAACACAGCAGGACTGTGTCAAAAGGAAGAGAGAAAGAGAGACAGAAAGAAAGAAAGGAGAGAAAAAGGAAAGAAGGAAGGAAGGAAGGGAAGAAAGGAGGGAGAAAGAAAGGGAGGGAATGAGGGAAAAAAGGGAAGGAGACAGGGAGAAAGAGAGGGAGGGAGGGAAGGAAGGGAAGGAGGGAGGGAGGAAGGAAGGAAAGAAAGAAGGAAATGGAGAATCCACAACACATTCCTAGGGGCTGGAAATATAATGTGGTAGACAAGACATTGAACCCTTGACCTAATGAAGACACTTTCAATGTTTTACTTGGAAGAATGTCTAAAAAACTAGTGGAAAACAAAACTTGGAATGTTCGGCTCATGCTTACAATGTAGTATAGTGTGTAAGAACTTAATATTGTAAGCAGTGAGAAGTATGTGAAGAATTCTGAGCAAAGGACTGACAGGAGGAAATGCTGCATTTAGATTATCTGTCAGTGTTGTATACAGGGTTAATTAGGGCAGAGAGAAGCTAAGGCTAGGACTTAGCTTGATATCTCAGGTGAAAATGCAATAGGTAGAAGAAGGATGAGAATATGAGCAAGCATGTCACACAGAACTGACAAAATGGGAAATGGGTTACTCATTTGGTGGGAGACAAAAAAGCATTATCAAGTTACAAGCCTCAAGTGTCTGTTATAATGATAATTCAATTTCTTGCTGTTAGTTTTTTCCAATATTTTATTGTAGTAAAGACAAAAGAGTTAAGAAAAGTGAACAGGGCCTAAGGGATGCAAATCAAGCATAAAAACATAAATATTGTGAGAGTGTCCAAAAAAAGAAGGGATAGAAAAGGAAACTGAATGAATACTTGAAGAAATAATGATTGAAAACTTCCTAAATTTCATGAGAAACACGAGTATAAATATCCAAGGAACTCAAACATTTCAAAAAAGATTAATTTAAAGAAAACTTCACCAAAACACATTACAATCAAATTTGAAACTCAAAGACAAAAAAAAGAACCTTGGAGGCAGCAAGAGAGAAGTGATTCATCACGCAGAAGTGATCTTCAGTAAGATTATTAGCAGATTTCTGATCAGAAATTTTGGAGGCGAGAAGGCAGTGGATTTAAATATTCAAAGTGCTAAAAGAAAGACAATGTCAACCAAGAAGCCCTTGTTTGGAAAACTGTCCTCTAAAAGTGAGAAGGAGATTGGGCATTGTGGCTCACACCTGTAGTGCTGGCACTTTGGGAATATGAGGCAGGTGGATCATTTGAGTCCAGGGGTTTGAGACTAGCCCTGGCAATGCAGTGAAATCCTGTTTCTACAAAATAGAAAAAAATTAGCCAGGCATGGTGGCATGCCCCTGTAGTCCCAGCTACTCAGGATGCTGAAGTGGGAGGATTACTTGAGCCTGGGAGGTCAAGGTTGCCATGAGACATGATTGTGCCACTGCACAACAGTCTGGGTGACATGGGAGTCAGGCAGAGTAAAAAGAAAGGATGCTAGACAACAACTTGAAGCCTTATGAAGAAGTAAAGAGCTCATTAAAGGTAAATACATGTCTAATTATAACAGCTAGTATTATTGCAACAACCATATGTAACTCCATTTTTAATTTATATTTTACATTTTTTAAAAAGCAATTGTAAGAATAAGTGCTAGTATTTTTGTAACTTTTGCTAGTAAGTTTACGTTTTGTTTTCTACATAATTTAAGACACTAATAAATTTTTAAAAATTGTTAGGTTTACATTTTGAGGCACAAAGTATATAAAGATGTGGTTTTATGACATCAATGAAAATGGGTGGGACACATTATAAAGAGGCAGTTTTTGTATGTTTTTCATGTGAAGCTGGTATAAATTTAAATGAGTATTATAACTTTGGAATGTTACCATACTTTAGGATGTTAACCACAAAGAAAATAGTTAAGGAATATGTACAAGAACAAATTAGAATGGAATTTAAACATTTTATTATAAAAAATAACATCATAAAAATAAACACTAATGTAGAAAATTAGGGCCAAAAAAAGCTATAATGCATATGTGAAACAAGTAGCAAAATGACAGAGGTAAGTCTTTCTTATTAGTAATTACTTTAAACATAAACAGATTAAACTCTCCAATTAAAAGGGAGAGATTGCTGAATGGACAAAAAATATGGTTAACCAGGTGCTATCTACAGAAACTCACTTTAGATCCAAAAACACACGTAGATTGAAATATATTAATAGGAAGAAAAAAATGTTCCAAGGAATAGTAACCTTCATCCCTGAGAAGTCTGAGGAGAAAAAAAGAAATAAGTGATCAAGTAAGAGCAGAGATGCAGTTAGACCACAAAGCAATGTACTAATATCAGACAAAACAGATTTTAAATAAAAAAGGCTATAAAAGATAAAGAAGGACATCATATTTTAAGGAAAGACTCCATAGAGGAAGAAGACATAACAATTATAAATGTTAATAAATATTTTTTTACCTAATGACATATCTTCAAAATACATGAGGCAGAAACAGAAAATTGAAGGAGAAATAGATAATTCTGCAATAATAGTTGGAGACTTTAATACTACACTCTCAATAAGTTATAGAACCAGAGAAAAGATAAATAAGAAAATAGAGAACAACACAATAAACAAGTAGATCCAAAAGACATGCAGAATACTCTACCCAACAATAGAGGAAAATCAAGGAAACAAAAAGCTGGTTCTCTGAAAAGATGAAAGAAATGGACAAATCTTTAGATAATAAGACTAAGTAAACAAGAGAAAAGTCCCAAATGCCTAAAATTAGAAATCAAAATAAGGACTTTAATACTGATTTTACGGAAATTGAAATGATTATGTGAGTATTATAAACAACCTTTGCCAACAAATTGGATAACCTAAATCAAATAAAAAATTTCTAGAAACAAAATTTCCCAAAACTAAGCCACAAAGAAATAGAAAGTCTGGATAGATCTATAATGAGGTAAGAAGATCAAATCAGTAATCAAAAATATTTTGACAAAGAAAAACTCCAGACCCGATGGCTTCCTGCACAAATCCTAGGAAACACTGAAAGAATAATACCAATGTGTTTCAAGCTTTTTCCAAAAACTGAAGGGAAAGAAACTTTCTAGTTCATTCTATGAGGTCGACACTACCCTGATATCAAAACCAGATTATAAGGACACTACCAGAAAGGAAAACTACACATTAATATCTTATAAACATTAATGCAAAAATCCTCAATAGAATACCAGCAAATCAAAATCAGCATTTCAAAAGGGTTATACACTGTACCCATAACCAAAAGGGATTCATTTTTAGAATGCCAGGATGTTTCAACACGTGAAAACTAGGGTAGCAATCCCATTACTGGTATATATCCCAGTGAAAATAAATCATTCTACCAAAAAGACACATGCACATGTATGTTCATCACAGCACTATTCACAGTGGCAAAGACATGGAATCAACCTAGGTGCCCATCCACAGTGAATTGGATAAAGAAAATATGATACATTTACAGCATAGAATACTATGCAGCTGTCAAAAAGACTGAAGTTGTGTTTTTTGCAGCAAATGGATGGAGCTGGCAGACATAATCTTAAGTGAATTAATGCAAAAACAGAAAGCAAGAAGCCACAAGTTCTCACTTACAAGTGAGAGCTAAACATTGAGTACACAGGGATACAAAGGAGGTAACAACAGACACCAAGACCTACTTGGGGGTGGAAGGTGAGTGGAGAGTCAGGATCAAGAAACTACCTATCAGCTACTATGCCTATTAATTGAGTGACAAAATAATGTATACAGCGAACCCCAACAACAGGCAATTTACCCATGCAACAAACATCCACATGTACCCCCTTGAACCTAAAATGAAAGTTGCAAAGATAAAAGGAGTTTAAGGTATTTCACTAGATTAACAGAACAAGGTGGGGAAATCCATGATCATTTCAATGGATGCACAAAAAAGCATTGTAAAGAATTCATTTCCCTTTCATGATAAAAACATTCAACCACTGAGGAAGAGAAGAAAACTACCTCAACATAATAAAAGCCCTATATGAAAAACACACAGCAAACATAATATTCAATGGTGAAGGAGTGAAAGTGTTTCCTCTAATACGTGAATCGAGGCAAGGATGCCCTCTTAAGGCACTTAGTTACAGCAGTTAGTTCAATAATAATAATAATAAATATGTTGGGTACAGTGGCTCACACCTGTAATCCCAGTACTTAGGGAGGCTGAGAAAGGAGGATCGCTTGAGCCCAGGATTTTGAGACCAGCCCCGGCAACATGGTAAAAATGTCGTCTCTACAAAAAGTACAAAATCCTCAGATGGGAGGATCACCTGAGCCGGAGGAGGCTGGGGCTGCAGTGAGGTGTAATCACATCACTACACTCCAGCCTGGGCAACACAGTGAGAATGTGCCTCCAAAAGTTAATTAAATAAATAAAAATAAAGAAATAAATAATAAGGCATCCAATTTGGGAGAAAAAAGTAAAATGATCTCTATTTTCCAGATGGTATCTTATACGTAAAAAAAGACCTAATGACTCCACAAAAGCACTGTTAGAGCTAATAATTAAATTCAGCAAAGCAACACACACTAAGTTCATACAAAAAATTAGTTGGATTTCTATATAGTAACAATGAATAATTTGAAAAGAAAATTACAAAAACAAGTCCACAAACATTAGAATAAAATAAAATACTATTTTATTTCATTAATTTTAATAGCTAAATAAAATACTTAGGTATTTAAGATATTTAGGTATTTTAATATTTAATACTAACTACTTAGGTATTTTATATACTAACTACTTAGGTATTTAAAATACTTAGGTATTTTATATACTAATTACTTACATATTTAAAATATTTAAGTATTTTATTTAGGTAGTAACTCAACCAAGAAGATGAAGGACTTATTCGGGGAAAACTATGAAACATTGATGAAAGAAGTTAAAGCAGACATAAATAAATGGGAACATATCTTACATTCATAAATTGTAAGACTTAGTTCTATGAAGGTGTTAATACTACCCAAAGATCTACAGATTCAGTGTGATCCGTATAAAAATCTCAATAACTTTCTTTTGTAAATATGGAAAAACTAATATTAAAATTCATATAAAATGCAAGGGATGCTGAATAGTAGCCAACACAATCCGGAAAAAGAACAAAACTGAAGGACTCACACTTCCTGATTTCAAAACTTTCTACAAAGCTTTAGTAATCAAAACAACATGGTACTGGCATAAGACAGACATATGAGCCAATGGAATAGAAAGCCTAGAAATAAACCTTCACATAAATAGTTAGATAATTTTTGACAACATTATTCAATGGGAAGTAACGGCATTTTCAAAAAAGCACTGGAGAAACTGGAAATCTGCAAAAAAGTGAAGTTGGAACTTAACAAATGTTGCATGCAAAAATTAACTTAAAATGAATCAAAGATCTAAACATAAGATCTAACTATAAAACTTTTAGAAGAAAACATAGGGCAGAGCTTCACGACATTGGATGTGGCAATGATTTCTTGGATATGACACTATAGGCACAGGCAATGGTGTCTCATGCCTGTAATCCCAGTGCTTTGGGAGGTCGAGGCTGGAGATTGCTTGAGTTCAGGAGTTCAAGAGCAGACTCGGTAACACAGTGAGACCCTATCCCTATAAAAAATTTAAAAAGTAGCTGGATGTGGTGGCACATGCCTATAGTCACAGCTACTGGGGAGGCTGAGTCAAGAGAATCACCTGAGCCCAGGAGTCTGAGGCTGCAGTGAGCCATGATCATGCCACTGCACTCCAGCTTCAGCGACAGAGCAAAACCCAATCTCCAAAAAAATAAAAATTAAAATAAGGCACCCCCCAGAATGAAGGGCTTGAAGAGAGCTTTCTTCAAAAAGATATAAAAATGGCCAATAGGCACATAAACAGGTACTCAGCATCACTATTAATGAAATGGAAATAAAACTACAATGAGCTATTTCTTCACATGTATTACAATAGCTACTATAATATAAAATAAAAACAGAAAATAAGTGTTGGTGAGAATGTGGAGAAATTGAAATTTTGTGCATTGTTGGGTAAAATGGTAAAGCCATTATGGAAAACAATATAGTGATTCCTCAAAAAAAAAAAAATAAAATTACAATTTGCTCCAGCAGTTCCTCTTCTGGATATATACTTAAACAATTAAAAGCAGAATCTTGATGAAATAGTTGTATACACTAGTGTTCACAGCAGCATTATTCACAATAACTAAAATGTGGAAGCAATCCAAATGTTTATTGATGAATAGATAGCAAAATATAGTATATGCACAATAGAACCAGCCTTAACTTAGCCTTAAAAAGGAGGGAAATTCTGCACTATGCCATAGCACAGATGAACCTTGATGATATTATGCTAAGTGAAATAAGCCAGTCACAAAGACACAGTGTATTATTCCATGTGTAGGCAAATATATGATTCCACTTCCAGGAGATATAGTCATGCACTGCATAATGACATTTTGGTCAACAGTGGATCCCACATCATATTATAATACCATATTTTTACTGTATCTTTTCCTTTTTTTTTTTTTTTAAGATGGAATCTCACTCTGTCACCCAGACTGGAATACAGTGGTTCAATCTCAGCTCACTGCAATCTCCTCGTCTTGGGTTCAAGCGATTCTCCTGCTTCAGCCTCCTGAGCAGCTAGAATTACAGGTGCATGCCGCCACACCCAGCTAAATTTTGTATTTTTAATAGCACGGGGTTTCACCATGTTGGCCAGGATGGTCTCGATCTCCTGACCTTGTGATCCGCCAGCCTCAGCCTCCCAAATTGCTGGGATTACAGGCATAAGCCACTGTGCCCAGCATGCTGTATCTTTTCTATGTTTAGATACACAAATACTATTGTGTTACAGCTGGCTACAGTAAAGTACAGTAATACAGAAAAGTACAGTTACTTTTCTGTATTAGGCCATTTTTGCATTGCTATAAAAGAATGCCTGAGGCTCAGTAATTTGTGAAGAAAAGAGATGTGTGTGTGTGTGTGTGTGTGATGGAGTCTTGCTGTGTCGCTGAGGCTGGAGTGCAGTGGCATGATCTCGGCTCACTGCAATCTCTGCCTCCCAGGTTTAAGCGATTTTTCTGCTTCAGCCTCCCAAGTAGCTGGAATTACAGGTGCACACCACCATGCCTGGCTAATTTTTGTATTTTTAGTGGAGACAGGTTTCACCATGTTGGTCAGGCTGGTCTCAAACTCCTGACCTCGTGATCCACCCACCTAGGCCTCCTGAAGTACTGGGATTATAGGATTACAGGCATGAGCCACCGGGGCCAGGCCAAGAAAAGATATTTAATTGGCTCAGAGTTCTGCAGCTGTGCAATCATGTCAATGGTATCTACTCACTCTAGTTTGAACCTCAGGGAAGTTTTACTCATGGCAGAAGATGAAGCGGGAGTAGGCACATCACATGGTGAGAGTGGCAGTAAAAGAAGTTGAGAGAGGGTGCCACAAAGTTTTACACAACCAGATCTCATGAGAAATCATTATCATAAGGACACCACCAAGAGGATAGTGCTAAATCATTCATGAATCAATCATTTCCCATCAGGCCCCACCTCTAACATTATGGATTACATCTCAACATGAGATTTGGCAGGAAAAAATATCCAAACTATATTAAGGAATATTGTCAGGTTATATTCATATCAGATTGTTTCAGTAGTAGTTGAGACAAAAAAAAGTAGGCTTAAGATGAGTACACACATACAGCAGATCACTTGGAGAGTCCTGAAATGTGATTCTTGCAGTTTGGAGTTTCAGGAGACTGGTATCAGAGTCTGAGAAAGCTAAAGTGGATAGGAGGATCACCTGAACCCGGGGCTGGGGACAGAGGTTGCAGTGAGCCGAGATGACACCATTGCACTCCAGCCTGGCAACAGAGCAAGACTCCGAATCAGAAAGAAAAAATCATGAGAAAATTTGTGGCAAATAAATGGCAAAGGAATTCCTGATACTTTTTGCAAGAGATTCTGTTCTCCCTTAAATTCCTGCAGGTGACTATCCATTGCACAGCAGGAAGTGGAGACATAGGACTAGGACCCTAAAGAAAGCTTTCTCAAAGAAACTTGGAGGCTGTTATGTAAGCCTGAGACTTACGATTTAGTTTTCTGATTTACTAAGTGATAATTAACCTGAAGTCAAACAGCAAATGTAGAATGAGGGCCCAGGAGTACTTCAGCCTGAAAGAATACTTCGTATCAGCCAGGACACAATATCTGCAGAGCTTTGATTTTCTCCCTCAATGGTGAACCACAGGCAGAGTTCTTTTAGCCAAATTTGTCTCGTGTTCTTGACAAGCTGGACATTCCCAAATTTTTGCTGTCTGGATGTGTGATATCTAGACCTGAGCTTCCCAAAGAGAATGTCATCACTATGTGCTGGGAATATATTATAGTTGTGTCATAAAATACTGATCATTATATGTTTGTTTGTTTGTTTTTTATTTTTTATTTTTATTTTTTTATTGATCATTCTTGAGTGTTTCTCGCAAAGGGGGATTTGGCAGGGTCACAGGACAATAGTGGAGGGAAGGTCAGCAGATAAACAAGTGAACAAAGGTCTCTGGTTTTCCTAGGCAGATGACCCTGCGGCCTTCCGCAGTGTTTGTGTCCCTGGGTACTTGAGATTAGGGAGCGGTGATGACTCTTAATGAGCATGCTGCCTTCAAGCATCTGTTTAACAAAGCACATCTTGCACGATCCTTAATCCATTCAACCCTGAGTGGACACAGCACATGTTTCAGAGAGCACAGGGTTGGGGGTAAGGTCACAGATCAACAGGATCCCAAGGCAGAAGAATTTTTCTTAGCACAGAACAAAATGAAAAGTCTCCCATGTCTACCTCTTTCTACACAGACACGGCAACCATCCGATTTCTCAATCTTTCCCCACCTTTCCCCGCTTTCGATTCCACAAAACCGCCATTGTCATCATGGCCCGTTCTCAATGAGCTGTTGAGTACACCTCCCAGACGGGGTGGTGGCCGGGCAGAGGGGCTCCTCACTTCCCAGGAGGGGCGGCCGGGCAGAGGCTCCCCTCACCTCCAGGACAGGGCGGCTGGCCGGGCGGGGGCTGACCCCCCCACCTCCCTCCGGGACGGGGCGGCTGCCGGGCGGGGGGCTGACCCCACCACCTCCCTCCCGGAGTGGGTGGCTGCCGGGCGGAGACGCTCCTCACTTCTCAGACGGTGTGGCTGCCGGGCGGAGGGGCTCCTCACTTCTCAGACGGGGCGGTTGCCAGGCAGAGGGTCTCCTCACTTCTCAGACGGGGCGGCCGGGCAGAGACGCTCATCACATCCCAGACGGGATGGCAGGGCAGAGGCGCTCCTCACATCTCAGACGATGGGCGGCCTGGCAGAGACGCTCCTCACTTTCCAGACTGGGCAGCCAGGCAGAGGGGCTCCTCACATCCCAGATGATGGGCGGCCAGGCGGAGAGGCTCCTCACTTCCTAGACGGGGTGGGGGCCGGGCAGAGGCTGCAATCTCGGCACTTTGGGAGGCCAAGGCAGGCTGCTGGGAGGTGGAGGTTGTAGCGAGCCGAGATCACGCCACTGCACTCCAGCCTGGGCACCATTGAGCACTGAGTGAACCAGACTCCGTCTGCCATCCCGGCACCTCGGGAGGCCGAGGCTGGCGGATCACTCGCGGTTAGGAGCTGGAGACCAGGCTGGCCAACACAGCAAAACCCCGTTTCCACCAAAAAAATACGAAAACCAGTCAGGCGTGGCGGCGCGCGCCTGCAATCGCAGGCACTCAGCAGGCTGAGGCAGGAGAATCAGGCAGGGAGGGTGCAGTGAGCCGAGATGGCAGCAGTACAGTCCAGCTTTGGCTCGGCATCAGAGGGAGACTGTGGAAAGAGAGGGAGAGGGAGACTGTGGGGAGAGGGAGAGGGAGAGGGGCAGGGGGAGGGGGAGGGAGAGGTATATGTTTGTTAAGTGGTGGTAAAACTGCATAAAATTGACCATTTGAATCATTTAAAGTGTATAATTCAGTGGCATTAAAGACATTCACATTGTTATGCAATGATCACCACTATCTATTTCCAGAAATTTTTCATCACCCAAACTGAAACTCTGTACACATTAAACACTAACTCTGTACAATATTAACCTCTCACTTAGTCCTTGGCATTCTGTCTCCTACTTTCTATCTCTTATGATTTTGACTCCCCTATGTACTTCACATATGTGAAAACCTGCAGTATTTGTCTTTTTGTGACTGGCTTGTTTTACTTAGCCTAATGTTACCAAGGCTGTTGCGTGATGTAGTATGTGTCAGATTTTCCTTCCTTGTTAAGGCTGAATAATGTTCTAATGTATGCTATACTATATTTTGTTTATCCATTCTTCTGACATGGCCACTTGGATTGCTTCTACATTTAGGCTACTGTGACATAATGCGCTATGAAGTATCTCTTCAAGTGCCTGCTTTCAATTCTTTCAGGTATATATATCCAGAAGTGAAATTGCTGGATCATATGGTAATTGTATTTTTAATTTTTCTGAGACATTATCATGCTGTTTTCCATAGCACCTGCACCAGTTTACATTTTTCACCAATAGTACATGACTCTTTCTTATTTCTCTATATCCTTCCCAGCACTTATTTTTCATTGTTTTGATAATACCTGTCTTAATGGAGATGTAAACTGGTATATTATTGTGGTTTTATTAGCGCTTCTCTTTTTTTTTTTTTTTTTTTTTTTTTTTTTTTTTTTTTTTTTTTTTTAGACAGAGTTTTGTTCTTGTTGCCCAGGCTGGAGTGCAGCAGCATGATCCTGGCTCACTGCAACCTCCACCTCCTAGGTTAAAGCAATTCTGCCTCAGCTTCTCTGGGATTACAGCTGCGTGCCACCGCACCTAGCTAATTTTCTTTTCTTTTTTGTAAGACAGAGTCTTTCTCTGTTACCCAGGCTGCAGTGCAGTGGCATAATCTCGGCTCACTGCAACCTCCACCTCCCAGGTTCAAGTGATTCTCCCGCCTCAGCCTCCTGAGTAGCTGGGACTACAGGCATGTGCCACCACACCTAGCTAATTTTTTGTACTTTTAGCAGAGACTGAGTTTCACCATGTTAGCCCAGATGGTCTCGATCTCCTTACCTCATGACCTGCCCACCTTGACCTCCCAAAGTGCTGGGTGAGCCACCGCACCTGTCCTAATTTTTGTATTTTTAGTAGGGAAAGATTTTCACCATGTTGTCCAAGCTGATCTCGAACTCCTGACCTCAGGTGATCCTGCTGCCTCAGCCCTGCAAAGTGCTGTGATTACAAGTGTGAGCCATCACACCTGGCTATTTGCATTTCTCTAGTGCTGAGTTATGTTGAGCAGCTTTTGAAAAGCTAATGATTGTATATTTTATAATAGCTTCTTTTGCAAGTTTTATACCAGTTTGATACTTAATATCTTTTCCAACATTTTATTAGCATAACTACATAACAAAAATAAAACTGTATCATTCACTTTATTTTAGGCAGTCCTTCATAGACCCTGACATATCCTTTGCAATTTACTCCAGTGAGATGTACAAATATTACCATTTCCTGAGTATGCTGCAGTGTGAAAAAGTTTGTGGAGTGATGATCTAGACTCTTTGCTGATCTTCTATGCTATATTCTTTCTTTGAATAGGATCAGAATATAATTACTGAGGGAACTGCTTTCTTTGACTCTCATGTTTCCCTGAGACTACCACTGAAAATGAACTGGGCTGCAGTTCCAATTTCTTACCTGAAAGCTCAAACCATCACCTCTTGAGCCGAATGAAGAGTGAAATGGATATCCAGAGTAATATGTGAGCTATTGCCAGCCTCACAATTCAAAATTTTCTAATTTTCCTTTGCACTATTCCTGCTAAAACCAAGGGATTGGTTCTGTTTCTCAGCCTATGTTACTTAGTTGAGGGGCATCAGCCTGCCGGAACTTGGGGCAGGTTCCAAAGAACAAGAATTACTAATCAGAAATGACCAACAACTTTGCTTCATCTCTTCTCTTTTAATTTTTGAAGGCAATATAGTGATGGTTCTTAAAATGTGGCACTATATAGCATCACTGAGAATTTAGAAATGCAAATTCTTATTTTCTATCCTAGACATACAGTATCATGGAAAATATGGGAGGACAGCAGGCAGCACTTGGTTCTTTATCAGACTTTTCAGGTGATCCTCATGTAACTAAAGTGTGAAAACTACTCTGGTAAAAAAAAATTGAAGGCTCTTTAAAGTACATATCAGTTTAGTTTTAACTCGTCAAATGCTGTTTCCCTAGATTTTTATTAGATTGCAACTTTCCCCACCATGAAGTTTTTGAGGCAGACAAAGCTATTGACCGGAGTAGCCAATGTTAGACAGGCCAGACTCCCTCATGGTCTTGTGCACTTCTAAGCAATCACTAGGTTTCTTCCTGGGATGTGTAGGTGGGGGAATCACTAATCTCTTAGTAAATTCAATCTCAAAAAAAAAAAACACACACACACAAATAAAGTTCTACAGTGAGTCTCTCTGAGAGAGAAAAGCAGAGTTTAGCTTTTCTCATTCTTCCTTCCTTTCCTCCTCTCTCTATTTCTTTTTCTTTTGTTATCAGGTGCAGAGATTCTTAATAACACTCTCCTGTTAATGAAATATTATCATGACTTGTGCACACCTGGCACCTTGTGGGTTTGTTTTCTCTTATCTCCATTTTCCACTTCCACTTCCTTGTCCCATATAGGTAAGCAATCATTTATATATACTTATTTTCATAAGTACTTCCAAAACAGCCATTATTTTGTAGGTATGCATTTTTATTTTAATGTAAATTTCATAGACATAATACTGTCAATGCAAAAAAGTGAACAAATCACAAACACATAGCTCTACAAATTTTCAGAGTAAACACCTCTTTGAAACCAGCACCCATGAGCCAGAAATGTGACACAACCAGAACTCCAAAAGACCCCCTCTGGCTACTCTTCCAGTTATTAATCCCAGGGATCACTAGCATTTTGACCTATAACAGCATAATTATTCTTTTTCATATTTATAAAATTTATTTTCTTTCTTCTTTTTCTTTCTTTTTTTTAAAAAAATAGATATAGGGTCTTGGTGTGTTGCCCAAGCTGGTCTCAAACTCCTGGGGCTCAAGTGAGCCTTTTAGAGTGCTGGGATTACTAGCATTAACCATTGAAACTTGTTCTGTAATTGAAGTTTCTATAGGGGTGTGTGTGTGTGTGTGTGTGTGTGTGTGTGTGTGCATGCTATGTGTGTGTGTCTGTGTGTGAGAGAGAGAGAGCAAGACAGAGAGAGTGTGGGAGAGAGACCGAGAGAGAGAGAGAGAGAGAGAGAGAGAGAGAGAAAGAGAAAGAGAGAGATTGGATCTGTGTCTATTCCCCAAATCTCAAGTTGAATTGTAATCCCCAATGTTGGAGGTGCGACATGGTGGGAGGTGACTGGATCATGATGGCAGTTTCTCTTATGAGATCTCTGGTTTTCTTGGTTTTGTTTTGTTTCTTTCTTTCTTTTTTTTTTTTTTAGATGAAGTTTCGCTCTGTTGCCCAACCTGCAATGCAGTGGCGCAATCTTGGCTCACTGCAACCTCCGCCTCCTGGGTTCAAGCAATTCTCCTGCCTCAGCCTCCCAAGTAGCTGGGACTACAGGCATGTGCCACCACGCCTGGCTAATTTTTGTATTTTTAGCAGAGACAGGTTTTCACCATGTTGCCCAGGCCGGTCTTGAACTCCTGATCTCGTGATCCACCTGGCTCAGCCTCCCAAAGTGCTGGGATTACAGGTGTGAGCCACTGCACCTGGCCGTGAGATCTGCTTTTGAAAAGAGTGTGGCAACTTCCCAGTCTCTTGCTCCTGGTCCAGCCATGTGAGATGCACCTGTTTCACTTTGCCTTCTGCCATGATTTTAAGTTTCCTGAGGCAGAAGTCGCTATGCTTACTGTACATCCTGTGGAACTGTGGACCAATTAAGCTTCCTTTCTTTATGAATTACCCAGTTGCACTTATACTTTATAGCAGTGTGAGAACAAACCAATACGGTATGTGTATTCCTGAGAATAAGAAAGTATTAGTTTGCAAAGAGAGTTTTGACTGCTCTTTTCCCTGTAATCCTCCCTAGCATAGGGAACCATGCTACTCAATTGCTTTGAACAAGGACTTCAAAAAGAAGCTGAACTCTGTTCTACAAAGAGATTTATGAGGAGGCTATGATACAAGATAACAATATACATCAGCAGTACCCAGTTATTTTGTCTTTGTAGTTTTATTAGAAAATAATTTCTTGGCTGGTAAAGTTCCTGCTGGTATACCTTGTTTCTCTGTGATTAGATCTGCCCACTCAAGTGTCTGCCCAGCAATCTGTAACAGTCTGGGGCTCAGAGAAAAACATGACAAAGTTCTTTGCAGTCAATTTACCATTTGTCCCACCCTTTCCCACCTTTGTAGCAAAAAAGCAATTTATTTGACATCTGGGAAGGTTTAAAATCCTGGCTTATCACGTATCTGTGTTTTGTTATTATTTTTTTCATTGTGGTAATATATGCATTAAAAAATTTACCTGTTCAACCTGTTTAAACTGTAGAATTCAGTGGCATTATGTACATTCACAACACGGTATGGACATATATTTTTAATTTACATAAATAGTACTGGATTACCTGTTTTATCTTATTTCTTACTGTATTTGTAAGAACAAAGCTTTTTTTGTTGTTTTTTGTTTGTTTGTTTGTTTTTGAGACAGAGTTTTGTTCTTGTCACCCAAGCTGGAGTGCAGTGGTATGATCTCAGCTCACTGCAACCTCCACCTCCCAGCTTTAAGCAATTCTCCGGCCTTGGCCTCCCAAGTAGCTGGGATTACAGGCACCCGCCAACACGTCTCACTAATTTTTTGTATTTTTAGTAGAGGCGGGGTTTCACTGTGGTAGGCAGGCTGGTCTCGAACTCCTGAGTTCAGCTGATCTGCTCACCTTGGCCTCCCAAAGTGCTGGGATTACAGGCATGAGCCACTGGGCCTGGTCAGAACTAAGTTTTAAAGATCAATTTCTTTTCCTATGTATATATCAAACCCATTGCTTCCAATTGTATTATGATATTCTGTGGTGCCCCCCCCCCCCAACATTGAACCCAACTAAACCTCTGAAGTGGACACAGAGACTGCCTCACAATCTCTGCTGCAACAAACCACACAGGAATAGGCCTCTTGTAAATGTCTCCATGGGCCTGTATAAATAGTTAGGTAGGATACACTCAAAAGAGACTGCTGGGTCATGCAGAATGCATGTGGTAAAACATTAAGTGCTGGCCAGGCGCGATGGCTCACACCTGTAATCCCAGCACTTTGGGAGGCTGAGACATCGTATCACAAGGTCAGGAGATCAAGACCAGCCTGGCCAACATAGTGAATCCTGTCTCTACTAAAAATACAAAAACTAGCTGGGCATGGTGGTGCACACCTGCAGTCCCAGCTACTTGGGAGCCTGAGGCAGGAGAATGGTCTGAACCCGGAAGGTAGGTGGAGATTGCAGTGAGCTAAGATTGCGTCGCTGCACTCCAGCCTGGGCAACAGAGTGAGACTCTGTCTCAAAAAACTAAAAATAAAAAATTAATAAGTGCTGTTAATTATACTTCTTCCTCCACTTTAACCCTGTTATCTCCTTCTTTTCCAAATCTGTGGCTTTTTTCCTTTAAATTTTTCTTATGCATCATCTCAGTCCATTAAATAAGATTGATAATTTGCTTATTTTAATATGTTGATTATTTTAATATGATAAATAAAACGATGATTTCCAAAAGATATCTATCTTCTAATCCTTAGAATGTGTTAATATGTAACCTTACAGTGTTAAAAGAATTTGGCATGTGTCATTAGATTAAGGACCTTAAAATGGAGAGGTATCCTGGTAGATCCATAGTCAATGTATTTAGAGCCAAGAATTTTTTTTTGAAGCAGATTCTTGCTCTGTCGCCCAGACTCGAGTGCAATGGCACAATCTCGGCTCATTGCAGCACTCTGATCCAAGATGAATGTGTTAAGATCAAGCGATTCTCCTGCCTTAGCCTCCCAGGTAGCTGGGACTACAGGCACATGCCACTATTCCCAGATAATTTTGTATTTTTAGTGGAGATGGGATTTCACCATGTTGCCCAGGCTGGTTTCAAACTCCTGACCTCATGATCCACCTGCCTCAGCCTCCCAAAGTGCTGGTATTACAGGCATGAGACAAAGCACCCAGCCTCTTTTTTCTGTGTGATTATGAGCAAGTTTGCCAATATCTCTAAAATGAGCACAGCATCTACTTTGCAGTATTGTTTTCAGATAAAGTGAGTAAAGTGTTGTCTTACTCAGGCTTCATAAGATACTTGGACTGGGTGGCTTAAACAACCAAGAATTTATTTCTTCCAGTTCTGAAGGCTGGGAAATCCAAGATCAAGGTGGTAAGATGAAGGCTGGTTAACTTTTTCTGGTGAGGGCTCTCTTCATGGTTTACAATCTGCCATTTTCTTGCTATATTTACCCATGGTGTAGAGAAATCCAAGTTCAGTCTCTTTCTCTTCCTACTGAAGACAAGACATTAACTCTATTATGCAGGTCCCACCTGTACCTCATTTAAACCTAATTACTGCCCACAGGTATTCTCAAATGCTAATATTTTGGGGGCTAGGACTTCAACCTATGCATTTGTGGGAAGGGGAACACATTCAGTCCATAAGAAGGATTTATGACTATAGTTCAAAAGTAGGTAACAATTACTGTTAAAACTAGATTAAATTTAAGTATGATTTTTTTCTATTACTTTATTGTCAATGAAAAATACTCGTGGAGCACTTACAATGGTGTATAGTATAGGATATTATCATTACCCTTATAGCACTCACAATCTAAATGAGGCTATCTTTTTCCATAGTACCTGCTAGAATGCATAAAATAACGGTAACCAACATTTACACAAGGCTTTCTGTTTGTACCTCTGGGATATTTTTAGGTTTCCTTAAGGGCAACACCCCTCTGTTTAGCCCCTTATTGCTTAGTAACAGTCCCTTTGTACTCATTAACCTGCATTGTGTAGACAGCTTTCTATGTTAAATTCTAGCACAACCTCTGCCTAGTTGTGGTAACTTGAGTGTGTAATAGCTTCTCTATGCTTCAGTTTCATTATTTATTAAATGAAGAATAATAATAATAGTACTACTTCATGAGAGCTATGTCAGAATTAGATAGGTTGATACATACTGTAACAGCACCTGAAATGTGGTAAGTGGCCAATAGATAATGCCGTTATAATTTCACTTCTGTGAGTGGTGCTACTGCTAACAAAGGATATGGACAGCATTAATGGGGAAAATACTAGTCAGTCATATATTCGGCATATATCCTATGGTGGAAGCAGTGGTGATTGTGAGGCCAATGATATCTACTACTCATGCTTCCTGAACCAGGTTATGAGGTATTGTAAATGACTACTTTTGCTTGTTCTTGGTCACAATTTGCAGCATTTCTGGCAAAACATAGCCATTAGCTATAGGTGAATTTGATAGAGGTGGCTTGAAACATGAGTACCCCTAACATTACAGGAACAGCACATATTTTATACTTCTGCCTCATCGAGTTTCCTGATACTTCACAGTTATTTGGATAGCATTTTGTATTCAGAAGGGGCTACAGGATGATCTCAAAATCATGGTATTTGGAATAAAGCTACACAACAATGTTAGAAAATAAAATATTGGCTGAGTGTGGTGTCTCATGTCTGTAATTCCAGCACTTTTGAAGGCCAAGCAGGCAAATAGCTTGAGCTCAGGAGTTCAAGATCAGCCTAGGCAACACAGGAAAACCCTGTCTCTAGTCAGGTTTAGTGGTATGTACCTGTAGCCCCAGTGAACTGGGAGGCTGAAGTGAGAGGACTGCTTGAGTCCAGGAGGTAGAAGCTGCATTGAGCCATAATTGTGTCACTGTACTCCAGCCTGGGTGACAGAGCAAGAAGCTGTCTCAAAAGAAAGAAAGAGATAAAGAGAGAAAGAGAGAGAAAAAGAGAGAGAGGGAGGGAGAGAGGGAGGCAGGAGGGAGAGAAGGAGGAAGGAAGGAAGGAAGGAAGGAAGGAAGGAAGGAAGGAAGGAAGGAAGGAAGGAAATAAATACTGCAATGCCTGAGAATTTGAATTGTTATCTTTTTTTTTTTTTTGAGAGAAGTCTCACTGTTGCCCAGGCTAGGGTACAGTGGTGCAATCTTCGCTCACTGCAACTTCCGTCTCTCAGGTTCAAGCGATTCTTCTACCTCAGCCTCCTGAGTAGCTGGGATTATAGACGCGCACCACCATGCCTGGCTAATTTTTGTATTTTTAGTAGAGATGGGGTTTCACCATATTGGCCAGGCTGGTTTCAAACTCCTGACCTCATGATCCACCTGCCTTGGCCTCCCAAAGTGCTGGGATTACGGGCATGAGCCACCTCACCCAGCCGCTTCTGTTTAATCTTTAAATTATTTTTAAGGTAACATTTTTGATAATTCTCCCTTCAAACCATGAATTTCCCTCTCCTTCAATGTGGCTGGATTTAGTGCTTTCCTTCTGTATTCGTCAGGGTTCTCCAGAAAAATAGAATCAATAAGACAATAGGGTGTGTGTATGTGTGATTTATTATGAAAAACAGGCTCATGAAATTATGAAAGCTGAGAATTTGCAAGATCTGCAGTCAGCAAGCAGGAGAGGAGGTGTAAGTTCCAATAGAATGACCAAATGGCTCAAGCCCCAGAAGAGCTGATGTTTCAGGCTGAGTTCAAAGGTAGAGGAAAAAGATATCCCAGTTTGGCCTACATGCAGTGGCTCATGCCTGAATCCTAGCACTTTGGATGTCAAGGTGGGCAGACTGCCTGAAATCAGGAGTTCCAGGCCAGCCTGGGCAATATGGTGAGACCCCCACCTGTACTAACAATACAAAAAATTTTCTGGGTGTGGTGGTGCAGTCCTGTAATCTGAGCTACTGGGGAGGCAGAGGTGGAAGGATTACTTGAACCTGGCAGGCAGAGGTTGCAGTATTGCGATCTTGGCTCACTGTAACCTCTGCTTAGCAGGTTTGAGCCACTGTACTCTATCCTGGGCAACAGTTAGAATATGTCAAAAAAAAAAAAAAAGATATCCCAGTTTGAAGGCAGTCAGATGGGAGAAATTTCTGTTAACTTAAAGGAGAGTTTTAATTTTTTGCTTAACTCAGGCCTTCAACCGATTGCACAAGGCCCCTATCTTAGGCAAGCTGATCTGTTTTACTCAATCTACCCATTTACATGTCAATTTCATCCAGAAACACTCTCACAGACATACCCAGAATAATTGGCCAGATATGTCACGGCCCCGTCAAATTGACACAAAATTAATAATCACATCTCCTAAAAACTGAATGTGGCAAAAGTATCAGGTGCCACACAGTAAGGGCTTCCTCATAAATATTTAATCTGGAGTGAACTTTGGAGCTGATCTTTTTGGAGGCTTTTGACAAAAGGAACCAGAAAAATAAATGCTTATATGTAAAAAGACAGATATCTACATTTCAGTTATTGTGGGTTTGCAAGCATCAGTTCACTGAAGTCAGCCCCTAATGACCAAAACTGTGAAATAAAGAACTCTGAGATCTCCCCAAACCCGCTATGCCAAAGAGAAAAGTTAAGGTTGGAAAATGGGTCACACAGACACTCTTTTCTAAACAGAAAGCTACAAGACAGTAGGCCATATCATCTCCCCAGGTAGCCTCTGTCATCTCAACAATGCAAATGAACAACTTATCTTCCTAAGTCTGGGACAAGAGGAGCCTAGAAATAATGGAATGCATGTTTGACTTTTTTCTCTACTCCATGTTGACTTTATGTTGTGTAAAGTGCAGATGTACCGAGTATGAGATCAATACAAAATTGCATGTTTTTCTACCCATTCCCTTTCACATGCAACATGTAGAATCAATGAGTGCTAAACAAAGCCTCAAGAGAATACAACCGTCTCACTTGTCTGCCTGCCCCATTTTTTCCTGCCTCCCTTGCCTCTTGCCCCCCTTTTTTTCCTTTAAATATTGAAGCCCTCAAAACCCTCTTTGGAAAAAGTGTGAGCTACAGATCCTACTGTGGCCTGTGTTTCTTTTTCCCAAGTATGCCCTCAATGTAGGCAAAATAAACTGATAAACTGATGGAGACTTGTGTCAGATACTTTTTTAGTTCTGTTCTTTGGAGATCTGTTCTTACTTTTGGAGATCTCTTCTTACTCTAGAATTCTAGAGTTTGCCTTGAATTCAGGCTTCTTAAGTTCAAGTCCACAGTATGTCGCTTATGGTTATGGGATCTCCACCCACTCCATGTCTAACTTTTCTTACTTGCAAAGTGGAAATAGGAACCCTTATATCCATTTGAGAATGATGTATGCAAAATGTTTACAGCATATTAACAGTTGACTAATACTGAAAGAATGCTGGCTGTTTTTTTTTTAATCTAGATTAGTGTATTTATATAAAAGATTTTAAAGTTGTCTAAACACTGGACTCTTTCATTAATAGCTCTTTTATTTGTGAAATAAATTGTTTTAATATGGAGGTAGCTCACATGTAGCTAAAGAGTTAATATCACACATAGCTCAAAAGTTATTACCAAAAGCTCTTATCACTTTTCCCACAATTAAGTAGGGGTGGATGGTAACATTAATAATGAAGACAAATGGCAGGCATGAAGACAAATTGGCTTAATGGAAGCCACATCCTAAAGTGATTATTAAAAAGGCTGATTACAATTAAATACAGCTATGAAAAAACATTAGGGAAAATTTAAAGCTACATTTTAAAAAAAGGGAATTAGCATTAAAGCACGTAGGCATAGGAAGTGGCTGGGATGTTTTTCTAAATGTTTATTTCAACATTGTTACCTACTTGCATATTTGTACCTTGTTGCAGGAATAAATGAAGCGATTCCCATAACAATGGAAAATACTGTTATGGATTGCTCTGGGCTATGTTGAAACAAAATGCAGTATATGTATGGTCTTCGATTTATCCTTGAAGTACAAAAAATGTCTAAACAGTAAGAATAATATAAAGATATATGTTTTTATCATATGTCAAGTACTGTTTTTAGCTGTTTGTGTACTTTAATCCTCATATATTTATCCTAATTTTACAGGAGAAAAATGAAGCACACAAAGGATCCACTAGCTGCTGAATCCAACAGAGCTCCTATTGCTAATAATAGAGCTCCTACTACTCTTAACACTTCACTGTATGCTAGCTTTAGCATAATGGCCACAAATTGTGGGTTTTCTTAATTGTCTTTAGTCATATTGATTTCAGATGAGGGTAAGAAGGAAAGTCAAAGGAAATCTATGGTAGTTCTGCATACAATGGAAAAGCACTATTAACTAATTTAGTTACCTATGTTCTTGCTTCTAGTACAGAGAGGTACTAGAAAGCAGGAGCAGTTAAGTTTGATTTAGTATGATGCTAAACACTGAGAATGTTTATAATGATATGGTTAAAAGATGAAGGTACACAAGAAGAAATAACATAGTTTTGGAACTGTTTCCAAACTTACTACCTTTAATTTGCAGCTTTCAGCAAGAAAGTTACTTCTTGCCATAAAAAGACTAATAGAAGCCAAACTAAAGCTGCCTGGCTTTAATTCTAAAACACATTTCATTTGAAAAAATGATGTTCTTGAACATGGAGTTAGAAAAGTATTTCAAGTTTTGTCTGGGACCCATAGCATTGCTAATCTTAGCATTTAGTAGAATGATGAATAGACAATAAACCATGACAATTGTACTTCTCATTATTTTATTTTTAATTAATTAATTTTGTTTTATTTTATTAATTTTTTGGAGACAGGGTCTCACTCTACTGTTGAAGATGGAATGCAGTACTGCAATCATGGCTCACTGCAGCTGTGACCTCTAGGGCTTAAGTCAACCTTCTGACTCAGTCTCCCAAAACAGTAGCAGGTAAAACAGGCCTGCACTACCCTACCTGGCTAATGTTTTATTTTTTGTAGAGATAGGGTGTTGCTATGTTGTCGAGGCTGCTCTCAAATGCTTGGGCTCAGGTAATCTGCCCACCTCAGCCTCTCTTGGTGCTGGGATTATGTGAGAGTCAGTGTGCCAACCTCATTATTTTAAATGCACTAAAAACAGGTGTGGCTTACTGGGTACATAAGGAAATACAAAAAGACAAGTAAGCTAAATATACAATCCCTTGGTTATTGTTGTCTGTAATAGCTAAAAAAAAAAAAAAAGTAAAAGAGCGTTGGGGCAAATTCTAATACTGGGCCAAGCTCAGATTTCAGGTATCTTTACATTTCAGTCTCAGCTTTGACTGATAGCCTGAGGACTACTATGAAAGGGGAAAATTGGGCCGGGCACAGTGGTTCATGCCTGTAACCCCAGCACTTTGGAAGGCGGAGGCAGGCAGATCACGAGGTCAGGAGTTCAACACCAGCCTGACCAACATGGTAAAACTTTGTCTCTACTAAATACACAAAAAAAATTAGCTGGGTGTGGGCATGTGCCTGTAATCCCAACTACTCAGGAGGCTGAGGCAGGAGAATCATTTGAACCCAGGAGGTGGACGTTGCAGTGAGCTGAGATCATGCCACTGCACTCCAGCCTGGGCAACAGAAAGAGACTTCATCTCAAAAAAAAAAAAAAAGAAAAAAAAAAGAAAAAAAGAAAAGGGAAAATTGTATCAACACAACAGCTAACACATCTAGGACTACACATCACCAAACCAATTGTCTAGGTAATCACTTTTCAGCCTCTTGACTAAGATCAAGTGCAACACTCCAAGTAGAAGAAGGGTAGAACCAATAAGCTACAAGAAGTAAGCAAGTATAGAGTGCAAAAGGGTTTTATTATTTTGTGGACTGGTATTGTCAGCTTTCTGAAGAATCTTTACTAAATGGATTGTAAGAGCAACAAACTTCTCCTAAGAGCAGTGCATTTGGTTCGGAATGCTATTAAACAGAAGACTGTGTTTTGATTGATATAAGATTCACAGCTTGGTATGAACAACAGAGGGCTGTACGTGATTTCCAGGAGAAAGCTAGCTTCTGGATAAAAGCCACTGTAAAGTTTGATTACCATGAGAAGTCGTTTTCCTTCCATCTATGACAAGTGATATACTCATGGGCATGCAATCCTGCACTGGCCTCAAGATGATCTGGATATTCATCTACTGAGTAAGACCCCTTATCCAGCTACCAGCAAATGCTGTCTTATTGGGGTGGGGGTCCCTTTTTATCGATATATCCTATAGCCTTACTGAATCAAAACTAAGAAACAGTCCTAGAAGTCATATTGGATATGTTGTCTCAGATTCCTTTTATAGGCCTTACAGGTACTCAGAAGATTCATAGGAAAGGGAAAAAGCAAAAGGAGGGAGACATTCATTCACAGACTGATTCACAGAAAAGAGATATTCACAGAAAAGGAAAGGAAAAGGGGCCCTAAATAAATCTGCACGATTTATCTCAGTTTCCAAGTATTTAAAAAGCCAGGAGTAAAAGATAACAATAAGAAACTTGCCTTTGAATTGTCTGGGTAATTATCTGATGGACAGATGAATCAAGATGAAGATTGGCATAGGGTCAGGACATACTGATTTGATTCCAGACTGGGGACCCAAAGCACATATATATACATCAAATGTGCAGAGGGTAAGTATTTTTCTGGGATTCAATGACATGGGAACACCATGCACTGTGATTCCAAGACCTGGTGGGGACTACAGTTGAGAGGATAGGGGATCCAACAGTGATTAATTTAAGGTGAATATCTGCAAGAAAATTTGAGATGAAGAAACTTTGTGATGTGGTTTGTCTGTGATGGTACAGGCCTATCCAGCTTCTCCAACCTCTCTCCAGTCTGGCTCTGTCATCCAAGTTGTAGAGCAGTGGCGTGATAATGGGTCACTGCAGCCTTTACCTCCTGGGTTCAGATGATTCTCTCACTTCAGCCTCCAGTAGCTGAGATGACAGGCACCTGTCACCACACCTGGCTAATTGTGTTTTTTGTAGAAATGCAGTTTTGCCATGTTTCCCATGCTGGTCTCCAACTTCTGGGCTCAAGCAATCTACCTGCCTTAGTCTCTCGAAGTGCTGGAATTATGGGCATGAGCCACTGCACTCACCCTATGCTACTTCTTATAGTAAAATAGAAGGCATGAAATTTGCCCTCAGTCCAGACTTGATTGAATACATTAAAATAGGAACAACTAGAACTACCTATGCTCATAAAAATTGTTGAAACAGCGTAGGATACTTTGTGGACAACAACAATAAAACCCCAAACAAAAAACACTTTAACTAATTTAATTAGAAACGAAAGGACTAGTACTGACAAATTATCTAGAGTAAGCTTTTTGTGACCTAGGAGAAAAAGAGTTGGTTCATGGAAACAAATCTAGAATAACGTAGTGCTGCATATACCATCAATAGTGTCGACATTCCTTTCCACAGTACAACAAAGAGACTATAGGATAGTGATATGCATTCATCTTGCAAATGTTTTTCTTTGTCTCAATCTTACAAGAGTCAACTGCATGTGGAAAAGATCCCAAATGACATTAACTATTAATATTTTGCCATAAGATTACTATCATAACTTGGTTATGAGAGATTTGGGCTTGATGCAGTTCTTCAATGTACTACTACAACATACTGAAGATGACATGTTAAAACTGAAACTGAAGAGCAATCTAACACAGACTTATATATGTTGATTCACATGACCAACAAGGAGAGATCATAAATCCAGAGATGCACCCAAATGGTGAAATTCTTAGAAACACCTGGAAAGAGACACTGTGACACTTCATAGGTGACCTAGAATGAATTTCTGTCATTACGTACTCCTAAGCAAACAGGAAGCCCAGCATTTGGTTGAATAGGATTTTGGGGATTCCTATTACACATCCGAAAATATTTCTAGCTCCTTTCCAGAACACTACCCAAAAGAAGTTTCATTGAAGGGACATTAATTGAAAAAATCCAGGAATGTTTTCATTCATAGATGGGAAATAAAAAGTTGATCTCATGAAGGTAGAGAGTAGAAAGATTACCACAGGCTGGGAAGAACACTAGGCAGGGGAAGAGATGAGTTAGTTAATGGGTACAAATAGCATTAGAAGGAATAGGTCCTAACGTTTGATAGTATAGGAGGGAGACTATAGGTATGAATAATTATATTTCCACATAACTGCAAGATTAGATTTGGAATGTGCTCAACACAAATAAATGATACATGTATGAAGTGACTAACATACCAATTACCAATACACCAATATACCAATTAGTGATTTGGTCATTATTGTCTACATGTATCAAAATATCATTTGAACCTCATAAATATGTACAATTATAATGCATCAACTTAAAAAAAGAGAGTGGGGTTTCTTTAATTAAGAAATTGCACTAAGGCAGGCCATGTCTGAATTTCAAAAAGTGCTCTCTCTCAATATTTTGGGGCGTTATGATCCACAATCTGATTTTGGAAGTGCTTGCAGGTTATTAGGCAGACTGAAACTATGGTTAAACAAACAAACAACTGCACATGCCACTCTGCAGCAATAGCTGGGAATTTTGGACCAGGAAATTCCTGGATGCCATGATATAATATGTGCCATTTGAGAGATACTTAATAGCTTGCCTTGCATTGGTGTAGTTCGCCTTGACAAGCTAATTACTAGCTTGTCTTGCCTGCTTCTGAGACTGAAGACCATAATCTTAAAATCTGAAACACCTATAATGTGTTGCGTGAATTAAGAAAACATTCTAATGAGGAAGTGCTCAGAAGAGGTCCAAAATAACATGCAAAATGGATTTATAGACGGACATGTTACCAGGAAAGTGCAAGGAGGTGCTAATCATGTTAAAGAGCAGGTAGTCTCTTTTTTCCTATGATCAAGTTTGGAACCACTTCAGGAACTACTGCATGCTACTTTTGCATGGGCAATACCCTTTGAATAGCTCCCTACTGACGAAGAAAGACCTGCTTGGTTTACAGATGGCAGTTTCAAGGTGGGTGAACAATGTCCTGTTGGCAGGCTTTCATAGAGACTAGAAATGAAAAGACCGATTGAAGATAGAATAAACAAATTAGTTGAATGGTTGAACTGCATGTTGTTTTCTTATGAGTATTAAAAAATTTACAATTTTTTTTTAAACACTGCATTTGTTTGAATTCTTGCCAATTCATGAGTAGTGACTGACGGCTTGGCCACAGGGACAATGGAAAACTGAACTATTAAGCATATGCCAGTATGTGACACAGCCCTTTGGAAAGTACAAGGTGGAATTTAAGGGGTATGTTAAAGAAGGGTATGTTGACATCCACCCGAAGGACCCTCTCCAGGACGATGGGGAGGTGACTAGAACCAGCAAGTTGATATCCTGGTGGATTTGCTTGAGGTGGTCACCTTACAGAGATGCAGCAGTAATGCAGATGGGGTGAATCTAGACATATTCCTCTTGTACTCTGTGAGGAACAAAATCCCAAGATACATTTCCAGGTGAGAAGAGAGACACAGACTGCAAATAACTATGGCCTGAATAGGAAGGCCCTTAACATAGCTGGATTACAATGGACCAATGGCAGTAGCCCTGCCAGGGCATTAATGGATCCTGACGACTGTATTCGCAGAGGTCAGTGATAACGCTTAAAATGCTATATATAAAAAAAGATATTATAACCAATTTGGACAAATGAATTGCATTTCTTCATACTAAGCAACACATTCCAGGGTCTACTGTGTCCAACAATGGGCAAAGAGATATTACATCAAATGAACATATTACACAGGTTACAGAGTGGTAGTTTGGGAGAGTATAAGCATTTTAAATATTGATTGTATAAAATAGTTCAACATTTGCTAATTTGGTATTCATGGTGACTTTATAACTGTGAATAACAAGAATCAACTATGTAAAAATGTGCCAAAAGCACAAAAATGATTAAGCTAGAAAATTTTTTTACAAGGCCAATATCTTAATTTTTTTTTCTTTTTTTAGGTCCTTAATGAAAGGCCAAGGGCCAATTTTTTTATGCATAAAAACTCAATGTGTCTGAAATGCTGAATTCAGTGTCATGCCAACGCATGCCATGCAAATAATTAATTTAAATGCGTAGTCCTTAAGAATACTACAAGAGAGTAACAAGAAACAAAAACACACCACAGGACAAAAGTCTTCTTAAATTTTATTTGTGAATTCAGCAAAATAATTTCTATAAAACAAAACAGCCAAACATTTAAATAGTATAGGATAGGCTGTATCTATTTGCAGGTATATTTGGTTTTTAAACAGGTTCCAAAATATTACACACATTCAAAATTTACCAATTCTCTTTTAAATATAGTATTAACTCACAGGTTTCTTGGAATCTTAAAACAAATGTTTTTTCTAAAATGGTACCTTAGAATTACATTAAATAAGCAGGAGCTTAGATCTTAATTAAATCTTGTATCTAACAACAAGAGTTTTAGAATAATGAAAAAAAACTACAACAATTCTTTCTTTCAAATAAAAGTGTGACTATGAATTCAGTCAGACATCTTGGTGCAATGGTACTTCAAAGTACTATGGATTCTTATGATGTACACTTCACCGGGATCAGGAGAAGCAAAGTTTTAGAAACTTCACTTAATAAATTCTATGGAAAAAAAAAATCGCAAGCACACCAAATACAATCTATTATGCTCCACCACATTCTGACATAGGAAAATTTTGTGTATTGGTTTTAATATTTTAAAATTCGTATTATCGATACTTTGATATTCTTCAGCTCAAGAAATTGAACTATCAAACATTAAATGTGAAGAATATGTGTGCAATGAAAAACTGCTTGTCTGTCACATTTTTCCCCCATTTTATATTTATTCTAGGTATAAGAAATAAAAGCTCTGAGCAATATACAGCTGTCACTCTGGGCACTGTCATTCATGTAATTCTGTCCTCTTGGCTACACAAACAGTGTGAAGCCATGCTAACTGTTACAGCATAAGAATAGCTTTAAAGTGGTTAGCCTATATACCAGAATAAAAAGGTAATGAAAAGTATCTAGAAATGTTACACTGCCAATTTTCCACATCAACCATATAATTCAAAAGTTACCACCAGCCTTATATATCCAGGAAAGAAGGATTAACAAGAAACTATTGGTGTAAACTGACAAAGATGGGCTCTTTTATGTTCCCTTTTTTGGGGGGAAGTTGGTAAGTTGACCAAACTGCTCAAAGCAGGCAATATCAATTGCACAATGTAGTGAACACAACAAAAAATAATTGTGTGACTGTGTAGATCTGACTTGTTTTCATCAAAAAAAGTTTCTTGCTTAAGAATTAACAGTCAGACATTAACATAGTATATATACCTTTCTCATTTACAGATTAGGACCAGTCATTTGTTACAAAACTCTGTACACTTCACCCTGCATGTGTCTTATACACTGACAAATTGCAAATTACTGCAAATAAACCAGTGAATATGCTCTTTACTCCATGTTGGTTTGGAGCAGTTTATCTAGTTTTCAATACTAGCCAGACACAGAGAAAGTTTGGACTATAAGACCTTAGTGCATAGTCATAAAGGAAGCAGTTAATTATTGCTTTTCACTGATCCTTCATCTGAGGTGAGGATACTTCTTCATTGCCTTCATAATTTTCTTGTGTTCGTTGGCCTGTTTTCTGAGGGTTGTTCAAGTGATGTGCTGCTGGTCCTGTATATGGCTGTCCATGTACATGATTATTCTAAGAGGGTGAAAGAGACCAGCATTGTAACACTTTTCAAATATTAACAATTAAAAATTTAAAACCATGGGGTAAGGTTGGTCAAAAAGTAGACATTTTTAAACCTGGATCTTTAAAAAAAAAAAAAGAACTTACAATCTGATTTTTATATTTGAAGAGAAGAAGTACCATATGAATAAAGTGTTTTGAGAAAGTGCACACACATAAATGTGTCAGCTTCTGATAAAAATTCATTTCACCTCCCTAGAGAATGTACCCAAGAGTCTTGGCCAGGTGCAGTGACTCATACCTGTAATCCCAGCATTTTGGGAGGCCAAGGTGGGCGGATCACAAGTTCAGGAGTTCAAGACTAGCCTGGCCAACACAGTGAAACCCTGTCTCTACTAAAAATGAAAAACTTAGCTGGGCAAAGTGATGCAAGCCTGTAGTCCTAGCTACTTGGGAGGCTGAGGCAGGAGAATGGCTTGAACTTGGGAGGTGGAGGTTGCAGTGAGCCGAGATCAGGCCACTGCACTCCAGCTTGGGCAACAGAGTCAGACTAGGTCTAAAATAAAAAAGTCTTGGATGGCCAATTATTGTGCTAAGCAGAAAGGTTTTCCATGTGTTTTCCCCAGAGCAGCAACACTTGGAAATTTATAAGAAGTGACAATTGTTGGCCAGGTGCAGTGGCTCACGCCTATAATCCCAGCATTTTGGGGGGCCAAGGCGGGCAGATCACAAGGTCAAGAGATTGAGTCCATCCTGGCCAACATGGTGAAACTCCACCTCTACTAAAAATACAAAAATTAGCTGGGCGTGATGGTGCGTTCCTATAGTCCAGCTACTCGGGAGGCTGAGGCAGAATTGCCTGAACCCCAGAGGCGGAGGTTACAGTGAGCTGTGATTGCACCACTGCACTCTAGACTGGTGACAGGGTGAGACTCTCTCAAAAAAAGAAAAAAAAAAGGCCAATTCTTGAGCCCCACGATAGCCCTGTAGAGTGACAATTTCTGGACCCTGCAATTGCTGTTCTCAATCAGTGCATTTACATGATTATGATGTACATTAAATTTAAGAACCATGGCCTTAAAATGACTGCATTAGCCACATTTGCGGCTAATCTTCCCAGAATCTTTTCCCAAATATACCTGTTTTGCAAAAGAACTTATCAGAAAGTTTATTTATATTTTTCCGAAGTTATATTTTTTCAGTTAACCATCTATTAAAGCCAGTCAAACTGAATTTTTACTGCCACTGAATCTCAGATACTTTTGCTTTCACATTTCTTCAACAATTACTGAAATATCACACAATTTTATTAACCATAGCAAATAGCAAAAGGGGGTAGTACCTGGTTACAAAGAACATATCACAATGGCAAAATAAAACATGACGTCATTTCAACTAACACTCTACTGATCATCTTGTCAAAGCTGTTCTAGATAATTTATTACTTTACAGTCACAGTGGATCCATCTTCACTCCATGTTGGTTTGGAACAGTTTATCCAGTTTTAAATATCAGCCAGGTACAGAGAAAGTTTGGACTTTCAAAATATTTAAGAAAATAATAATTGAAGACCTTTTAAGTAAAGCATCAAAATGGGTTTGGGGGATAAAAATGAAAAATCCTTTTTACCTGTTGATACTGAGAGGCAGGTGAATGAGGATATAATGGGGCATCTTCTGATGGAGAGGGCTCATGCTCATCTGGGGCATCCTGGTCATCTGGCTCCTAATTTTAAATATTTAAAGAGATTAAGCATTAGATTATAAAAGTAACTTCAAATTTATATTTAATTTCCTTCATTTAGAATAAACTTTTAAAAAATGCACAAAGCTGGCCTCTTTAACATCTTTGCATTTACTGCAAATAATTTAAAATATAAGAAAACAGGCCGGGTGCAGTGGCTCATGCTTATAATCTCAGCACTTTGGGAGGCCAGGCAGGTGGATCACTTAAGGTCAAGATTTGAGACCAGCCTGGCCAACATGGTGAAATCCTGTCTCTATTAAAAATACAAAAATTAGCCAGGCATGGTGGTGGCTGCCTGTAATCCCAGCTACTCGGGAGGCTGAGGCAGAAGAATTTCTTGAACCTGAGAGGTGGGGGTTGCAGTGAGCCGAGATCACGCTGCTGCAGCAGCCTGGGCAATAGGGTGAGACTCAAAAAAAAAAAGAAAAAGCAAAAGCAAACAAAGACAAAAAACAAACAAAAGAATATCTGAATTCTCTCAGGTATGTGATTTTTAGACAATTTCACAGAAATTTTTTCCAAAAGGAAACTCCTTTGTTAACTTAAGATCAAACAAATCAAGCTAACCACTAAAGCAAACAAAACTGCACATGATTTTTTTAAGCACAATATTAATAAACATGGGCCTACACATTAAAAAAATACTTTTCTTTTTCCCATTTCCATCTGCTGTCCATTGGTAGCCTTTTTTTTTTTTACCTCTTCTGGACAGAGTTCACAAGCTTTTGCAAGTGTCATCCTAGCACTATGTGATCTTTCTAAGAAATAACCATTTGCTGTTTCATTGCTTTGTACTGGAGGAGACCAATTGTTGTAACTATACTGAGGATTGCCAGTATATGGTCTTCTTTCAAGTTCATCTCCTAGCCATTCCACTGCCCAGGTCCATTTTCTTTTAAGATCTCCGTTACCCTTTAGAAAAAAATAAAACTATTTAGAATTTAGAATGATTTTCAGTATCAGCTTAAAATGCTAATACAAAAATTTCACGATCATTTCCTTACTTGTGACAGAGGTTTCTACAAATTTATAAGAGAAAAACCCTCACCTGTAAGATCTGGTAAGCAACAGGACAACTGCTAAATAGAGCTACCATACATTTTATGCACTGATATGCTCGTTTTTGATAGTGATTCTTCGAGCGCTGTATTGTATCGAACAGCCCATCTCTGTCATCTGGAATTCCTTTAAGTGCATTATGAATTCTAAAACAGAAGCAGATGTAAAACTTTGTAATATCCAATAGTAGCTAACATTTGAGTTCCTAATTATGTGCCATTTAGTACTTTTTTGATGTAATCATATAATCTAATTAACATTAGAGTTACTTTCCTAAGTAGGTAGGAACAAATTAAAATTAGGAACATTTTAACAAATGAGAAAACAAGTACAGACAGCACAAATAGCTTGCCAAATATTACAGATCTGGCAACTTGAGCAGCTGGTTAGCAATCTGACTTAGTCAGACATAGGAATCTCACTTAGATTGCTAACCAGCTGCTCACAAAAATTACTAAGAGCAAATTAAGGACAATGATGCCACATAATTTTTCATATTTCTTTTCCTTTCTTTCTTTCTTTTTTTTTTAAGAGATAGAATTCTTGCTCTGTGTCCCAGGCTGGACTGCAGTGGCATGATTGTAGTTTGTGGCTCACTGTAGCCTCAAAACCAGAATACAAGGAATACTTTCACTTCAGCCTCCCAAGTAGTTGGGATTACAGAAACACACCACCATGTCCAGTTCACCACATTACTTTACTAAAGCTATTAGTCTTTTAAGACTTCTTTAGTTGAAAAAAACTTACTGATTATGGAACAATGATATAAATTGGCAGTATAAAATTAACTTGAATTCTGATACTGTGAAAACACATACATGACGCATAAAGCAATTTTCACTGACAATGATAAAATCTGCCTGATTTGCTAATGATCAATTATTTTATTTCAGGACTGCCTAACTGCAACATATTTACATAGCCAACTCTTCCCTGTTTCTCCTTAATAGTCAATTTAAAAAATTGCAAACGAAGGCTGGGCGCGGTGGCTCACACCTGTAATACCAGCACTTTGGGAGGCAAAGCTGGGTGGATCACCTGAAGTCAGGAGCTTGAGACCAGCCTGACCAACATGGTGAAACCCTGTCTCTACTAAAAATGCAAAAATTAGCCAGGCATGGTGGTGCATGTGCGTAATCCCAGCTACTTGGGAGGCTGAGGTTGCAGTGAGCGGAGATCACCCCACTGCAATCCAGCCTGGGCAACAAGAGCAAAACTCTGTCTCAAAAAAAAGTTACAAACAAATATATGCTTTCTTTCTTTTGTGTCATTACCTACACAGAAAAATAACTTGAAATTTCTTTTCTCTATACCATGTATCTTACTTAACAAAGTATTTTTATATTCCAGGTCAGATGTTAGGTTTTTTTTGTTAGCTTCAGAGACATTTATAATACAACTTTTGTTTGGAAAGGGCAACTTTTGAAATCTAATCATTTCAGACAAAAAATAACATGGATATGCTTCCTGCAACACTTGTGATGTATCATATTCCATTTTCTTATTCTCTTACAGTTTATAATGAAGTGATAATAACACTGCTTGGCACACAGCAGATGTTGATATATATATCTGTTGAATACTGTTTACTGAATAAACTCAATGTTCATTATACAAAACACTTCAAGCTTATGTTTGTAAGGACAATATTAATTTTGTACAAAAGTCTACTATTTTCCACATTAATCCAACATGTGTACCTTTACTAAAATCACTTCCTTGGATAAGATAAGAAGGCTAAAAATGTGATTTAGCCTTATAGTAACTACAAGATGTACATAGCTGGCTGGGTGCAGTGGCTCATGCATGTAATTCCAACACTATGGGATGCCCAGGCAGGTGGATCACGAGGTCAGGAGATCAACACCACCCTGGCCAACATGGTGAAACCCCGTCTCTACTAAAATACAAAAAAATTAGCTGGGCGTGGTGGCATGCACCTGTAGTCCCAGCTACTAGGGAGGCTGAGGCAGGAGAATCACTTGAATCCGGGAGACGGAGGTTGCAGTGAGCTGAGATTGTGCCACTGCACTCCAGCCAGATGACAAAGCAAGAAGGAGTCTCAAAAAAATAAAATAAAATCACATAGCAAACAATATTTGTCTAAAAATTCTTTCAAACACAGTAAAAATTTTAAATAAAAATTGGAACCCATTAAAACAAATGAGATCTAATATAAAACATTACCCATCTAATGCCACTTTTACATTATTTGATCTGCTTGATGCTGGACTGAATCACAACTTGAGAATTTTAATTGTTGAAATCTAATATTTTCGGTTCTCTAAAATTCAAGATTACAATGATTTACCTTTAAGCACTGTGTTCTGCAGCTTTATAATACATTTGTTTTCGGGTTCTTTTGCTTATTATTATGTCTAATAGGTGTGTTTCTGTGTGTGTGTATGTTTGTGTGTGTTCCTAAAACAAGCTATATTAAAATTCTCACGAGGAGAAAAGTTAGAATTTTCAGGCAGAATTAGGCAACTAATTCTACAGTATAATTCTTAGACTGATTTTACTGAAGAGAACACAATTGAGAATTCTAGGGGTATGTTTATAGACCTGTTAGTAGCATAATCTCAGTTCTGAAAAATTACCACTCCGATTTCTTATATACTAATACAACTACTTAGAGGCGATGGATTAAGTGTTACCTATTGTAACTAATTCTAGAAAAAGTACATCATAATCCTAAAATATTAACAGAACTTAAGGAGGTATCAAAAGCCTTACTGGGTTCCTTAAAAAAATAAAAACAGTAAATGGAAGACAAAACCTAATATTAAGGATGAAAGTGGAACATTAAGAGAAAAGAATGTGATGGAGAAATAGGAACAGCTCTGGTCTGCAGCTCCCACTGTGATTGATGCAGAAGATGGGTGATTTCTACATTTCCAACTTAAGTACCTGGTTCATCTCACTGGGACTGGTTGGAGAGTGGGTGCAGCCCACGGAGGGTGATCCGAAGAAGGGCAGGGCGTCACCTCACCTGGGAAGCTCAAGGTGTCCAGGGATTTCCCTTTCTTAGCCAAGGGAAGCTGTGACAGACTGTACCTGGAAAAAAGGGATACTTCCGCCCAAATACTGCGCTCTTCTCAAGGTCTTAGCAACCAGCAGACAAGGAGATTCTCTCCCATGCCTGGCTCGGTGGGTCCCACATCCACAGAGCCTTGCTCACTGCTAGTGCAGCAGTCTGAGATCGAACTGCAAGGCAGCAGCCTGGCTGGGGAATGGGCATCCACCATTGCTGAGGCTTGAGTAGGTAAACAAAGCAGCTGGGAAGCCTGAACTGCTTCCGCCCACCGCAGCTCAGCAAGGTCTGCTGCCTCTAGACTCCACCTCTGCGGGCAGGGCTTAGCTGAACACAAGGCAGCAGATAACTTCTGCAGACTTAAACATCCCTGTCTGACAGCTCTGAAGAGAGCTGTGGTTCTACCAACACAGTGTTTGAGCTCTGAGAATGGACAGTTTGCCTCCTCAAGTGGGTCCCTGACCGCCAGGTAGCCTAACTGGGAGACACCTCCTAGTAGGGGCCAACAGACACCTCATATAGGCGGGTGCCCCTCTGGGATGAAGCTTCCAGAGGAAGGATCAGGCAGCAATATTTGCTGTTCTGCAATATTTGCAATTCTGCAGCTTCCACTGGCGATACCCAGGCAAACAGCGTCTGGAGGGACCTCCAGCAAAGTCCAACTGACCTGCAGCTGAGGGACCTGACTGTTAGAAGGAAAATAATAACAGAAAGGAATAGCATCAACATCAACAAAAAGGACATCCAACACCAACACCCCATCTGTAGGTCACTAACATCAGAGACCAAAGGTAGATAAAACCACAAAGATGGGGAGTAACCAGAGCAGAAAAGCTGAACACTCTAAAAATCAGAGCGCCTCTTCTCCTCCAAAGGATTGCAACTCCTCGCCAGCAACGGAACAAAGTTGGACAGAGAATGACTTTGATGAGTTGACAGAGGTAGGCTTCAGAAGGTTGGTAATAACAAACTACTCCGAGCTAAGGGAGCATGTTCGAAACCATCGCAAGGAAGCTAAAAACCTTGAAAAAAGGTTAGACGAATGGCTAACTAGAATAAACAGTGAAAACCTTAAATGAACTAATGAAGCTGAAAACCATGGCACGAGAACTTTGGGACACGTGCACAAGCTTGAATAGCCACTTGGATCAAGTGGAAGAAAGAGTATCCGTGACTGAAGATCAAATGAAAGAAATAAAACAAGAAGAAAAGTTTAGAGAAAAAAGAGTAAAAAGAAACAAACAATGCCTCCAAGAAATATGGGACTATGTGAAAAGACCAAATCTACGTTTGATTGGTGTACCTGAAAGTGATGGGGAGAATGGAACCAAGTTGTAAAACACTCTACAGGATATTATCCAGGAGAACTTTGCCAACCGAGCAAGTCCAGCCAACATTCAAATTCAGGAAATACAGAGAACACCACAAAGATACTCCTCAAGAACAGCAACCCCAAGAACATAATTGTCAGATTCACCAAGGGTAAAATGAAGGAAAAAATGTTAAGGGAAGCCAGAGAGAAAGGTCGAGTTAACCACAAAGGGAAGCCCATCAGACTAACAACAATGGCTTTCTCAGCAGAAACCCTACAAGCCAGAAGAGAGTGGGGCCAGTATTCAATGTTCTTAAAGAAAAGAATTTTCAACCCAGAATTTCATATCCAGACAAACTAAGCTTCATAAGTGAAGGAGAAATAAAATCCTTTACAGACAAGCAAAGGCTGAGAGATTTTGTCACCACCAGGCCTGCCTTACAAGAGCTCCTGAAGGAAGCACTAAACATGGAAAGGAACAAGCGGTATCAGCCACTGCAAAAACATGCCAAATTGTAAAGATCATCAAGGCTGTGAAGAAACTGCATCAGTTAACTGGCAAAATAACCAGCTAACATCATAATGACAGGATCAAATCCACACATAACAATATTAACCTTAAATGTAAATGGGCTAAATGCCCCAAATAAAAGACACAGACCAGCAAATTGGATAAAGAGTCAAGACCCATCGGTGTGCTGCATTCAGGAGACCCATCTCATGTGCAAAGACACACACAGGTTCAAAATAAAGGGATGGAGGAAGATCTGCCAAGCAAATGGAAAGCAAAAGAAAAGCAGGGGTTGCAATCCTCGTCTCAGATAAAACAGACTTTAAACCAACAAAGATCAAAAGAGTTTAAACCAACAAAGAAGGCCACTACATAATGGTAAAGGGATCAATTCAACAAGAAGAGCTAACTATCCTAAATATATATGCACCCAATACAGGAGCACCAAGATTTGTAAAGCAAGTCCTTAGAGACCTACAAAGAGACTTAGACTCCCACACAATAATAATGGGAGACAAAATTATTATTTTGTGTGACAGTGGAGACTTTAACTCTCCACTGTCAATATTAGAAAGATTGAGACAGGTTAACAAAGATATCCAGGACGTGAAATCAGTTCTGCAACAAGCAGACCTAGTAGACATCTACAGAACTCTCCACCCCAAATCAACAGAATATACATTCTTCTCAGCACCACATCACACTTATTCTAAAATTGACCACATAGTTGGAAGTAAAGCACTCCTCAGCAAATGTAAAAGAACAGAAATCACAACAAACCATCTCTCAGAGCACAGAGCAATCAAATTAGAACTCGGGATGAAGAAAACTCACTCAAAACTGCACAACTACATGGAAACTGAACAACCTGCTCCTGAATGACCACTGCATAGTGAAATGAAGGCAGAAATAAAGATGTTTTTTAAACCAATGAGAACAAAGACACAATGTACCAGAATCTCTGGGACACATTTAAAGCAGTGTGTAGAGGGAAATTTATAGCACTAAATGCCCACAAGAGAAAGCAGGAAAGTTCTAAAATCAACACCCTAACATCACAATTAAAAGAACTAGAGAAGCAAGAGCACATTCAAAAGCTAGCAGAAGGCAAGAACACATTCAAAACACATTCAAAAGCTAGCAGAAGGCAAGAAATAACTAAGATCAGAGCAGAACTGAAAGAGATAGAGACACAAAAAACCCTTAAAAAAAAAAAAGTCATGAATCCAGGAGCTGGTTTTTTGAAAAGATCAACAAAATAAATAGATCACTAGCAAGACTAATAAAGAAGACAAGAGAGAAACATCAAATAGATGCAATAAAAAATGATAAAGGGATATCACCACTGATCCCACAGAAATAAAAACTACCATCAGAGAATACTATAAACACCTCTATGCAAATAAATTAGAAAATCTAGAAGCAATGGACAAATTCCTGGACACCTACACTCTCCCAAGACTAAACCAGGAAGAAGTTGAATCCCTGAATAGACCAATAACAGGCTCTGAAATTGAGGCATTAATTAATAGCCTACCAACCAAAACAAGTCCAGAACTAGATGGATTCACAGCTGAATTCTACCAGTGGTACAAAGAGGAGCTGATACCATTACTTCTGAAACTATTCCAATCAGCAGAAAAAAGAGGGAATCCTCCCTAATTCATTTTACGAGGCCAGCATCATCCTGATACCAAAGCCTGGCAGAGTCACAATAAAAAAAGAGAATTTTAGACCAATATCCCTGGTGAACATTGATGCAGGAATCCTCAAGAAAATACTGGCAAACCAAATCCAGCAGCACATCCAAAAGCTTATCCATCATGATCAGGTGGGCTTCATCCCTGGGATGCAAGCTTGGTTCAACATATGCAAATCAATAAACATAATCCATCACATAAACAAAACCAATGAAAAAAACCACATGATTATCTCAATAGATGCAGAAAAGGCCTTCAACAAAATTCAGTAGCCCTTCATGCTAAAAACTCTCAATAAACTAGGTATTGATGGAATGTATTTCAAAATAAGAGCTATTTATAACAAACCCACAGCCAATATCATACTGAATGGGCAAAAACTGGAAGCATTCCCTTTGAAAACCGGTACAACACAGCGATGCCCTGTCTCACCATTCCTGTTCAGTATAGTGTTGGACGTTCTGGCCAGGGCAATCAGGAAAGAGAAAGAAATAAAGGATATTCAATTAGGAAATGAGGAAGTCAAATTGTCCCTGTTTGCAGATGACATGACTATATATTTAGAAAACCCCATTGTCTCAGCCCAAAACCTCAAGCTGATAAGCAACTTCAGCAACGTCTCAGCATAAAAAATCAATGTGCCAAAAATCACAAGCATTCCTATACACCAATAACAGAGAGCCAAATCATGAATGAATTCCCATTCACAATCACTTCAAACAATAAAATACATAGGAATACAACTTACAAGGGATGTGAAGGACCTCTTCAAGGAGAACTACAAACCACTGCTCAATGAAATAAAAGAGGACACAAACAAATGGAAGAACATTCCATGCTCATGGATAGGAAGAATCAATATCATGTAAATGGCCATACTGCCCAAGGTTATCTATAGATTCAATGCCATCCCCATCAGGCTACCAATAACTTTCTTCACAGAATTGGAAAAAACTACTTCAAAGTTAGTATGGAACCAAAGAAGAGCCTGCATTGCCAAGACAATCCTAAGCCAAAAGAACAAAGCTGGAGGCATCACGTTACTTGACTTCAAAGTATACTACAAGGCTACAGTAACCAAAACAGCATGGTACTGGTACCAAAACAGATATATAGACCAATGGAACAGAATAGAGGCCTCAGAAATAACCCCACACTTCTACAACTATCTGATCTTTGACAAACCTGAGAAAAACAAGCAATGGGGGAAGGATTCCCTATTTAATAAGTGGTGCTGGGAAAACTGGCTAGCCATATGTAGAAAGCTGAAACTGGATCCCTTCCTTACACCTTATACAAAGATTAATTCAAGATGGATTAAAGACTTAAATGTTAGACCTAAAACCATGAAAACCCTAGAAGAAAACCTAGGCAATACCATTCAGGAGATAGGATGGGCAAGGTCTTCACGACTAAAACATCAAAAGCAATGGCAACAAAAGCCAAAATAGACAAATGTAAAGTAAAGAGCTTCTACATGGCAAAAGAAACTACCATCATAGTGAACAGGCAACCTACAGAATGGGAGAAAATTTTTGCAATCTACCCATCTGACAAAGGCCTAATATCCAGAATCTACAAAGAACTCAAAGAAATTTACAAGAAAAAAAAACAAATAACCCCATCAAGAAGTGGGCAAAAGATATGAACAACACTTCTCAAAAGAAGACATCTATGCAGGCAACAGACACATGGAAAAAAGCTGATGATTAGAGAAATGTAAATCAAAACCACAATGAGATACCATCTCACACCAGTCAGAATGGTGATTCTTAAAATGTCAATAAACAACAGATGCTGGTGAGGTTGTGGAGGAATAGGAACGGTTTTACACTGTTGTTGAGAGTGTAAATTAGTTCAACCATTGTAGAAGACTGTGGCAATTCCTCAAGGATCTAGAACTAGAAATACCATTTGACCAACTGATCCCATTACTGCGTATATACCCAAAGGATTATAAATCATGCTACTATAAAGACACATGCACATGTTTGTTTACTGAGGCACTATTCACAAGAGCAAAGACTTGGAACCAACCCAAGTATCCATCAATGACAGGCTGGATAAAGAAAATGTGGCACATACACACCATGGAATATTGTGAAGCCATAAAAAAGTATGAGTTCATGTCCTTTGCAGGCACATGGATGAAGCTGGAAACTATCATTCTGAGGAGACTGTCACAAGGACAAAAAACCAAACACTGCATGTTCTCACTCATAAGTGGGAATTGAGCAATGAGATCACTTGGACACAGGGCGGGGAACATCACACACCAGGGCCTGTCGGGGGGTGGGGGCGGGGGTGGAATAGCATTAGGAGAAATAGCTAATGTAAGTGTCAAGTTGATGGGTGCAGTAAACCAACATGGCACATGTATACCTATGTATCAAACCTGCATGTTGTGCAGATGTACCCTAGAACTGAAAGTATAATTAAAAAAAAAAAGAATGCAAGTAAGTGGCAATTTTTCTTCATATGTTTTTAAAGACAACATTAAGCGGAGTATCAAAGATAAAAAATGTGTATGGCAAATGACAATTCCAGTCATTTCAAGAACTTGGGAAATTCTAATTATTCTGGTGGCAAAAGGGTATTCACCTGTGAGTCTGCCAGGAGTCCTCAATCAGTAAAATTTGGAAAAGTAGATCTAAATATGGCCGAAGTTCATAGGTATATGAATATGCAACCTACAAATAGGTAAGAGATAGTGAATTATGTATTTTTAAAAAATGAATAGAATTACAGATATATAAATGTTTATTTTTCTTTCACCTGCCAGAGAAGTTCGCTGAGGACAGTAGATGAGAACTGAGGATTCTCCCAAGAGCAAAAGCGAAGTAATTTGATGGTATCCTCTGAGTTACTGCAGTCTTCAATAATTTTCTTCACATAACTTGTTCTCACAAATAAAATGTCTAACACATTCTGCTGAATTGGCATTATAGGCTGTGATAAATTAAGGTCACCGAAAGGATTGGGGAGAGGGGGATTACCTAGAACAGATTTGTTATCAATGAAAAACCAATAGAATTCCTCACAAAATTATAATAATAAACTTCTTAACTTAAAAAATACAATCTGATTTTAAATTAAATTAAAAATTCACCTAAATGGTCAGGTATATACCAAGATGATAAAATGCAAAATATAAATGCTGACACTAAAGACAAAGTTTATCATTTTTACACTAAGCATTTCATAAGATATCACAGTATCCTACATTTAAAAAATAAACTCCCTATTAAACATATGAAAAAGCTAAAACTTAAGAAATATAATATTCTAGAACATAGGCCTTCAGACTAATTTCATTTTTATAAATCTTCAGAGCTACTTTTTATCAAGTGCTACATAAAGCTAGCATTATTTTTAAACTGCTGTAAAAGAAATGGAACATGCTACTTTACCATTGATTGAAGACTGCATTGTTGATGACACATTGCAACAACGAATCAGCTGAGACACTACTGAATATAACTTGCCTAATTCAGCATACTGATATTTGATTGGAGGACCTGGTCCTTCGTCTAAAGACACAAGCATAAAGGTAGCAGGTACATTCAATTTCAGAAGCTGTGTTTTTTCTGCCACACCTATAAAAAAGGACAGAAAAATAATATGTAGAAAAAAAAACTAAGAGGGTAAGTACTGCAATAATTAAAAATTAATTATTATAGCTCTTTGTAAGTTATATTACTAAAAGCTCATTCTCTTTGCTTAGAATAGAAACAATACAGGCAGAATGCTGACAGAACAGAAAATACACTGATATAATTAAATAAGATACAGTACCGTAACCCTGAAATAATGATCATGACTATGGCATTCCAATTAGCCTAGGTACTAAGGGAAATGTATACTTTCTAGGGCCTAGAGAAGCTGGAAGGCCCTAGCTAAAGAATAACTTTCATCATAAGAAAGTAAGACAGAAACTAGCTGGGAATAGTGGCTTACACCTGTAATCCCAGCACTTTGCAAGGCCAAGGCGGGTGGATCACCTGAGGTCTGGAGTTCGAGACCAGCCTTTTCAACATGGTGAAACCCCATCTCTACTATAAATACAAAAATTAGCTGGGATGTGGTGGTTGGTGCCTGTAATCCGAGCTTCTTGGGAGGCTGAGGCAGGAGAATTGCTTGAATCCAGGAGGCGGACGTTGCAGTGAGAGGAGACTGTGCCACTGCACTCCAGCCTGGGCGACTAAGCGAGACACTATCTCAGAAAAATAAAATAGATAAATAAAAATAAAACAAAGTAAGACAGAAACTAAATAAAATGAGCCATAAAAACTGTTCTAGAAAAAGTTTCCATTCTAGGACATTCCCTTACGTGGCTTGTTTTTTGTAACTACATCTATAGTAATAGATGTATCCAAATGATTTTAGATGATTCCAAATTCTGGACATATGTATCCCACTACTGGATTTCTTTATATAGGTATCCCATATGTTTTTAAAATGCAATCTGCTCACACAACTCCTTTTTCCTCTATCAGAAAATGGCACTACTATTTTCTCAGTTCATCAAGTCACATGCTGGATGTAGGCTTAACATCTCTTTCCTGCTCCGCTTTCTCAAATATCAAATTACCAACTCCTGCTGATTCTAACTCATAAAGAGCTCCTGCATCTGTTCATACCTGTCTTCCATACTGCCAGTTTCCCTAATATAAAGCAGCCGCAATTTTTTTCTATTGATAATTTTTAATACTTTCTTATCTTGGTCTATCGTAAGCCATTCTACGTTATAGACAGTGTGATGTTTTTAAGTTAAGCTTCTTGTGATCCTCTAGTGGTCCATTCATGCCCTCCTGATAATGTCCAGAACACTTTACAAAATCAGAGTAGCATAATTAGAGAATCCTGGAAATCAGTCCTGCTATTCTGTATTCTTCACTGTATAAAGTCACACTGAATACCTCACACTGTGTCTAAGAAGCAAAGTTATGTCAATACTAAGCCTGCATGCACCAACCACTCTGTTTAAAAAATCCTAACCAACCCCTTTCTCCTGGCAAGCTGCTTCTTCCACCCTTAAAGGAAATATTAATTATTCATCACAGAAATATTAGCATGTTTGATTGTAGGGTACTGCCTGAGGCCTTACTGGGAATCTCACACGACGTGTGGCAAACGCATTGTCTCATTTTTCTGAAATCCAAAAACTTCTAAAACCTAAAACATACTGCCCTAATGACTTAAGAGTCATAAATCTACACTAATTCTTGGCAGGGAAAATTATCATTAAGTTGTATTATAAACCATCAATGTGTTGTATATGAGCAGCCAATATCTAAAATAAAATAGTATAAAATAGGATTTTTGTGAATGCATAAACTTAATACTTTTATATTTAAAATATAAAAGTGACTTCATTTATGTTTGTGTAATATCTGCTTCTTACTCTATTACAAGTATCCAGGAATCTCATATGTAGTCAGGCAAGGCAGAGAAAGAGAAAACACAGAGATGATCAGAGAAGGAAGAATAACTGATAAAATGTTCTTCCTGCTCAAGTTAAAGATTAATAACACATATAACACTTTCATTAGAAGAATGCATGACTACAGAACTTAACTTTAGGTAGTAAGATATTTGTGATTTTTAAAAGTTAGCTGAATAACTTTTAAAAATCACAAATACCACAGATATAAAAGTGTAATATAGATACACAGTTATAAAATTTAACTTTTAAAAATCACAAATATCATAGATATAAAAGTGTATGTGCTAATTTAGTCAAATCTTCAAAAAATGTGATCAAATACTTATTACTAACACTAAAATTTTAACTAGTCAATAAATTTTAATTATATCAATAAATTATTAATTTTGAAATATTGTTGTACTAACACCTGAATTGCTGATATTCAAATTGGATAACTACATCTGTAATAAATTTACTCTTCTTTCCACACAATAAAAACAACATAAAACAACATTGAAAACACTATAATGATTTTTGATGTGGATTCCTGGCAATCTATCCATGCATTCAACAATGACTGAGTTGTTCTATGCAATCCCCACTCATTGCAAGAATTCTGCTACCTAGCTGGGGAGTAAGGCAAATATTTTAAAAACCATCAAAACACAATGGAATAAGCCAAACAGAATTTTTTGGGTAAGCATTCTAGAGGCACTCAAAAGAAGAAATAAATAGGTTGATGTGAGAAAAAGCAGGCTACCTTAAGAAAGATATACTGAAAATCACATTTCTTAATTGATGTTAATATTAATATCAACAGAAGAATTAAAGTGGATTATAAATTTGCATTATTATTAATTTCAATTTAGTTTATTTTAATAAAACATATGTACATGTCAAATTCTTTAAAGAAATAATTCTTAAACCTGATAAGCAACACAAGCACTTGGGGTCCTTTAGAAATATGGATTCCTTATCCAAGCCCTAGGAATTCTGATTCAGATAGTGTGGGGTATGACCAGGAAGCCAGTATTTTTCAAAAAGCAATGTTAAGAGATAACATCAATCAGACAAAGTATGTGATCTTAAAGATTACCAGAGAAATAAAACAAGTGCATAAATTACCATATAATATGAGAAATGCCATTAAAGTTACACAGAAAATTTGCAATGCATTTTAAGAATATGAATATGGTATATTGCTTCTACTTCAGAACAAATTACATGTAATCACTTGATTAAAATGTGCTTCCCATTTAATATTTGAAATTGAAACAATCATTAATATAGTTGTGAAAAATTCTTACCTAAATTGGCATACATTACAAACAAATTAAAATATTGCTGTAAATGATGTCCATGCTCTGAAACTTCCCTTCTCAAGAGATTTAGTGTGGCTCTTAGTAAGTGGTCACTCAAGCTCAAGTTATCACATGCCTGTGAAAAATGAAATATTATTTTATCAGCATCAAGATGCAGAAACAGCTTTTATTTGCATACAAAAGGTTATGTTCCTATACGGAGCAAATCTTTCAGAAAGAAAATTATTAAATATAGTTGCTCTTTGAGAGAGAGAATGAAGAGCTCGGCTAGACTTCATTGTAGATCTTGTATGTTACTGTAACTGTAAAACAAACAAACAAACAAACAAAAAGCCCTGGCAACTTCAACAGAAGAATTTAAGTGGATTATTTATTTACATTATCACTAATGTCAATTTCATGTTACAGTGTTTCACTGAAAAGCCTTTAGCCATTATAAAAATAAATCTTAAAAATGTCAAACTTAAGGATTTACTAAATAACTAAATAATTGAATACACAAAAGGAATTTCCCTTCTTTTTCAGAATGCCCAGCAATCACTATTACCATGAAATAATTTTACGAACTCACAAGTGTCATAACATACGTATGAATTTGTTTATGGTGAATACATCAAAGAGAGGAACATAAATTTGCTAATATGAATTTGCAGAAACAGAATTTACTTCTAAGTATTTAATTGCTTAAAAAAAAAAAAAAGCCATGCAATTACCTGACTAGAAGGTCCTGGAGATGCAAAAGGAGAAGGACAAGACCCATCTTGCAAGGAAAAGTGTGCAATAAACACTATAAGTTTTGCAAATGCACCCCTCACTTCTGCACTAGGGCACTCCAGAAGGTATTCAGAGAAGCGATTTGATACATTAAAAAGGACATTATGAGTAAACCAAAAACGTACATTTTTGCTGTGACGGAGAAGAACGCACAGTGCATCATACCTAAAACAGAAACATCTATGAACGTCAAATTTTAGTGATGTGTTTATTTTGCTTGGTACATGGAAGAAACAGATTTTTATGAACCAAACAACGATCTGAGATGTTCTCTCCAATTAACGGTCAGTTGGTTTTAGTACAAATATCAGATTGATAAAGCTGTGTGACTTTAGTCCCACAGAGTCAAAAAAAGGAATGAAATACGAAATATATGTAGCTCTCTGCAAATCCATGATCAAACTCTCCCCAGTGAAGTAACATTTCTTTAATATCTTTCAACGTGAGCAATGCTAAGAGTTGTTAAATCAAGGCATTATAATGTATTCCGTACTTTTATAATTAATAGTAACTTAAAACTATACAGCTATTTTAAAATTGTCTTTTTTTAATTTTTAAAGAGGCAGAGTCTCTACTGACCAAGCTGAAATAAATGTAGTGGTGCAATTACAGCTAACTTCAGCTTCAAACTCCTGGGCTCAAATGATACTACTGCCTCAGCCTCCCAAGTAGCTGGCTCTACGTGAACAAGCTACTAGCTAATTATTTTAATTTTTTTTTTTTTTGTATACAAGATATCTTGCTATGTTGCCTAGGCTAGCCTCAAACTCCAGGCCTAAAGTGATCTACCCATCCCAGCCTGTGGTGGATTAGGTGGATCCTAAAGTGCTAGGACTACAGGTGTGAGTCACCACACTGAGGTAATTTAACTTTTTGTTGAGACGAGGTTTCACTATGTTGCCCAAGCTGGTCTTAAATTCCTGGCCTCAAGTCCTGCCACCTTGGCCTCTTGAAGTGTTGGGATTACAGGTATAAGCCACCACACCTGACCTAAAAATCATCTACCTTTTTAACTATAAGTGAGAATTTCATCTAGTAAAAATAAAATAATTAAATGATGAAATAGACTCAGATATGATACAAATTCACAGGACTAGGAGCCAGTTTTTAAATAAAGGCACATTTAATTTATCTCATGACTACTGCCAAGATTTTTATTCTATATTTTAAATTTGAAATGATATTTTCATGGTTAGGAAAAAATAAAACAGGAAAAAATAAAGAACCAAACAACTATAAGTACTATAAGAATGAAATCCAAAACCATGTACCAGTCACTGGCAGGACCACGAACTATTTTCTTGGTGTGAAATCCAGTGGTAAAGAGGAATCTAGCAGCAAGCTGAATACTAATCATAGTAATTTCTTCTGCTTCAGGCAACAAATAATCCTGCCCTTTAAATAAAAAGTATATATATGGTTAAAAACATTTTTATCTTCAAACTCTATGTTAAAAAATCTTAGTTATTCTTAGTGATTATCTTACCCCTTCCCTAACCCATATTTCAAACTAATTCTTGAGTAAAAAATAGTAATTACTACAACAAATGCTTTTCTATATTTCCATATATTAAGAATCACTGTTCAAAGGTACAGATATCATAATTTTTTCATTTTAAAATAACTATACCAAAAAAGCCAACACATTCATATAAAATGAGGTTAAAGATTCTATGAAAAAATAAAAGAAAACTGAAGAAAAAGGTGAAACACATTTGATGCCCTGTAAGGTATCCTAGAAGCCAAATAAAAACTATTCTTTATTAGAAGAAGCTACTTTCAAAGCTTACCTGGAGCAGGGTTTAAATAAACACCATTACATGTAAGCAGTTTTTTCACAAACTGAAAATACTCTAAACTATATTGCAATCGGTTATGCATAAATTTCACATTTTGTTTCCGTACACTTCTCTCAATGGCTGGTGACATAATGATCTGATGGGGTCTTGCAATAGTTAGCTCTGATATGTATCTTATCATCTCATCATCTTCATCTATCATATCCATTTGTTCATAAAAAAGTATGTAAGCATTCCACCACCTCTTCTGTCGCCTATATGACATGCGCTTCATCATGTGATCAAATACTTCTCCCATGTACTCTCCACCAAAACACTGATTTTTCATTTCTTCATCATCATCCATTTTGCATTCTGTTACATCTCCATCATCAAATTTATACCAGTGATCTGTCTGATCATCTTTACCATTCCTTTGAATGATGTAAGAATAATAATGCCCACCGCTTGCTTGACCACTGTGTACAAGCACTCCTACAAGTCTGTACTTTGTGCCTCCTGCAGTTTCATTGTCAGACTGCTCTTTCTGTTCAATCAACTCATTTTCTGAGTTTACATTATCCCTTTCCAGGTTTGCAACACCTGCTACTGTGTAAGGTCCCATATCCAGCTCTCGAGGAAATTCAAAATAATCATTGAATTTAATTGCACATTCTCTTTCCCAGTCATAGTCAAATCGTTTGAGTTGGATAGCAAGAACCCGAGGCAATTTTTTAATTAGCAGGCGCTTTACTGTGTCAACCTATAATAAACAGAGAATATAAACAAATGTTCTCTTGTAACTAGAACAGAAACTAAAACAATTTCATGTTAATTTTAAAGTTTACAGTCTATTTAAATTTATTTATAAGCAGATGAGTAAATAAAAATAAATACCATCAGGGTAATTATGTCATAACTGACTTAAAGAATCCTTACTTACCAAAGCTAAAAATATATAAATATACTCATCCTTTGGTATCTGTAGGGGACTGGCTCTAGGACCCCCATAAATATCAAAATCTGTGTCTGCTCAAGTTTCTGATTTAAAATGGAGCAGTATTTACATATCATCTACAGACATCCTCCTGTATAGTTTAAACCATCTCTACATAACCTACTTAATACAATGTATTAAGTATGCTATGTAGATGGTTATTACACTGTAATGGCTTTTGAATTTATATTACTTTTTATGGTAGTACTGTTATTTTTTGTTTTCAAATATTTTTCATACATGTTTAGAGGAAATGGTGTTTGCAGAAGCTGTGGATATGAAAGGTCCTTCATTTCTTGCAAACTGGAAAACATTACTGATAAAGACACTGATGGCTATGTAGTTCCATATGGCCACTATTACTTGACTGTGTTACTCCTCTGATGTTTTCTTTTATGCTAATGAACAGAATTTGCTGTGAGTAAACTGAAGACATATGATAAGCAATTTTAATAGCAGCTAATATTTATAGCACTTAAAAACCAGGTAATACACTAAGTGCTGCACACATATTAATGAATTTAATCCTCACTGTCTTATAAAAAGGTACTACCTATGTATAATTATTTTAAAACATGTGGATTAAGAGTAGCAGAAAGGGTGAGAAGAAATAGTCCCAACTGTCAGAAGTGTGGGTAACAGGCAGTATGGCTTTATAAACAAACCACAATCTAAGTGGTGCATAAGTTCAAAACCATGTAGGCAGCTTGAAGGTGAGGGGTTTTGAAGGTCAAGGAAAACACATACATTTTTTAATATATAATATCTTAAAAGACATGTTATCATTCCATCTCCCAAACTAAGTGCCAGAGATAAAAATTAGCTGGCTAGGCCCAAAAAATGAAATCTGGGCTGGGTGCAGTGGCTCACGCCTGTATTCCCAGCACTTTGGGAGGCCAAGGCAGACAGATCATGAGGTCAGGAGTTCAGGACAAGCCTGGCCAACATAGTGAAACCCTGCCTCTACTAAAAACACAAAAAATTAGCCTGGCGTGCTGGCAGGTGCCTGTAATCTCAGCTAGTTGGGAGGCTGAGGTGGGAGAATTGCTTGAACCAGGAGGCAGAGGTTGCAGTGAGCCGAGATCACACCATTGCACTCCAACCTGGATGACAGTGCAAGACTCCGTCTGAAATAAAAAAAAAATTCAAAAAAATGAGATCTGTTAGTGAAACTACACGTGGTTGTGAAAATCTGATGTAACCCAATAAAATTAGCAAGCTTCCCTACTTCAAGAGGAAACTAGAGTAAGAAAATAATGTTTTCTACTACCAACTCTTCAAGATTGAAGCATTCAATTGCAATTGATTTCAGGGCAGAGATGGAAAAACTTGTAAGATTCTATGACTTTCAAAATTATTCACCCAATAAAAATGTTCTGTTTTTCCTAGTCTGCCACGCACTGTATTTTCTCAATGTTATTTTGCTTTAAACCAGTTATCATGTTGACCACCTCTCTGCTACCACTGTAACAGCAGAGATAAAGCAGAAGTTAATTTTGAAGATGAGCATAAACAACTCCAATGTCCTCCTATTCTGTTCAATGCAATCATTATTTTTCAAAAGTAAAAAAAAATACCTTTTTATCACATTTTTCACAATGATATGCATTTGCACCTTCCAATAAATCTCCTTTGATATACTGTTCCAAAGAGTCAAGAAGATTTTGATGATTTCTAATATCCACATTCAAAGTTGTAAAAGATTCTTCACATTCATACCTAAAGATATTATTAATGAAACAAATTAAAAGAATGTATTCTATAGGTTTAGTTTTTTTTTTTTTAATCTTTTAGAGACAGGGTTTTTCTCAGGCTGGCGTGCAGTGGCACAATCAGCTCACTGTAGCCTTGAACTCCTGGGCTTATGCCAGGGATCCCCAGCCAGTACTGATATGTGTCCTATTGGGAACTGGGCTGCACAGCAGCCAGTGAGTGGTAGGCAAGCTGGTGAAGCTTCATCTGTATTTAAACCACTCCCCATGGCTTGCATTACCACCAGAGCTTCATCTCTTGTCAGATCAGGGACAGCATTCGATTCTCAAAAGAGCAAGAACCCTACTATGAACTACACATGTGAGTGATGTAGGTTGTGCACTCCTTGTAAGAATCTAAAGCGTGATAATCTGTTACTGTCTCCCACTGCCTCCAGATGGGACCATATAGCTGCAGGAAAACAAGCTCAGGGCTCCCACTGATTCTACATTATGGTCATTATGGTGAGATGTATAATTATTTCATTATATATTATAATGTAATAATAACAGAAATAAAGGGCACAGTAAATGTAAGACACCTGAATCACCCCAAAACTACCCCCCATCCTCAGTCTGTGAAAAAAATGATCTTCCATAAAACTGGTCCCTTGTGCTGGAAGGTTGGGGACTGCTGCCTTTGGTGATCCTCCCACCTCAGCCTCCCTAGTGGCTAGGCCTACAAGTGGGTACCAACATGCCCAGGCAAGTTTTTTTTGTTTTTTGTTTTGTTTTTTGTAGAGATGGGTTCTTGCTCTTGACTATGCTGTCCTTCAACTCCTGGGGTCAAGTGATCCTTCTGCCTCATCCTCCCCAAATGCTAGGATTACATGTGTGAGCCATCGTGCCCAGCCTGGTTTCTAAATCTTATCCTTCTGGGTGCCGTGGCTCATGCCTGTAATCTCAGCACTTTGGGAGGCCAAAGCAGGCGGATCGCCACAAGTCAGGAGTTCATGACCAGCTTGCCCATCATGGTGAAATCCCATCTCTACTAAAAATATATATATATAAAAATTAGCCAGGTATGGTGGCACATGCCTGTAATCCCAGCTACTTGGGAGGCTGAGGCAGGTGAATCACTTGAACCCAGGAGGCAGAAGTTGCAGTGAGCTGAGATTGCACCACTGCACTCGAGTGTCTGGGAGACAGAACAAGACTCCGTTTCAAAAGTAATAATGAATACATCTTTTCCTTAACTGTGAACTTGATGAAAAACACATATGCAGTATTTAACACATCATGTCAAGTATATTAATCATACAATGTTATTAATAAGTAATATCTTTTATCAGTTGCTTATTTTGTACTGGGCACTGTATTAGATTCCTTACACAGATTATAGCTCATCTTTACCTTGATAAAAGCCCTGTTAGAGGTACATATCCATCCCTACTTTAAAGCTAAGACAATGGGGTTGAGTAGGGAAGTCAAAAAGAATAATTTGATACAGTTTATTAGGTGGAATGATGCTTTGAAAACCAGCTTGTTTGGCCTTACCTCTTAAGTTCTTTATGTTCTATCACACTATGATACATATTATCTGTTTAAACAGTAATTCATGACGAGGTAAAAATAAGAATTAATCAAGCTCTAAAAAAAGCCTATACTAAACCATTAATGAACTTTATTTTTAAGTGTCCCTCAATTTCTGTCATAAACACTTTCCTAATGTGTAAGTTCAAACACTTATCATGCTTAAATGCCTCTGGTGTTCTTGTCTATAAAGTCGTAAACATAAGCAGAGAGCCAGGTGTGGGGTGGCATTTGTCTGTAGTGCCAGCTACTCAAAAGGCTGATGTAGGAGAGGGTCACTTGAGGCCAGGAGTTTGAAGCTGTTGTGTGCTATGATCACACTTTTGAATAATCACTATACTTCAGCCAGGGAAACATAGTGAGACCCTGTCTTAAATAAATAAATAAATAAATAAGTGGAGTAGAGAGTAAATAATGTGGGACTGAGTCAGCATCACAGATTATGGTAATTTTCTACAAACTCAGAAAATGAGATGGGGCAGGCACGTCAACCATCAAATCCATTCATCTAACCAATATTTTCAAAATGTCTAAACAGTATCTCACTCTCTTGCACAGTCTAGAGCATAGTGGTGCGATCTCAGCTCACTGCAACTTCTGCCTCCCGGCTTCAAGCAATTTTACTGCCTCAGCCTCCTGAGTAGCTGGGATTACAGAAGCCTGCCACCATGCCCAGATAAGTTTTTTGTATTTTTAGTAGAAATGGGGTTTTACTATACTGGTCAAGCTGGTCTTGAACTCCTGACATCAAGTGATCTGCCAGTGCTGGTGTCCCAAAGTGCTGGGATTGTAGGTGTGAGCTACCACCACTGGCCAGTTTCTCACAGTTGGAAACTTTTGATTTATTCAGGAAAAACAAGACAGTCACAAAAATGAAATTACATTTATAAATGACTTATGCAAGTTGCTTTTGATCAGGAACCACCCCATAGAGAAGTATAAGGCTATCTTAGAGAATAAAATAATTAAAAGATCCTACAATTAAAAGTGATACTCTGGCAAGGTGTAGTGGCTCATGCCTGTAATCCCAGCACTTTGGGAGGCTGAGGCAGGAGGAAAGCTTGAACCTGGAGTTCGAGTCCAGCCTGGGAAACATGGTGAAACCCTAATTCTACAAGAAATACGAAATTTAGCTGGGTGTTATGGCATGTGACTGCAGTGCTAGCTACTTAGGAAGCTGAGGTGAGAGGACTACTTGAGCTTGGAAGGTTGAGGCTGCAATGAGCTGTGATTGTGTCCTTGCATTCCAACCTGGGTGACAGAGTGAGACTCTATCTCAAAAAACAGAACAAAACAAAACAACCCCCAATGCCTTATAATATAGAAGTCTTGGATGCTAATAACAAGTTTAGTTAGAATAAATATTTTATTTATGCTACTGATATTTTTACTGTTTCCTGTCTTGTCAAATCTTGCTAAGTGGTTTGATGTGCAAGCATATGTAACACTTCTCAAGAATAGTAAGAATTGAGAGTAATTTAAGTCATTTAAATGTTACTTCCTTCGGAGATGTTTCAAAATCCAAGAGATGGCTAAAACCTCAGATAGCATTGAACTCTGTATACTATGTATATTCTGTTTTCTTCCTAAACATACATACTTAAGTGTGATTATGTTTAATTTATAAATGATGCACAGGAATAGATTAGCAGCCGCTTTTAGCCTTTTCTTTGGCGCATCTGAATTACCAGAATATTACTAAGTAAAATAAGAGGTATTTGAACTAAGTTGTGTGATATCTTTGACAATCAATCTGACAACTGAGACAGCAACTAAGTAGATAACAGGCACAGAGACAGTATGGATATGCTGGAAAAAGGGATGATTTACATCCTGAGAAGGACAAAGCAGGAGAGCCCCAAATTTGATCACATTATTTAGAATGGGGCACAGTTTAAAACTTATAAATTGTTTATTTCTGGAGTCTTCCACTTAATTTTTTTTTTTGAAGAGTAGCTGGGATTACAGGCACATGCCACCACACTCAGCTAATTTTTGCATTTTTGTAGAGATGGGGTTTCACCATGTTGGCCAGGATCGTCTCAATCTCCTGACCTCGTGATCCACCTGCTTCGGCCTTCTAAAGTGAACGATGAGGTGGAAACTGAAACCATGAATAATGGGTTACTACTCCAGTCTTGCCAATTATCTTTGGAAGTTCCATCTAAATATTCTGATTGCTAGTTAGAACATAAAAAGAAAATGTCTATTTAAAGAATAAGTGTAGATTTATGGAAAATGCCATTTTAAGACACAGGATAAGACAAAGCAAACAAGAATGAATTGAGGAAGTAATGAAGTACTAACCAAATGTTCCTGGGAAGAAAAAAATCAGAATAGTGTAGTATGCATATGAATTTAATTCATTCATAGTCCTAGGCTTTTGGTACACTCTGCTTTTATATAAGTACTAATGAAAGATTTACACTATTATTAAAAAAAAAACAACACGAAGTATACATTAAAAACATAATTAGCACTTACCTATGTGGGCAGCCTTGGCAGATCTTCTGATCAGCAAAGGAGCCTCCTAGGACTTTACTTAGTATAGCCGGGTGTCCTAAAGCTTTTAAAGCTTCATCTAAACTATCCACCAAAGAATTAAAAAACTCTAAGGCATCATGTTGTTCACGGAGATTAACAGGTTCACCCCAAAGCCTAAGAAGGAAAGGAAACAAAATGAGTTATGTAATACATGCCTAGAATATCCATATTTTATAACAACAAAAATAACAATGACAAACATAAGCTGAGAGTTTAAGCCACATAGAAAGGAGAAACGCACATTGTTTGCAGATGCAACACAATCGAAGTGCTTACAGTAATAATGATACTACAGTGTCAAAAAGTTATAAATGGTGTGACTAAGCTGGATAGTAGGTTTAGAATAATGTTTGCTTCATAAAGCACAGTATATTCAAGCACTTTCAATTCAAGTAAAAAATGACATTTACATGAGAAAGAACCTAATGCTTATGTGGATGCTATAACTACTGCGTTAAAACTTTATTCTGCTTATTTCTGGTGATATAGTGAAAAGATCCTACCACTTAGTTACCATTGTTCATCAAAGCAATTTTTCCAAGTGAAAAGTGAAAGGTTTCCCCGTTCTAGAGTAAACATATTTTCAGTAATCTAAATAGGCATAAAAGGTGAACCAATCCTAAGAAAATACCAATGATAAGTATACAAAATGAGAACTAATGCTGCTGAAAGAGGTTATTCTGGAAGCTATTGAGAACATCTAACAATATTTTCCTAATAATAAGCATCAGAAAATGTCATTTTTAGCAAAAGGTATGGGAATATTTTGAACTTGCTAAGGTGGTACACTGTGTTTTTCTTTGCGGTGAACTTTCACAATTAAAAAAATTGTTATAAATTTAAAAATAAATTTTAAATATTAATACATACAATAAAATTCACATACAATAGAAGCTACTCTGTTGAAGCCATAGGATGTGAGTTTTACAAATGGCAGCCAGCTGTGTAACCACCACAATTGGAGTATCAAACAATCTCTTAAGTACCTTCCTAAATTTCCTAATAGTAGCACTTTGTAAGCCAAATGAATCTCCTGCTATTAATTCCTGGCAACCACTGATCTGTTCTTCATAAATCTGAAGTAGCCTTTTCTAGAATATTACATACAGGAAAGCATATAGATTTAGTGTTTCCATCCTTTTTATTATTGTGGTAGAGTTTACATAATTTACTTTTTATCCTTTTTAAAAAAGACATTAAATTTAATCAGGAAAAATGTAATCGATAATTTAGAAGTATGACAGCAAATTAAAGAGAGAGGAGCACAGAACAAGTAGGATTCTTTATAAAACCAGGAGATTTTAGTTTGTCAGTACAAGTCAACAGGACAATGTAACTAATAAAGGGGTAAAATGCTAATGTGTTAGGCTTCACTAATACATAAAGAGAAATCTGGTACCACATCTGGAGTATTCATTCAACTTTAAGGCCACCCTTTAAGAATACTGATGAACTGGAATGTGGCTTTATTCTTTTGTTTTTAATTAATATTACTGTGGTAAAATAAATACAACACAACATTTACTTTTTAAATCATTTAAGTGTAAAGTTTAGTGGAATTAAGAACATTCATGATGGCTGCTGTACTACCATTACACCATTCCATCTCAGACCTCTCTTCATCTTGCAAAACTGAAATTATACCCATTAAACAACCCCTAAAAACTTCTTATTGACAACCTCTGAAAATCAGCATTCATTTGGTACCTATAAATACAACCTCATGTAAGTGGGATCATACAGAATTTGTGTTTTTGTACTTGGATCATTTCACTTAGCATAAAGTCCTCAAGGCTCATCTATGTTGTAGCATATTACAGAATTTCCTTCAATGGTGAATAACATTTCATAATATGTATATAGATTTATCAATTTATCAGATGATACAAACTAAAAATATTTTTACATTTATCAACTGTGAATGTCACTAACTACCGAGTGTACACTACCTCTTTTGAGACCCTGCTTTCAATTCCTTTGGGTTTATACCCACCAGGGAAATAAGAGAAATTGCTGGAGCATATGGTAATTCTACTTTTATTGATTTATTTTTGAGACAGAGTCTTGCTGTGTCATCAAAGCCAGAGAGCAGTGGTGCAATCTTGGCTCACTGCAACCTCTGTTTCCCAAGTTCAAGTGATTCTCCTGCCCCAGCCTCCTGAATAGCTGAGATTATAGGTGTATGCCACCACGCCCAGCTAATTTTTGCATTTTTAGTAGAGATGGGGTTTCCGGCTGGTCTCGAACTCGACCTCAGGTGATTGTCCGCCTCCACCTCCCAAAGTGCTGAGATTACAAGCATGAGCCACCACACCCGGCTGTACTTCTACTTTTAACTTTTTGAGGAAGCACTATATGTTTTCAACAGTGGCTGTACCATTTTACAATCCCACCCTTAGTACACAAGGGTTTCAATTTTTTCACAGCCTCACCAGCAATTACTATTTTTATAATGGTCATTATAATACATCTAAAATGGTATTTCAATACAGTTTTGTTGTGCATTGCCTTTATGATTAGTAATATTGAACATTTTTATATGTACCTCTTAGCCATTTGTATGTTTCTTGAAAAAACATTTATTCAAATCTTTTGGTCATATTAGTCTGTCTTCACACTGCTGTTAAGTACTGAAACTGGGTAATTTATACAGAAAAGTTTAAGTGACTCGGTTCCACATGGCTGTAAGGAAGCAAGACTGATAGGCCTTAGGAAACTTAATCATGGTGGACAGGGAACCGGAAGCAAGCACATCTTATATGGCAGAGCAATATAAATCTTTCACCACCTTGGTTAAATTAATACCTAAGTATTTTATTTTTTGATGGCTATATAAATGTTTTCATACTTTCTTTTTGGGACTGTTTACTGTTATTGTATAGAAATGCAACTGATATTTGTGAGACTTTGCATTCTGCTACTTTGCCTAATTCAATTATTTACTCCAACAGTTTTCGTAGGAGTATCTTCAGAAATTTATACATGTAACATCACAGCATGTGTAAACAGAGATAATTTTTCTGCTCCTTTTCCAATGTGGATGCCTCTTCTTTTTTCTTGCCTAACTGTGCTGGGTAGGACTGCCAGTATTATATTAAACAGCGGTGGTATAAGTGGGCAGCTTTGCCTTGTTCGTTATCTTAGAGTAAAAGCTTTATATTACAAATATGCTTGCTCAGAGTTTTTTATACATGGCTTTTATTAAGCTGAGGCAGTTTCCTTCTGTTCTGTATTCACTGCATGTTTTTATCATGAAAGGCAGTTCTGTTAAATGTTTCCTCCATCTCAATTGAGATGACAATGTGCTATTTTTTGCTCATTTATTAAAGTGGTGTATTACACTGATTAGTTTCACTTGTTGAATCATGCACATATTCTTAGAATAAACCCCACTTGGTCATGATATAATATTCTTTTAACATGCTGCTAAATTGGGTTTGCTAGTATTTTGTTGTGGAATTTTGCATCCATGTTCATAATGGATTACTGGTCTATAATTTTCTTGCAGCATCTTTGTCAGGCTTCTATATGTTAGATGTAGATTTGAGGCTTTCCTTTAGCACAATGAATGTGAACCTTTAACTCAGCTCAGTGTGTCAATAGCTTAATCCTTTTTCTTTGCCGTGTTGTATTTCACCATATGAATGTACCAGAATTTACTTATCTATTAGCCATTCAAGGGACAAAAGTTGTTCCCAAAATTGCTGGGACACAAGCAATTTAGCACTGCTGATAAAGCTGCTATAAATACCTACAGACAGGCTCTATCTTAGTCCTCAGTTCATTTTGATAAATATCCAGGAGTCAGCCTGCTTAGTTGTACATTAAGTTTATGAATAAGTTTGTAAGAAACTGGCAGTTTCCCAAAGGATCACAACTTTGGAAAATTTTATCAGTAACGGCTGAGTATCATGTACTCCTGATCCAAACCAGCACCAGAAAAAAACAGGGGTGTAGTTGTATCTGTTGTGGTTTTAACATAAAAACCCCTAATGAATAATGATGTTGAACACAGTTTTATACCATTTATCTTCTTTGGTTAAGTTTTCAAATATTTTAAGAATTTTAATTATGTACTTTTTAATATTGAGCTAGGAAAATTCTTTATTTTGTATGTATTTTGCAAATATTTTTCCCATGCTATGCCTTTTCATTTTCCTAATGTCGTCTTTGGAAGAGTATATGGCTTTCCTTTTGATGAAGTCACACGTATCAACATTTATGAATTATCATCTAAATATTGTTTGATAACAATTCAAAGTGACAAAAGGTTTTTCTTCAATATTCTCACATTCTAGGTCTGAGTTTCATTTTGCATTAAATTTGTATAAGGCACAGGTTGAGGTTCACTTTAGGGGAAAGGATATGAATGTCCAGTTGTCCCAAATCACTAAAAGTGAAGACTTTGCATTCTCTCCCCAAGATGGGAAAAATGCGAAGTCTTTTCATTAAATGATCTGGGACATTAGTCATATTAGTATACATTATTTTCCAAAGCTACACATGGTATTAATCTTTGTGCCTATCCTTTTATTAATGCCATGTTTTAATTTTTGTGGCTTTAATGGCAGTCTTGAAATCACGCAGTGGAAGTTCTCCAATTTGGATCATTTCCTTTCCCAAATTGTTTTAGCTTTCCTTGTCCTCTTTCCTTTCATGCTAATAATTGGTAAATTAATATATGTAAATATCCTGATAGAAAACATAGGTTTATAAATCAATTTGGGAAGAACTGACATGTTAGCAATATTTCATCTTTCATTAAAGGGATAGTATGGTATCTGCATGGTCTTGTGGGAAAAAAAAATCGTTGTGAGTTTTTTTCTATCAATTTTTACCTTCTTTGATCTCTGCAGTTTTTTTTCAGTGTTCAGCATTCAGAAGCTGCAATTAGTTTTCAATGTTGTTGGTTTTTTTGTTTGTTTCGGTAAAGAGTGTTCATATACAGTAAACAGAAGCATAAACGATAAATTATAACAACACACATACACACACCCCTTGTAAAATCACCTCAGTCAAGATAATGAATGTATCCAACACTCAAATGATTTTCCTTTTTAACCTCTCCATTTTGCCCCTGCCATCCCATTCTTCCCATCTCAAGCAACCACTTTGTGCTTTCTGCCAATTAGAATATTTCCATTTTCTATAATTTTAATACTAATACAATCACACGATATCCACCATTCCTGTCTTTTTTTTTCCACTCACAATAATGAATTTGCATTCAACATGATAGCTGTAGGCTGTCTGCAGATGCCTTTTATCAGGTTTTCTTTCATTATTAGTTGTGCTGATGTTTATCAGGAAAATCTATTTTGTCAAATGTTTTCTTACATCTACTGAAGTCATCATATAAGTTTCCTTTTTAGTTTGTTTAATGTAAGTATATTAATTGATTTAAACCAACTAAGCTTTCCTAAAATATATTCTCCTTTGTCATCAGGTATTGTCTTTAACATTGTTCACTTCAACTTCCAAAATTATTTTTAGAAACCGTGCATCTAACACCAGAAATGTGGTCTGTAGTTTCAGTATTTTTAAATGTTTGTCATATTTTGCTATCAAGCAAAGTAGTTCTTGAAGAATCTTAATAAAAACTTTTTATTTAGTTTTAGGCCATCATATCTTCTAATGCCTTTTTTTTTTTTTTTGATTTCCTTCTCCTGTTTTGGGGAAATTAATTAGATCATCTAAGGTTGTCCCACAGCTCAGTGATACTCTTTTGTTTTAGAAAATCATTTTACCCTTGTGTTTTATAATGAATACATTTAATAGATCTTTTCTTCTGCAGTGTGTTATCAGCTGTTAATCTCATTTAGCGTCTTTTTCTTTTCTTTTTGAGATGGACTTTCACTCATTGCCCAAGCTGGAGTACAATGGCGTGGTTTCGGCTCATTGCAAACTCCACCTCCTGGCTTCAATCGATTCTCCTGCCTCAGCCTCCCAAGTAGCTGAGATTACAAGCATGCACCACCACACCTGGCTAGTTTTCTATTTTTTGTAGATATGGGTTTAACCATGTTGGCCAGGTTGGTCTCAAACTCCTGACCTCAGGTGATCCACCGGTCTCAGCCGCCCAAAGTGCTGTGATTAGAGGCATGAGCCATGACCGCGCCCAGCCTTAGCGTATTTTTCATCTCTTTTAAGTCTTCATCTGCAGAGCTTTGTTGTAATTTTGCTTATCTCTAACTTTTTGAACATATGAATATACATTACAAAAACTTTTAAAAGTTTTTATCGTTTAACATCTGAGTCAGTTCTAGGTCAGGTCCACCTATTTGTTGATTCTTCACATGGTAGGTCATATGTTCCTGCTTCTTTGCATGCCTGATAATCTTTGACTAGATAGAGATATTTTGAATTTTACCTTATTCAATGCTTGATATTCTGTACTCTTTTAAACTTTCTCTAGCTTGGTTTGAGACGTAGTTTGATTTTCCTGTTCACACTTTAGGTAGCCAAAAACAGTGCATAGTATAGGAATAAGTATTCCTTGGTACCGAACAAGGCTCTTCTAGATACTCTATACCCTGTGAACTAACAGTTTTTCTAATGTGGCTGGGAGGAACAGCTATTTTTCCTGTTCTGTGAGAATTTAGACTGCTCCCTCTAATTCTTTCATGTGTTTCTTTCCTTACCCCAATTTGTTTCCCGATTTACATGTAGTGCTTAGTTCTCTCTTGAATATTCAAGGAGAAATAAAAATTACTAGAATTAATGCAGCTCTCTGATGCACTATTACAAACCTTAGATCCTTTAGTCTCCTTGGATTCTCCACAATGTTTCCTTAAGTCAGGAATTCCATTGGTCTGATTCACTGTCCCACCCTACACTGTAGACTAACTAAGGCTACTGCAGGGCTCTCATTTGTTTCCTATCTCAAGAATAATATTCCTTTTTTGTCTGATGCCTAATGTGTTGAAGCCATAGTTTAATGTACTTTATCTGTATATTTTTAAAAAATTGTTTCACCAAAGGAGGCAAATTAAGTCCAAATTACTTCAAGCTGACAAGAAGTAAAAACACATTGTTTTCATTTTTAGCACTACTCTAAAGTTTCTTTCTCTATCACTTCTTTTTTTTTTTTTTTTTTCCAACTTCATTGGTTTCTAGTACTTCTGAAAAATCTTTGCTTGTTTTGGGTTTAATTTACTATTTTCTCCACTGTATTTTTTTCTTTCCTTTTTTTTTCTTTTTCATTTTTGTTTTTTTTTTAAGATAGGATCTTGCCCTATTGTCCAGGCTGGAGTGCAGTGATATAATCACAGCTCACCACAGCCTCAACTTATTGGGTTCAAGCAATCCTCTTCCCTTAGCTTCCTGAGTAGCTGGGACTACAGGTATGCATCACCATGCCCAGCTAATTTCTGTATTTTTAGGAGAGATGGAGGTTTCACCATGTTAGCCAGGCTAGTGTTCAACTCCTGGGCTCAAGTGATCCGCGCACCTTGGCCTCCCAAAGTGCTGGGATTACAGGCATAAGCCACCATACCTGGCTGCTCCCCTAGTTTTAAGGTACAAAACAGGTTAATAATTCCTATATGAAAATATACCGTTTACTGGCCTGGCATGGTGGCTCATGCCTGTAATCCCAGCGCTTTGGGAGGCCGAGGCTGGTGGATCACCCAGGGTCTGGAGTTCGAGACCAGCCTCACCAACATGGTGAAACCCTGTCTCTACTAAAAACACAAAAAATTAGCTGGGCGTGGTGGCAGACGCCTATAATCCCAGCTACCTGGGAGGCTGATGCAGGAGAATCGCTTGAACCTGGGAAGTGGAGGTTGTGGTGAGTCGAGATCACACCATTGCATTTCAGCCTGGGCAACAAGAGTGAAACTCCATTTCAAATAGAAAAGAAAAGAAAAGAAAAGAAAAGAAAAGAAAAGAAAAGAAAAGAAAAGAAAAGAAAATATACTGTTTACCGTTCAACTATTCCCCACTAATTTTGGTAATCAGTGAATCTTTCTTGCATCAGTTATTACTGTGATGCTCTAATGGTGTTACTCTATTTCCTTCATTTATTTATTCAGTTATTTGCTTCTATCAGTATGAGCATTTATTTTATGCTAAGTATTATAATCTAATACTATTATTATTTATCTTTTTCCTAAAATTGTTTCAATATTAAACACGAGAGCTTTTCAGTTGGCTCCTATGCTGACTTGGTATTATTTCTTTTCTTTTTTGACAATTTCCTTAATGGCTTGCATCTAGGCCAATATGCTCATAGTCGTCTGCTCCTGCCTGGGAACACACCAACTTTCCAGGCAGGTCTGGTTCCTTTTCATCAGAAAATGGTACTTACAAATTAAACTCTAGATACCAACTGCTAGATACCTATGTACAAATTAAGCTCTAGATACCAACTGCCTAGATAACTATGTACAAATTAAGCTCTAGGTACCAACCGTTAGACACCTACATTATTGGGGTCATTATTTTTAGACATTCTCAGTGCACAGAACTTGGAAATATATGTGTATATACCACATCAATGCTCACACACACATATCTCTATTGCTACGCCTATCTGTATGTATGTGTCTAAACTTAAAACATATATACAAGACGCATGGTGGCTCAGCTCAAGCTGTAATCACAGCACTTTAGGGGGCTGATGGGGGCAGATCACTTGATGTCAGGAGTCCGAGACCAACTGGCCAACATGGTGAAACCCCATCTCTACTAAAAATAACAAAAAAAAATTAGCTGGGCATGGTGATGGTTGCCTGCGATCCCAGCTATTTGGGAGGCTGAAGCAGGAGAATCGCTTGAACCTGTGAGGTGGAGGTTGCAGTGAGCCAAGATTGCACCACTGCATTCCAGACCAGGCTACAGAGCAAGACTCTGTCTCAAAACAAACAAACAAACAAACAAACCAACAAAAACACAACCACCAAGAAGCATACATACATATCACACCACGTATGTAGTTTAAAATAAACATGACTACAACTACATACCACTGTTCACTCAAGCCACCTACCTTCCCTTACCTGTAACTTATCTTTACAAAAATTACAATCCTGGCTGTTATTATCTGTGCTAGATTTGTTCACCTCTAATAAACATCTAAAGTAGTTCCAGAATTGGTAACACTTGGAAATAGAATTGCAGAGATTAGTACTTCTGTACAGTTCTTTTTATTTAGCTTTACAGTACCTACTCAATACACTGTCTTCCAGAGTTACTTGGGATGGTTCTTTCAACTTTTCTTGGTTAGTGATTTCCTATTTTCTTTTTCCAAGCTTGGATTTTTTTTTTAAAAAAGTTGAGATAATTGTAGAATCACATGGAGTTTTAAGAAATAACAGAGATGCTGTTTTCTCTGTTTCTGTATTTTAATAAAGATATCTTTTATCCAATTTCCCCAGCAATAGCATCTTGCAAAACTATGTAACACAGTATCACAATTGGGATACTATTATTGGTACAAGCCAAAATCTTAAATTACATTTCTCTAGGTTTTACTTGTACTTATTTCTGTATGTACGTTTAGCTGTCTATGTCTGTGTAATTTTACATAAACACACACAAATATATATGTATGTAAATACATATACAGAATATATGTATAAATTATATACAATTGCTTTATGAATTACATTATCACAGTGTTAATATTTTACCACTTCCATTAAGATACAGAAGCTTCACAGCCAAATAATAAGCATTTACTTTTCTCCATATATAATTGTCAAACATACTAAAACCATGCATAATTACCCCTTAATGTTATTTTTATTTTCAATACTCATAGAAATTTAAACAAACTAGGAAAGAAAAATAAGACTACTACATATACCATTTCCTGCTTGTATTCTTTCTTGCAATTACATGTGTCCCTGTGTTTAACTACCTTTCTGCCAAAACTTTTGACAGAATTTAGAAATTTCTTCACAAGTTTCCTTTCTCATGAGAATAAATGTATATCCCAGTAACTACTAAGAGATATTTTCACTGGATATCAGAATATGACTTTTATTCTTTATCTACTTTTTCTTCTGCTGCCTGTACTTTTGATGTAATCAAACAAATCACTGCCAAATCCAATGTCATAAATTTTCCCTTTAAACTTATAAAATTTTATTTATTATGTTTAGCTTTGATTCATACTGAGTCAATATTTAAATATGGTCTAAGGCAGGATTGTCCAAGGGAGAGAATACACTCATGGGTTCTGAGTTTCTGTTTCTTGATAGGCCAGTAAAGTTCCTTCCTCACCCTCGTTTAATCTTATCACTAGACACAGAAACTAAAAACCCATGGCTTCAGGCTGCTTTTAGCCTAAAAGAAAACAAAACATAACAATGAAATAAGGCAGGTTGGACAAGCTTGTCTAAGACAAGGTTTTAATGATGAAAGACTAAGAGCTTTTCCTCTAAGACCAGGAACAACTCAAAGATATGCACTTTTACCACTTCTATTTGACACAGTAATTCTCCTAGACAATCATTAAAGAAATAAGAAACAAAAAGCATCCAAATTGAAATCCTAACGATTACACACAAGTATACATCACTATGATAAAATAATTCAACAAAGTTTCCAAATCAGCACCTCAAAATCAATATGGGGATATGAGGGAGCTATTATTAATGAATATAAAGTTTCAATTTAAAAGAAGAAAAACTGGCAGGGCACGGTGGCTCAGCCTGTAATCCCAGCACTTTGAGAGGCAGAGCGAGGTAGATCACCTGAAGTTAGGAGTTCTAGACCACCCTGGCCAACATGGTGAAACCCTGTCTCTACTAAAAATACAAAAATTAGCTGGGCGTGGTGGCAGGCACCTGTAATCCCAGCTACTCGGTAGGCTGAGGCAGGAAAATTGCTTGAACCCGGGAGGTGGAGGTTGCAGTGAACTGAGATCACGTTACTGCACTGCAGCACAGCAAGAGAGCGAGACTCCGTCTCCAAACAAACAAACAAACAAACAAAAAAAGATGCAAAACCTTCGGATATAGTGGCGTAAAGGTATATAATGCCAGTCACCTGGACAACTAAAATCTATTAAAAGGGTGAATTTTTATGTTATGCACATTCTGCCACGATAGAAATAGTAAATCACAGGAGGAGCCTGAAAATGAAAAGAAAAAAAAAGATAAGTATGATTTCATCAAAATTTAAAACTCTTGCCTGGGTGCTGTGGCTCACGCCTGTAATCCCAGCACTTTGGGAGGCCAAGGCAGGCGAATCATCTGAGGTCAGGAGTTCAAGACCAGCCTGGCCAATGTGGTAAAACTCCGTCTCTACTAAAAACACAAAAATTAGCTGGGTGGGGTGGCACAGGCCGGTAGTCTTAGCCACTTGGGAGGCTGAGGCAGAAGAATTGCTTGAATCTGGGAGGCAGAGGTTGCAGTGAGCCAAGATTGCACCACTGCAATCCAGCCTGGGTGACAGAGTGATACTGTGAAAAAAAAAAAAAAAGAAAAAACCTCTTAAGCATAAAGTGTACTATAAATATACTGAGAGGATAATCCACAGATGGGAGAAAATATTTCTAAATAATTTATCTTTAAGGGCCTAATATCACAAATACGCAAAAAAGATACAAAGAAGTCTTACAATGCAACAACAAAAGGCAATCAAAAAATGAGAAAAGTACTTCAACAGACATTTCCTCAAAAAAGTACAGAAATTGCTAATAAGTACATGCAAAATGCTCAATAGTACTAACAGTCATTAGGGAAATGCAAATCAAATTCAAAATAAGATACACTTCACATATTTCAAGATGGATATACTAAAAGTAAGGAAACAGCAAGTGTTGACAGATGTAGAGAAACTGTAACCTTCATAATTTGCTGACAGAAAATGTAAATGTCTGGGCCAGGGCCAGTGGCTCACACCTATAATACCAGCACTTTGGGAGGCCAAGGTCGGCAGATCATCCGAGGTCTGGAGTTTGAGACCAGCCTGGCCAATATGGCCAAATCTCATCTCTACTAAAAACCCTGTCTCTACTGAAAATACAAAAATCAGCTGTGGTGGAGTGCTGATGGAGCACTCCTGCAGTCCCAGCTACTCAGGAGCTGAGGCAGGGAGGCTGAGGCAGGACGGTTTCTTGAACCCGGGATGTAAAGGCTGCTGTGAACTGAGATTGCACCACTGTACTCCAGCCTGGGTAACAGAGTGAGACTACTTCTCAAGGAAAAAAAAAAAAAAAAGAAAATGTAAAATTCTACAGGGGCTTTGGAAACCAATTTGGTGGCTCCACAAAAAATTAGACATAGAATTACCACATGACCCAGTAACCGCATTTCTAGGTCTACTCCAAAAAGAAATGAAACATGGATCCACACACAAACTTGTTCATGAATTTTCACAGAGGCACTATTCACAATAGCTCAAAGACGGAAACCATCCAAAGTTAATCAATGGATAAATAAAACATGGTCTAGTCATACAATGAAATATAATTCAGCCATAAAATGAACAAAGTGCCGATACATGTTACAAAATGGACATACCTTAAACACACCATATTTAACATTAGAAGCTAGACAGAAAGGCCATATATGCTGTGATTAAATTACAAGAAATATCAAAAATATGCAAACCTATATAGAGAGAAAAGTAATTTTTTGTTGTCGGGGTAGGAAGAAGAGAAAAGTGGGCTGAATGATTCTTTAATGAGCAGGGAACCTCTTTTTTTGGTGAGGAAAATGTCCTGGAACCAAATGGTAGTGATATTTTCACAAAAATTCTGAATGTACCAAAAAGCACTGAATTGTACACTATTAAATGGTTAAAATGTTGAATTTTATGAGAACTTTACCACAAAAGAAAAAAATGTAATAGGAACATATGTGTCTACAGTTTGTGTAACACAAATGTTTTAGGACAAATTGTGAGCTCCACACTTATTTGGAGAGAATCACTGAGAGGACAAAAACATACATATTTAAGTACAAACACATTATAGCTTAATACATTTAAATACAGATTATAAAGAAGCAAAACGATATATATCTATATATGTGTGTATGAAATTCCTCTATAATGTATATAATTATGTAACTGTGTATTCAGTTATCACACATATATTATTAAGTGAAAGATTTGAAGACAAATCTAAAAGTGTTATAGTAAATTGGAAGAACAGGAACAGAATTGTTGACTAGATTGCAGAAAAAAGTCGAGGTAAAGAAAGCATACGCTAGGGAAAGAAAAAAACAGTTGAAACAGGTAAAAAGGGGAGCAAGGCACGTGTGAAGTTACATAACTGAAAGAGGAAAAGAAGAATTATATATGCATATCGTACTTATAATCTAGGCTTACAGCTCAGCTACAGAATACAGAAATTTATACTGAGAGATATAATGGGGAGTCAGTGTACTGTAAGTTTGTGACTTTCAAAAGGAATCAAAGTGATATGCTAATACATATAAGGGTGGCTGCCATAAGTGCAACAGAAAAAGCAGCTCAGAAATCAGAAGAGCCCTTTCCTTTCCTATCTCTGAGCTATCAAGGAAGTATCTTGTTGAAAGAACTCTAAATTCTTATGAGGGGCAGCAGCATTTTTCTACACATTAGGAAGAGCATGTATTACAGTATATAGTAAAAAGTTGTGCTACAGTGTTTAGTAGCATGTATAACACAAAGTAGGCCTTGATAAAATAGGTGAAACAAACAAACAAAAAAGACAAGTTCAAGATGTAACTGAGCTCTTTCTTTGTTTTTTTTTTTGAGATAGGGTCTCCCTCTGTTGCTGAGGCTGGAGGCCAGTGGCTCCATTACGGTTGAGGTGATCCTCCTGCCTCAGCGTCCCAGGTAGCTGGGACTACTGGCACAGGCCACCACGCCCAGCTAAGTTTTTGCATTTTTAGTAGAGATGGGGTATTGCCATGTTGCCCAGGGTGGTCTTGAACTCATGGGCTCAAGTGATCTGTTTGCCTTGGCCTCCCAAAGTGATGGGGCTACTAGTGTGAGCCACTGCAGCTGGCCTAATTGAGGTTTTCCAAACCTAAAAAGAGGCCAAATTTTATTGGTCACTTTTGGAGGATGTTAGGGAATCATCACTTTACAAATTTGTAAAGAAAAATATACCTATATATATAAAAATATAAAGTTATAATTATATATAATATATACAGTATATAAAGATATATAATAATACACATATATTTTTTGTTGCCAGACTAGGAAGGGGGACTTCCTTTCTAGTGGTGAAAATGTTCATTTCTTTATGAGTAATGCTGGTCTTCAAGGTGATTATGATACATCACCTCAGGGATCAACACTGCTCCAGAGACCAAAAGATATCATTAATGCACTAATCTAACTTATAATGAAAGAAGTTGAAAGAAACTAAGAACAAAAGTTAGTGAATGAAATGATATTCCACTCACTAAAGGAGCTGAGACTACAGGTTCATATTACCATGCTTAATTTTTGCATTTTTTTGTAGAGACAAAGTTTTGCCATGTTTCCCAAGATTATAAAGTAATTTTTATTATATGTGATAATGTACCATGATCATCTTCTTAAAGAAAAATGTTAGGGATATATAAAAAAATCTATATAGATAAAACAATATATTTGACATTTGCTTCAGCAGAGAGCTGTTTAAGCAAGGGGATGACTGTTTTAGTATTTTGCTTTTATATCATTTTTTATTAAGATTGAGTTTCCTCTTGTTGCTCAGGCTGGAGTGCAATGGCACAATCTTGGCTCACTGCAACCTCTACCTCCTGGGTTCAAGCGATTCTCCTGCCTCAGCCTTCCGAGTAGCTGAGATTACAGGCATGCGCCACCACACCCGGCAAATTTTGTAGTTTTGGTAGAGATGGGGTTTCTCCATGTTGGTCAGGCTGGTCTTGAACTCCTGACCTCAGGTGATCCGCCAGCCTTGGCCTCCAAAAGGGCTGGGATTACAGGCGTGAGCCACCGTGCCTGGCTGCTTTTATATAATTGATGTCTTCCAAAATGAAGAAGTAAATTACATCTTAAGAGATTAAAGAACACAGTGCCTTTCTTTACTGTGACAAATTTTACTTCTTTCTATTGGGATAATAAAACATTCTATTGGGAAAATAAAACAAAACTATGACCAAGAAGGATAATTAGAATATTAGTACAGTTTAAATATTAAATATAAAACTAATTATGTATTCTAAGCTACATTTTAGAAGTTTACTGTATTGAGGTTTTTATGAAACTTAAATGATCACCCACCCATAATTTACCTGAACTGTTTCCAAAATCCTCTGGGTACATAGTATTGTAGTTGGGAAGCAGCTAAATGACCAAAGATGACCTGAAGGTGTCTTAGGACACCAATATTATACTCTTTCCTATCTTCTGTCTTACTTAATGCTGGCTTGTCTTCAAATTGATGAGGATATCCAAATACATCATCTCGGGGATCAACATTACTCTAGAGACCAAAAGACATTATTGATGAGCTAATCTAACTTTAACAGTATAACGAAAGAAGCTGAAACAAATACCAGAAGTTAGTAAATGAAATGTTATGCACTTTTTTATATTTCTTACTTCCAAAGCACTTAATTTTTAATATTAGTGCTCATTTCACAGATGGGTTATGATAAAAGATTTCACAGATAAGTTATCATAAAAGAATAGTTAAAAAAATACATTAGAGGTAGTGTAATATAGTAAAGTTTGGTCAAGTATACAGCAGTAAAGACAAATGAGTGCTCTGCCGTAAGTAACTTCAGGGGAATAAGTTACTTGGTCTTCCTAGGACTCAGTATTTTCTTGTGAGCATAATGCATTTTCCAGATTCATGAAGTAATTTACATAATGTTATCACAATTATTAACAATAAATAAAGTTATTAAGAGTAGCTGTGGAAGGTACGGGAGCATATACAGAAGCTCCATAGGTCATAATCTCATTGTAGCTACAGAGCAAAATACAGCTACTTTACAAATATCTAACATGTTTCTATATGCTTTGCTCTGTATCTGGTATTTGTGATACAGAAATAAATAATACCCAGTTCCTGCCCTGGAGAAGCTCATTGCATAGAAAAAGTAGGCAGACACATGCATGCCATAGTACAGTGCTGAGACAACATAAAGCACAAGCAACCAAGCACAAAGGTGGGTGACCTAATCTGAAAGTTTATGTTCTGTTGGCCTCACTTACTTCTTGTCAGTATGATTTGCCATCCCTATCTGTTTTAAATTCAACACCCTATGGGTAACATGGGCTATAAAAGTAGGACTTAATTTCCAATTTCCTTTCAGTAGTGGCTCTTAACCTGGTATTGGTCAACAACCCACATGGAGATTCTACTGTAAGTATAGTTACCCAGATAGGAATGCCTGGATGGTGTGATTTATTAGATCTTGAAAGGCGGCAGCAAGTGTTTGTAATCTCCATAAATGATACACTACAATCTGAAACTCAAACTATTTCTGATCACTGAAGGGAAGATATGTAGAAATTGGAGAACCATTTCCTGCAGTTACAATTTTTGTTTCTGCATTTAGTTCCTATCAACATATATGCAAAAAAGTAAAAGATAAACAGTCTAAGTATAAACATGACCGAAATTTTTTTTTCTTTTCAGATGGAGTCTCACTCTGTCACCCAGGCTGCAGTACAGTGGCACAATCTCAGCTCACTGCAACTTCTGCCTCCTGAGTTCAAGTGATTCTCTGGCCTCAGCCTCCTGAGTAGCTGGGATTACAGGCATGTGCCACCACGCCTGGCTAATTTTTGTGTTTTTAGTAAAATCGGGGTTTCGCTATGTTGGTCAGGGTGGTCTCAAACTCCCCACCTCAGGTGATCTGCCCGCCTTGACCTCCCAAAGTGCTGGGATTATAGGCGTGAGCCACATGCCCAGCCAAAATATGACCAAAACTTCAAATTTTCCATATACATGTATTTAAGACCTGCATCTTAAATATGTGATCTGCCACTAAAACCTAACTTTTTTACTGCTTTATTTTCAACTGGATACATTTCATAGGCAGCCTGACTGCAACTGTTAACTAATATTGTTAACAGGTCCGTGAAGCATTAGCTGAGAAACAAATTTGTTTCCTTAGCAGAAAGAGCTCTAATTTGAGAAAAATAGAGAATCCTAAAAATAAGTACAGCTTATGAAACACAGACAATATAAAAAGTGAAAGAAATGAAATAACAGATTTTAAAAAACAAGGCAATGAAAATGTAATTATTAAAAATAAATAGATTCATCATTTTTCAAATACCAAATTACATTTACCATGTCACACAAAATGCGATTATATTAACTGTGCTTTGGAGACAAACAAAAAAACAGTGTTTAATTATCAACTGGAGTTTTAAGTCTATTACATAGTGAGTACTACAAGTATGCCAGACATAGTATCTCAGAGATTCTGTCTGTATCATCAAAATGTAGTCCCCATAACATCCCATGAAAGTATAGTAATCTGAGGGAGAACAACAGCATCTGCTATCAGACTCTTCAAAGAAAACAGTATTAAAATTTACCTCACTGTCCTGCTTCTCATCCCCGAACATATCATCGTGTAAATCACTACCTGTGCCTTCAATTGCAAGAATACTGTTCCTGATAGAAGGAATCATGTATAGCTGCTGGATCACAGAGTTCATGTAACACGTAGCACCAGCATTTTTGAGTCCCACAAATCCTTTTGGTGGGCGGGGTCCAACAGGGGGCAGATATTCCCACTCAGTAAGTGCTTCACAAGCTGAGTTGAAAAGAGAAAAGATGCTTATACTATGAAAACAGTGATTCTGTTCACCATTTTCAGGCTAACAAATTAATAATAGCAACACCTCCTTCACCACCACAGCCACTTTGAAACAGTACTTTAAATTTTGACACCAACAACATAAGCCACCATACAGATTTTAACTACAGACCTTGTTAAGTTGATGTTTTTAATGATACTGCTTCTGTAACAGTTTTAAGAGTCATATAAGATGATGTAATATTGGCCAGTGCCGTGCCTCATGCCTGTCATCCCAGCAGTTTGGGAAGCCAAGGCAGGCAGATCACCTGAGTTCAGGAGTTCAAGACCAGCCTGACCAACATGGTGAAACCCTGTCTCTAGTGAAAATACAAAAGTTAGCTGAACACGGTGGCATGTGCCTGTCATTCCAGCTACTTGGGAGGCTGAGTCAGGAGAATCGCTTGAACCCATGAGACAAAGGTTGCAGTGACTCCAGCCTGGGCGACAGAGACAGACTCTGTCTCAAAAAAACAAGATGGTATAGCATTAAATTTCCATGTGTTAAACACAGGCTTAGTGTTAACCATTATTATTTTACTAATTAAAAACTTCTAGCCGGGCATGGTGGCTCACGACTGTAATTGCAGCACTTTGGGAGGCCAAGGCGGGCAGATCACGGGGTCAGCAGTTTGAGACCAGCCTGGCCAACATGGTGAAACCATGTCTGTACTAAAAATACAAAAATTAGCTGGGTGTGGTGGCATGCACCTGTAGTCCCTGCTACTAGGAAGGCTGAGGCAGGAGAACTGCTTGAACTCGGGAGGTGGAGGTTGCAGTGAGCCGATATCGTGCCACTGCACTCCAGCCTGGCAACAAGGCCAAGACTCCCTCTCAAAAACAAAAACAACAACAAAAAAATAAACTTCTGTACCTAAGTGTATTGAATTCACTGTGGTCAGAACTCTATATAAACAAAATACTATGGTTTTCTCACTTTTAATTGCATATAGGACCACTTTGTTTTATTTATAATGAAAGTATGTATACATTACAAACTTGACTTTGTCAAGTCGTGGTTCTGATTCTTAAAAAAGTATAACCTTCACGTAAATATCTGTTTCCTTCCTTAGTAAATAGTGATAATTGCTTTACCAATATCCAGTTTTATTGTGAGATAAAGTCAATGGGATGGTGTATTTCAAATCACTGTGAGAACTATAAATCCCTCTCTTACTTGCATAAAACCAAAACAACTTAAACATCAATCACCATCAGAGATGAATTACATAAACTGGAGCACATTGAACTGCAAGTTATGTAGCTAAAAAACAGAATTATACAGACCTTCATGTGCTGACAGGTGTGTCACAAAGTACAAAACAAAATTAACAATATTGTATTTTGTACATTCTCATTTGTACAAAACGAATAGCTATACATACATATAAATGCATAGACAGAGATAATCTCTGGACTGGAAACATAAAACCTGTAGGAAGTTAATAACTGTTAACATGTATCCTCTTTTGTATTTGAAAATACATATTTACCAGGTATAAACTTTAGTAAAATAAACAAGTGTTTCTTTTTTTTTTTTTTTTTTTTTTTTTTGAGACGGAGTCTCTCTCTGTCGCCCAGGCTGGAGTGCAGTGGTGCAATCTCGGCTCACTGCAAGCTCCGCCTCCCGGGTTCACGCCATTCTCCTGCCTCAGCCTCCCAAGTAGCTGGGACTACAGGCGCCCGCCACTACGCCCGGCTAATTTTTTGTATTTTTAGTAGAGACGGGGTTTCACCGTTTTAGCCGGGATGGTCTCGATCTCCTGACCTCGTGATCCGCCCGCCTCGGCCTCCCAAAGTGCTGGGATTACAGGCGTGAGCCACCGCGCCCGGCCATAAACAAGTGTTTCTAAAAAATAAACTCTTTTGAAACTACACTTACCACATAAATACATTAGCTAAATAAATTAACAAAAGAAGCGTTTTTAAAAAAGAAACTTTTTAAAAAAGAGTGACTCACACATGTAATCTCAAGTAGTTACTCACACATGTAATCTCAGCGCTTTGGGAGGCCAAGATGGGTGGATCACCTGAGGTCAGGAGTTCTAGACCAGCCTGGCCAACATGGTGAAACCCTGTCTCTCTAAAAATACAAAAATTAGCCAGGTGTGGTGACAGTCGCCTGTAATCCCACCTACTTGGGTGGCTGAGGTAAGAGAACTGCTTGAACCCGGGAGGCGGAGGTTGCAGTGAGCTGAGATGGCGCCATCGCATTCCAGACTGGGGAACAAGAGTGAGACTTCGTCTCAAAAGAAGAAACTCTTCTCTCTATGCAGATTCAAAGCGACAAAAAAACATCTGACCTTCTAAGCAGGGAGTTTAGCTAGAAACTCCTACAATGTGATTGAAAACGTCCTCACCCAGAGAAAGACATAAGCAAAGATAAATTCATATTTATTAAAGATTTATAATGAATGCTGTTATTAATTATATTTTTAAGCCTTGGGTTTTTCCTTGAAATGAACTAAATTTTATATTATTATCTGTTATTTTACTTATACCACCTCCCACTCTGAGTTTCAGTTCTATGTAAGATCTGAACATAGGTACTCACTTTGTGGGACTGATGTAGGCATTTAGAACTTAGTAAAATACACTCAAATATTCTCTTCTCACACTGTGATCTTTAAAACCATACCTTCCTTAGAATTCAACTAAAATAACATTAAGCAACTTCAGTGTTAGGATTATGAAAATCTTTTCAATACATACATTTTAAATATAAACTTTTTATGGCATTAAATTTGCCTTCCTGTTACTCTGAAGTTTTGGTTTTATTTCACATATGATTAAATAAAACTCATCTAAACAAACTATAAGGAGCATTTAAAAGACACAGCTAAAAATTTTTCTGAATTAATGTTCTCTGACTAAAGTGGTTTTAATTGTATAACTGACAGCTAAAAAATGTTAAACTCATTGGATCAAAAAAAGTCCATCACAAGTTAATTTTTTCTAAAACACCAAATAAAATTTTACAGTGAAGTATTATTAATGAACAAAACAGCTTTATAATTTAAAATACTCACTAGTAATTGCTGTGCCCATGTAATACATTTCAGTCAAACAGTCTACTATCTGTTTGAGATTCCTCACACAGCCAATAGCTAATGCTACAAGTAGCTCAAAACCGGCATTGATGGTAACGGGTGAACTACAGACTGGAATAGCCTGCTCAGCTGGTAGTTCTCCACTTCTTAAATACTGCAGGTAAACTTTGGATGCGGGAAAGATGAAATCATCAATTAATTCCTAGTAAGTTAGAAAAAGACATTACATGTTATTAGTAGAAAATATAGGTTAGGAACAATATGTTTCTTCAAAGGGAATACTTTAGTAATTATCTGACATAATTAAATATCTCATTATATCTCAAAACAAAACCCCACAAAAAAACCCGAGTACAATTAATAAATGTAATCAGTTTTCCAGATTAGATTTTTTGAAGTGATTTAAACAATTTTATACCAAAGAAAAGTGACATTCTAAATAAATTTATTTCTTTAATCAGATATAAACAGAAACAAATTCATTTCAAACAGGAACAGAATGCATCAAAGTTATATTCTTTTTCTTGAATTGCATGACATATAAAGAAGCTCACCAAGAAATAGTGTATAAAAAATGAAGTTTTGCAAGACAGAAATTTCTCTCATTTAGAAATCTAGTCAAGAAAAATTGAGATTTATTCAACATGAAAATCACCTCAATGCTGCTTACTGACTTTTCATACCACTTTATTGTAACTCTGATTTGTAATTACTTTACAAAATCTCTTAAAGTGAGGCACACGTTTTAAAGTTACTGTAACCTCTTCAGAGATCCTTTTTAAAAGAGAAGTGGGACAAGAAAAAAGAAAAAATATCAAGATTATGTCTCAAAGACATTATACAGAGGTCAATCAGACAGATTTGCTAACATTTATGAGGTCATGATAAGAAGTTCAGTAACAAAATTCAGAACTTACCTTAAAGAGGCTGGGTGCGGCGGCTCACCCACTTTAGGAGGCGGAGGTGAACGGATCACTTGAGGTCAGGAGGTCAACACCAGCCTGGCCAACATGGTGAAACCAGGTCTCTACCAAAAATACAAAAATTAGCCAGGTCTCTACCAAAAATAGAAAAATTAGCCAGGTGTGGTGACACATGCCTGTAATCCCAGCTATTTGGGTGGCTGAGGCACGAGAATCACTTGAACCCGGGAGGTGGAGGCTGCGGTGAGCTGAGACGGCACCACTGCACTCCAGTCTGGGCCACAGAGCAAGACTCCATCTCAAAAAAAGAAAAAAAAAAGTACTTACTTTAATGAGATTAGCACCTCCTTTTTCACAACCAAAGTGATACTTTTTCTCAGAAGTTTGAAAGGCCAATAACTCTTTTGTTACCCCAAGGTGGCCTTCCAGTATTGGCTCTTCGACACCTGTTTCACCTGTGTTTTTAACATTATCCTGCAAAAGGAAAAATATTATAGGCCCAACTCACAACATGGAGATAGAAAAGGACAAGGAGTTAGGAGAACAGAGAGCTGGAAGGAAATGAGATCTTCTATACAACTTCCCCAAACTGTTCAAGTGGTTTCCTATTTCTTTTTGAGAACTCTCTAGAACAGTAAATGCAAGCAATTTTGCTTACACAAACATATTTGGGATTTACAACCACGAGGAAAGGAGGTTACTACAGCACTGAGTGGAAGAGGCCCGAAATGCTGCTTAACATCCTACAATGCACAGCAAAGCTCCTCCCCAAAAGGAATTATCTGGGTACACAACGTCAATACCAGGGTTCAAAAACCGTGCTCCGTAAGTAAGCTTTATAATCTACTAGAAGCAGCTAACCTGAAGCCCAAAGCCATACACTTTAGAAATATACTCTCATAGAACTTTGTGAAGTAAGATATCAGATGGTTCAATGTAAATACGAATCTCTCAAATTCGATTTTTTAAAAAGTCTTCAAATGTGATAATTTCCCCAAAAAAGGCCAAGAAGCACCAAAGTGAAAGAAACAGAATTATCAGCATTCCAAGTTTCAAGAAAAGTAAAACACATTGAACAAAACTAGCTATGTTTGTTTCTATGAATCTAAGTTACCAATTCACTAGTGAAAAGTACACATTTTGTTTGTATTTATTCTCAGAGGCATTTTGAGAATTTATTCTCCTAAGTTGTCAAATAAAAATAGAGACTAAATAAAAGACTACAAACCTCCTTTTAATAAGACAGCTGATTTGGTCATGACATAATAAACTAAATACTATTCAACTTACCCTAATCCTTTTGAGCCAATCAATTTCACTGACAAGAAGAACTTCAGCATTGGGTATGTTAATATTGCCATTGTAAGCATAATTGAGAAGGTGCCGTAAAAGTGTGAAATAATCACCTGAATATTTACCCTTCTCTCTTGCTGTGCTCTGAAATATTAAATTAAAACAACATGAATTCACAAGTCTACACTCAGAGTCCATATAATTTTTTTAAACCCAGAAAAATTAAAATTGGCAATATTTCATATCAATGACAAAGATGTACTATATTTTTCCTACAGACGTACTATATACATAAAATAAATATATAGTACATCTATAGACCTACTATATATTTTTCCAAGACGTAGTGTATTTTTCCCAAGAACTGTAAAAAAACAAAAAGCCAATCTACAAATAGTAAAAAATTATAATACTGCATTTATTAATTATGCCTGTTCTAAATACAATAAAAGCTATCGTAGTAACTTTCTGAATGTCTCTCATGTTAAGAATGCATTATATTGATAAGTTCATTTGAAAACTTCTCACCCCCAGTATGGTAAAGAGTAAAGTAATGAAGAAAAGCAGAGGCCTGTGTCCCATGCAACATCTGGTGCACATTAAAAAGAACTGCTCCTGTGCCAACTGACGAACAGTTCTGAAATAAAAACAAAATGTATCTTATGAACAACAACAAAATAATTCCAACACTGATCTATCTTTAATAGGAGGTATATACATCAATAGTAAAATACAAGGTAACCCCCATTTTAGCATTTGGCTAGCAACACAGAATGAATGAGTTTAAAATACTTGTCAGGGAGCTAATCCTCAAATTGTTACCTAGTAGGCTAGGAATATTACTACTTACTATTTATTGTTCAAGTTTGTTAATGTATGATTTCTTAGATCTTCTAATATTTACTGTGAATCAGGGGTCGGGGTGGATCATGTCAAAGGTAAGCATCAATCAATAAAATATAAGCCTCTTATTTTGCAGGACATATTTTTAACAACCTCTCTCGGAAATGCCTGGAAACACCCTCTAGATACTATACAAAGGTGCTATGAATTAAGCTTCTGTATATCTTTTTTAGCCTCCCCAGAATCACTTTCAATGAACCGTGCATTGGAGCAAGCAACTCATGGAAATGCAACATGGCTAAAGATATGTCTGATTGTATCAATGATTCTCAAACGTGATTATCAGACCAACAGCATTAACATCATTTGAGAACCTCGAAGACATACAGATCCTCAGATTCCATTCCATACTTACTGAGTCATTAATTTTGGAAGACAAACCCAGAATCTCTTTTTCTCTCTCTCTTCTGTCTTCTCTTCTCTCTCCCCTCTCTCTCTCTCTCCTCCACCCCACTCAAACTTTAATCAACTGAACTTTTCAAGGGCTTATAAAAGTCCCTCCTATTTATGAAACCCACAGGTTGGGCTCAGAAATCTTCAAACTATAGTATCAAAGAATTCCACATGTATGCCTTTTCTTCACAATTTTCTGGAGAGACAGTCCAACTGTGTTAAATTCCTAAAGGTGTCTGAGACTCTAGATTTAAGGATATTTAGCAGACTTCCAGCCTCTCACCACTAGATGCCAGTAACAACCTTACCAATCCCACTTCCAGTTATGAACCAGGCTTAGAGTAAAATCTAAAGTAATATCTATTGACCTATATAAAACATGACCTATATAAAGCTATCACATGGACTGTCCGTTATCTCTACGAGCTCTTCATCTATAATTGTTCTCCTTTTTCATCCTGCCTCAGCCACACCGACCTTGCTATTTTTCTAACAAGCTAAGTAGGCTTATGCCAGGGATCTTCATACTTGTTGATCCTGCTGCATACTTACATGATTATTCCCTTGTTTGTTCATTTAGACATTTACTTGAAAGTCACCCTGGCAACGAAGTATTTTGTGACTCTCCTATATAAAACCAAACTGTACTTTATAACAAACAAATCCTGCCTCATGCATTTTATATGGAATCGATAATCTTACTTAAAAACAAAGCAAAGAAAAAGTTTCATACCATATCCACTAAAACAAAAACCTAACATCTAGGAACCCAAATTAGGAGGTTAATATACTACTTAATTATTTTAAGGAAAATTTTTAAGGCACAAAAGTGTAAATCTCCTAAATAAAAATGAACTCTGAGATCGGAAAACAATCAGTGCTTCATAAATTAAACTGAAAGCAAAGCTACAGGACAGACACTTTCAAACCCTCCAAAGAAACAGCACATCAACCCAAAACTGACAGGACCCTGGAAATCAACAATTTATATCAACCAAGCAAACACTGAGCCAAGAGAGATAATTTTTAAAATGGTAGGAAAGTCTTGTGGTGTTACCATACCACCTCCCAGGCACAGCTGAAGCCTTCGAAAATGCAATCCACATTCTCAATGTGAGGCCCTGACCCCTGATTCTAGAAGGAGTAAAGAAGACCTTAGGTGCTAATTTATTGTGTTTTATTTCTAGTCTGTCTAGGAGTTACATAAAGAATTGGTGAAACACACATATCTCTGTTTTGCCTAACTCAGAACTCACTCATGGTTGAAAATGCCAGGCATTAGTCACAAATATTTAAGTTGCTGGGAGCAAAGTATATGATTAACCCATAAAACAGACAACCTGAAAAAGAGGGCAAAAGCTGGAGAGATCTTTCTTTTGGAGAAATCAGAATATTTGAAAGCAGTTAAATATACTAAAGAATTTAGAAAATCATGCACATGCTCATGACAGGAAACATTCTCAAAAAACATGTAAAACTCTAAGTGTTAGCCCTCAGGCTTAACTATAGCTTCAATGTGAGAAAAAACTGAAGGCTGAGGCAGAATTGTAAACAGTCTCCCTAAGTATTAAAGGGGTGTGTTAATACAGATCCAGTTGTAAAAACTGATAGTTTTTATATTACACTCAATTAAAACACTGTTGCAATGCAAGCTAAGCCTTCAATAACTAAGAGGACACCTTGGAGAAATGAAGACTTCCAGAGTTAACACACTGCAACATTTCAAATATAGTTTTCTACAAAAAAACAACAAAACACACAAAAACAAACAGGAAAATATGACCAATGTGAAGTGAAAAACAGAAACTGAAAATGTCCTGAACTTTATACACAAAGACTATAAAAAAACCAAAGTTTTGGCTGGGCATGGTGGCTCATGCCTATAATCCCAGCAGTTTGGTAGGCCGAAGCAGGTGGATCACGAGGTCAGGAGATCGAGACCATCCTGGGTAACACAGTGAAACCCCGTCTCTACAAAAAATACAAAAATTAGCAAGGCGTGGTGGTGTATGCCTGTAATCCCACCTACTCAAGAGGCTGAGGCAGGAGAATCGCTTGAACACGGGAGGAATAGCTTGCAGTGAGCAGAGACCGCGCCCTTGCACTCCAGCCTGGGTGACAGAGAGAGACTCTGTCTCAAAAAAAAAAAAAAAAAAAAAAAAAAAAAAAAAAAAAAAAAAAGAGTTAAGCCTAAAGAAAAAAACAGCAGACAAATGATAAAAGAACACGAGAGTATCAATGAGACAAATTATAGAAGAAAATATGGAATATCTAGAGATAAAAAAGCACAATGATGCAAATGAACAGTTCATTAAAGGAGTATATAACAGCAGGTAAAGATTAAGTCTGAAGAAATGAAAATTGAAATAACCCAGTGTGAGAACAGAAAAAAAGAAGAATTTGAAAAAGTGGGAAAAACCTAACAAGTACACAGAACGCCATGAAGCAGACCAATGCATGCAATATGGGTGTCCCATAAGTGCAGAAGGAGAAGAGGCAGAAAGAATATCTGAAGACATAAATAGCTGAAAATTCCCAAACTTGATGAAATATCTGAATGTCCAAACTCAAGAAGGGTAAAAATCTCCAACAAGAACATAGTCAAAAACAGCCAGCCACACCAAGAAAATTATAGTCAGTCAAGAACCAAGACAACTGTAAAAACAGAAAGGGAGAAGCAATTTGTCATGCAGAAGGGAGTCTTGACTGACAACAGACACCTCAGAATGGAAGCCATTTGTTATGTAGAAGGGTGTACTGATTAACAACAAACAGCTCAGAAAGCATGGAAAATACAGAAGCCAGAAAGCGATAACAAAATGTTAATAGAAAAAAGCTATCAAACACGAAATCTGAATCTGGCAAAATGATACTTCAAGCAAAAATACTTCAAGCAAAAATGCCTAGATACAGAAAAGCTAACGGAATGCGTTACTACCCCTGCTCTACAAGGATTGCTAGAAGGAAGCCATCAAGTTAAAATGAAAGGACATTGGACAGTAATTTTAAGCCACAGGAAGAATTAACATTGTAAAGAAAGCTGCTATTACTATTATAACAACTGGGAAAAGTAACTATTACTATTGTACTTCTGGTAGGCAGCTATTACATAAAACAATTACAAATCCATTTTAATGGACACTGTGTACAGATATAATCTGAGACAATAACATAGATTAGGAAGGATGGAAAAGTACAAAAGCAGCATATTTATATACTGTTGAAACTAAACTTCATATTATTCAAACAAGTTAGTATTACTCAAAGTAGGCTATTTTAAGTTTAGAATATTAACTGAAGTCCCAAATATAATTAATAAAAAATATAAAATATACAGAAAAGGGAATAAGCACATTTTTTTTTAAAAAACAAATTTTTAAAATGAGCATCAAGTAATAATATAGTGAGGATCAAATATATAGTGAGGATCAAATATATAGTGAGGATCAAGTATATAATGAGGATCAAATAATATAGAGAACAGGCAGAAAATAAGTAGGTAAATGTCGGAGTAAACCATTACTTGCTTGTAATAACTTGAAATGTATGCTCTGTGTGAAAAGGCACAGACTGGCAAAATGCATTTTTAAAAAATGGATTCACCTATATGAAATTTATGCAAGTCTCACTTTAGGTGTAAAGACACAGAGGTTAGAAGGAAGAGGATACAGGGTTCTGGGAAGAGGGCAACAATGAACTACAGAGCACCATGAATCTGTCTCTCCAACTAGACAATAGGTGCAGTTGGCAGAATTGTGTGATACAATTATTTTGGAACCCTACAGTCTATCTCAAGGTTTACAGCTTTCAAAAGAAGACTTGGATAGTAAACTACAATTAAATTTGATCAATTTCATAGCTTGGCTCAACAGCAGCCACCTACGCTCCATCAACTACCACTGTGATATGCTGCCTTGCAAACACTTCTGGAGCAGCCTGCAAGAGCCAGGATGGACAGAAAGAACCCTGTCCTCCAAATCTCAGGAGGACTTGTGCACTGATTGCCGCTTCTGATTAAGATGGTCCCGACAAAGGTGGGCAGTCATTGTTACATTCCCCAACCATTTTGCAGGAGCTTCCTCCTCCTGCTGAAGCAACTTTCCAGGGATTAAAAGGGCCAGAGCATTTTCCTTTCTCATTTTTCTATTCAGATTTGAGCAGACAGAAGGGGGGAAAAAGCATACCTAAAGAAAAGGCAGTTAAAATTATCAAGTCAGTAAGAGAAAGAAAAAATAATAAAGAAAAGTGAACACAGCCCAGGAACCTGTGGGACACCATCAAGCAGACAAACTTACACATTTTGGAAGTTCAAAGAGAAGAGAGAAAGAAACAGAGTATCTAACGAAACAGTTGTCAAGAATGTCACAAATTTTAGGAAATAAATAAACACCAAGAAGCTCAAGAAATTCCAAGTAAGATAAACTCAAACACACACAAAGATACATGCTAATTAAACTGTCTAAAACAAAGACAAGGAGAATCTTGAAAGCAGCAAGAGAAGTCACTAGTCATGAACTAAAGACCCGCATTGATAATCAGAGGATTTCTTTTTTTTTTTTTTTGAGATGGAGTTATGCTCTTTCTCCCAGGCTAGAGTGCAGTGGTGCGATCTTGGCTCACTGCAACCTTCGCCTTCCGGTTTCAAGTGATTCTCCTGCCTCAGCCTCCCGAGTAGCTGGGATTACAGGTGCCTGCCACTAAGCCTGGCAATTTTTGTATTCTTAGTAGAGACCAGGGTTACACCATGTTGGCCAGACTGGCCTCGAACTCCTGACATTGTGATCCACCCGCCCCGGCCTCCCAATCACCAGCACGTTTCTTATCAGACACCTCAGAGGCCAGAAAGCAGTGGGCTAACATATTGCAAGTGCTGTAATGATAAACTGTCAAACAGAAATCTTATGTCCAAACAAGCTGCATCAGTGTGAGGGAGAAATTATGACATTCCCAGATAAAAGCTGGAGAAGTTTGTTACCACTAGATTACCCTTCGAGAAATGCTTTATGGAGTACTTCAGGGTGAAATGAAAGGACACTATACAGCTGTCTGAATAAAGATTAAGGTAAAGATAAATATATGGCCAATTATGAAAGCTATCAAAGCTTTTAACAATGTGCAACTCCACTATTTGTTCTCTACATGATTTACAACAGTATTATATTAAAAGGCTATCACCAGCTTATGTTTTTGGACATAAAATGCATCAAGGTGTAATTCTGTGAACTTAATAACTGACATGACGGGGTCTGAGCTATTAAGGAGTGGGGCTTTTGTATGCTACTGAAGGTAAACTAGTGTGACTTTAAAAGTGTTATAACTTTCTTAAATGTAATTGTCACAGCAACCACAAAAGGGAATAGTAACAAGCAGGTAGGACGCTTTCTGCATGACACCCGAGACCAGGAGCTGGGGATCCAGCTGCTCTTACCTGAGGCATCTGCCTAGCCCTGCATCATGGGACCATGGCCCCAAGCCCGAGCTGGCCCACCAGGGAGTAAGTGTGGAGAGCCAAAGGCAGTTTCTCCACACAACTTCTTCCCCACCAGTGGCCACAAAAGCAGGAGAGGCTCATACGTGCCCAGCGCCTGGTGGAGCAGTGGAGGCAGAAGTGGTGGCTATGTGGGGACACAACTGAAACAAAGTGTTGGCCACCTGGCACAGCACCTGCCCCAACCCTGTCCACCCATCCATGGTTTCCCAGGAGTTTGAGGTTGAAACGACTGTTGACAAGACAAGAAAGGGAAGACAGATTATTTGGTTTGGTGGAAAGGCTATGACAACAAGGATGACACTTGGGAACCAGGGCCACACCTCATGAACTGTGGGCAATATATTCACGATTTTAACACATCCCACACTGAAAAACAGAAAGACAACATACTGGCCAGAATAGGTAGAACTTCTTCAAACAATGCCAAAAAAGAAATCTCCAGCCTTACCAAAACCAACTTTTCTAAGAGCTCTTTTAAGATGCTAGCGATTAGCAAAGACCACAAGTCCAAAAACAGCCAGTTGTCTGCTGCCAGCCAGAACTTTGGGGAGAAACACAGCTTAATCTCTCTCCAATCCAAAGAATATGGAGCTAGTAAATTCAACTATCAGTTGAATTTGCTTGCACCTCAGAGCCCCAGTAACACCAGGAACACAGTGGGTGGCTTTCAGGAACCTGAAAAACTGGACCCTGTTGAGCCACATCAGCAGGACACAGTGGTGCTCAAGGTGGCAGCAGAGAAGCCAGGCAGAGCTTTATCAGACCCCAGGGAAAAAAAGGCTGGGATGGAGAACAGACCCCAGATCTACCCACTAATGCCTCAGATGTCTGGCCCAGTGACTGCTGCCAGGGCCACAGGCTCAGCTAACAAGGAAGAAAGTACATTGCTATTAATCGATCCATTAATAGCCCATGGAGCAACAAACATGCAAACATCCGTACCAAGAGTGAGAGGTGGGAAAAGAAAGGTTGTTGATGACAGGCTGGGTGTGGTGGCTCTCTCCTGTAATCCCAGCACTTTGGGAGACTGAGGCAGGTAGATCACCTGAGGTCGGGAGTTCAAGACCCTCCTGACCAACATGCAGAAACTCCGTCTCTACTAAAAATACAAAATTAGCTGGGCATGGTGTCACATGCCTGTAATCCCAACTACCCGGGAGGCTGAGGGAGGAGAATAGCTGGAACCCGTGAGGCAGAGATTGCGGTGAGCCAAGATTGCACCATTGCACTCCATCCTGGGAAACAAGAGTGAAACTCCAGAAACTCCATCTCAAAAAAAAAAAAAAAAAGAAAAAAAAGAAAAAAAGAAAGCTTATTGATGACAGAAGAAACCAGCCTTTTGTCAAGAGGGTGCGTTTCAGCACAAAGCTAACAAAGTGCCGACAGATACTGAGATACTGTGGTGAGGAAGAAAGATGGCTTCACTCAGATCCTGCTATTAACTAGATCAACAGAGAATAACTCCCTAAATACAGAAGTAATGAAAGAAATTCAGGGTACTCTGAATAGGGCTGCTGCCAATGACAGCAAGCTCCTGCTACTCAGCGTAGCTGACAGTGTCTTTGCTGTGGCCTTGATTTTGTGTTCTTTGTGAAGCATTTAAGAAATGATAGAAAAAGGGAAAGCATTAAAAGAGTGGACACTAGCGAAAACTTTGTGAATACTCTCATTTAGGGTAAGAAGCCTATTATTTCATCAGTCAATGGCCCAGCCATTGGACTCGTCACATCCATACTGCCTCTTTGTGATGTGGTTTGGGCTAATGAAAAGGCGTGGCTTCCAATACCTTTGGTGTTTGGAGGCGTGTACCAAATGCCTGGTCTCTCAGGCGTTTTGGACGACACCTTTCACTCAGAAGGTTATGGTTCAAATTAAGGAGCTTGCCTCCTACAATCCTGTTGTGCTTGAGGAATCCAAAGCCCTTGTGCACTGTAATGTGAAGATTGAGTTGGAACAGGCCAATGAGAGTGTGAACAGCTGAAGAAAATCTGGGGCTTCGCACAAGGGATAGAATCTGTGTTAAAAGTATGTGCAGAAGAAAATCTATCAGTTTTGATTGTCAGTCTGTCTGCTCATGACACTAGTACTGGGCTGAGCAGAATACATCATTAGCTACAAGACGCCCTAATCCAGCCTCATAGCCTGAAACAAGTTCACCCATAGCTAACACTTGGAAGCAGGACTAGAAATATCCAAGCTCCTTATTTAATATTACAAGGCATTTTTAAGCACTGTAACTTTAAAATAAGTAACGACAAAGCTTCTTTGCCCAAATGTCATTATTTTATGCACATATACACCCAAATATAAAAGCATACTGGTGAGCACTAGACTGTTCTTGGAAGCTCTAATTTTTATCTACAGCCAGTGATATATAAAAGACCACAATTGTGTTTTATTACTTTTGGATGACAGAAAAGTCTGAAATGATGTTTGTTTTTCTTATTTCTTCCTCCTAGAATGCCGAGTCTAAAAGGGTATGAAGCAGCCTCCCTCAAATAGATACACAGAAACTGAGATACTGCCTTTGTCTTTATGAAGATACAAAATACCTCAGAGACAGAAAATTCTAAATCAAAAGACTTATTTTTTAGAATAAATATTTCTGACAAAAATTCCACTGAAGATCATTCCCGCAAACCAAACATACACTTAGGATTCATGCTGACATATCGATTTTCCTTTGTTTTTAAATACCTTGTTCTTACCCAGTTAACATGAAGAAACCATTATCACTCTAGAATAAAACTTCTTGTGCAATATTAATGAATCATGGAATCGTTTAGGTATTGTTGCGGGATTTTGTAAGGAATCAGAGAAACCAATGGGGTTCAGGAGGATATTTATTACTTAGGTACTCCGGCCCAGTCGGATTGACATCCAAAGGACTGAGCCTTGAACAAAGAGTTAAGTTACCTTTTAAGCATTTCTTGGGGTGGGGGGAGATCTGTGCATGGGGAAGCATTACAGAAGTGAGAAACAAAGGCAGTTTTTCAATTAACTGAGACATGCATTACATCATTTCTTACTTTCCAAGGAAAAACATGTTTTGCGATTTAAGTTTATCTGTCTAGTGACCTTGCAGCTGCACAGCTAGAGAACCAGGGTCTTCACAATGCCTTGAAAAGGAGAAGAAATAAGGCTCACTAGCCACAGAAAAACAGGCAGTTACTTTTTAAAGTACTCCAGCTCTTTCTCTTCCTCAGGGGAAATTGGGTTTTCTTACATACAACTGAGTTTTTGCTTACACACTCTTTAATTTCTTTTAATTCCTGTTCCAGTATAAACATCTAAGTTATAATGTTTATAAAGTCTAGTTTTTAGGTTCAGTTGGAGTATTTTTAATATGTGAAAATTCTTGACACACTTAAATGCAGAAACTCCTTTCAAAACAAAACAAACTACCTTACATTTGGCATTAAAGTTTCTTGATGTCTGCTTTTATGTGCACACCACCCTCCAGGAAACTACATGTTCAGCTATCTAGAAGCTCTCTGAAGCCTGTCTTCTTGTCTGTCTAAGGACACGTCATTAAATAGGCATGATTAAATAATATTCTGGTCACCGGCGGTCAACTTGACCTTCAGCCACTCACTCTTCTTTCCTAGAAACTGCCCCGTGGGGCTGAGCATCCCAACTCTCTGTTAGCGGTGGGTCTTTGTTCTTAGAGCTGCCAAGATGGTGGCAGGCTGCTCCAAAGATGGCAGCAAGCCTTCCATTCTCTCACCTGGGGTTCTTGGCTTCACAGTTTCTAAGGAATGGAACCTTGGGCCATGCAGTGAGTGTTATAAGTCTATTAGAAGCCATGGGTCACAGAAGAGAACCGTGGAACCCAGCCACTAGTTTTCAGCTCGATTAGGACAAACCCAGGCACTTAGCCACGCAGGAACAGTAGCAAGCCTCTAGCCTGATCGGGAGCGGCAATGGGCGCCTCCCTGGATCAGAAGTGCAGTGGATACCCTGCCAGATCTGGAGGGGTGGAAGTCAATGGTGGGTCTGCAATGGCGGCATTCAGCAGTGGTGGAAGGCGAGGGAAACCTCAGCTTGAGCCAGAACAAACACAGACCAGAAAGGTGTGCAGTTGCAAGATTATTTAACAGAGTGAAAACAGAGCTCCTATACAACGGGAGGGGACTCAAAGGGGTTTGCCACTGCCGATTCAAATGCCTGAGTTTATATCCCGATCATTGTCCCTCCCCAGTGTACTCTCAGGCGATAGATGACTTGACTATTTCTTTACCTCCTGCTTTTAGCCTAATTGGTATTTTAATGACTTCTCTTTATTACCTGATTGGTCAGGTGTGAGCTGAGTTACAAGCCCCATGTTTAAAGGTGGGCGCAGTCACCTTCCCCAGATAGACTTAGGAATTCTTAGTCAGCCTAGGAAATCCAGCTAGTCCTGTCTCTCATAATCATGTCTTCCTCTTTCCAGTCAACACTAGCATATAAAGAGACAACACTTTGGAGATTCCAAAGATTTTAGAAGTTCTACTCCAAGAAAAAGGGACAAACACCAAACTCATTTCACAAGCTCACATCTATTAAAAAGAAAACCCCAGTGATACAGGAGTTAAGAAGAAATTACTCAGGCAGAGAGTAAGGGTGTGGGAGTCCTCCATAAGGCTCTTTTTCATGACTAGCAGCCCCAAATCATTTACCAACAAATGGCGGCCTGTAAAGTCGAGTTGCAGACATAGACAAGCAAGCTGGAAGCTTGCACAGGTGAAGGCCGGCAGGAACAGGGACTAGACATGTTCAAGATGGCAGCTCCATTGTCCCTTCTCTGCCAGCCATGTGTACAATAATGAGCAGACAAGATGGCTCCGATCAACTGGCACAGCCCAATATGCAAAATAACCTTAGGGTGGGGCCTCTGGATGTCGTGGCTCACCCCTGTAATCCCAGCAACTTTGGGAGGCGGGAGGATCACTAGGTCAGGAGTTCCATAATGGCCTGACCAACATGGTGAAACCCCATTTCTACTAAAAATACAAAATTAGTTTGGTGTGGTGGCACGCGCCTGTATTCCCAGTTACTCAGGAGGCTGAGGCAGAATTCCTTGAACCTGAGAGGTGGAGGTTGCAGTGAGCCGAGATCCCACCACTGCACTCCAGCCTGGGGGACAGAGCAACGCCCCTTCTCAAAAAAAAAAAAAAAAAAAAATTAGGGTGGGGCAACCAACCTTCCTCACACACTATGTAAATGTCATAGCTGATCAAACCAATCTGTGAACCCTATGTAAATCAGACACAGCCTCCTCAAACTGGGCTAGAAAATCCAGCACATCGGCTGCCAGCCAGTCCTTTCCCCTTGGAGACCCCTCTGTCTATAGAGACAGCTGCTTCTCTTTCTCTCCTCTTCTGTCTATTAAACCTCCGCTCCTGAACACCTTGGGTGTGTCCATGTCTTATATCTTCCTGGTGTATGACCATGACCTCCAGGGTGTATACACCAGACAATGTAGCTGTTTCACCAGGACCAGAGTGTTCAACTGTTGAAATCTACCAAATGTTCAAATTAAAACAAATTTTTCCCTTTTCCAAAATCATTTATTTTAAAACAAGACAGTACAGGTTGACCATCGCTAATAACAAAAATTAGAGGTGTTCTCTAACCTGAAACTTGAGGGCTGACACAAGTGAAAAACTCCATCCCTCAGTCTTAACGCAATCTTTGTTTCACGCACAAAACGAATACACAAAATTACCTTCATGAAGATAGATGAAAAATAAATGAATTTCCTGTTTAGACTGGTTTCTCATCACCAAGATATGCAAACATTCTAAAATCCAAAACACTTCTAAGTCCCAAGCATTTCAAATAAAGGATACTCAACCTGTACTTCTTAACTTATAAGACCAATACTATTCACCTAACAAAGCTAGACAAATATTTTTTCGAAAGAAGGAAGGACGGAAGGAAGGAAGGAGGGAGGGAGAGAGGGAGGGGAAGGGGGAGGGAAGGGAAAGGGGAAGGGAAGGGGAAGGGAAGGAGAAGGGAAGCAAAAGGGAAGAAAAAGGGAAGGAGAAAGGAAGGGAAGGAGGGAAGGGGAAAGTAGAGACCAACACAATACCTTTTAACAATGAGGACGAAGATCTGACTTTTTATGTTGCCCAAATTCCTGTCTAAAGGGTCTGGGGAGTCATTCCCTACAAATCATAAATCCTCATCAGATGGCTTTTATTTAACCCTATATATCGTGACTTACTTTTCAGTCTGACTCTGGCATAACATTACGATACAAGGAAGAAAATCAAAATATTTTACCCCAAAACATGTTTCTTAGCCATATCTTGAAACAGCTCTGCAAAGCTTTCCTTTGTGGGAGAAAACCTGCATCTGTTAAGAATCTCTATTAATATAGCCAAGTGTTTTTCTTCCAAGCCCTGTCAATCCTAAAGAGATTAACTGAAGGTCCAGCACCTTTTCAAGATCTGAATAAAAAACATTTGTCATTTATTGTCTCTAAGGGCAGCCACTGTAAAAAGACTTCACAAGAACCTTGGTCTCCACAATCTTTTATCTTAACCTGAACATGTGCTTTCTATGATCCCAGGTCTTTGCATAAAACCAATTGTCAACCAGAAAATGTTTAAATTTACCTATACCCTGGAAGCCCCCATCACCCGCTTTTGAGTTGTCCCGCCTTTCTGGACCAAACCAGTGTATTTTGTACATGTATCTGATTGATGTCTAATGCCTCCCTAAAATGTGTAAAACCAAGCTGCACCCCGACCACCTTGGGCACATGTTCTCAGGACCTCCTGAGGGCTGTGTCACGGGCCATGGGCACTCATATTTGGCTCAGAATAAATCTCTTCAAATATTCTATAGAGTTTGATTCTTTTCATTGACAACAATATACATGCAAAAATCCTCAATAAAATACTAGCAAGAAATCCAGCAGCATATTAAAAGTACAAGGTACCACGATGAAGTGTGGGATTTATCAAGAACGTAAGGGTGTTTAAACATATGAATTGATTCCTAATATATTGTCAGAAGCCTCTGAACCAGAACAATTCCATCTTGAATAGGGGCTAGGTAAAATAAGGCTGAGATCTACTGGGCTGCATTCCCAGAGGGTTAGGCATTCTAAGTCAAAGGACGAGACAGAGGTTGGTACAAGATACAGATCATAAAGACCTTGCTGATGAAACAGGTTGCAGTAAGAAAGCCAGCTAAACCCCACCAAAACCAATACGGCAATGAGAGTGACTTCTGGTCATCCTCACTGCTGCAGTCTCACCAGCGCCATGACAGTTTACAAATGCCATGGCAATGTCAGGAAGTTTACCCTATATGGTATAAAAATGGAAAGCATGAATAACCCAACCCTTGTTTTGCATATAATCAACAAATAACCACATAAATGGGTAACCAGCAGCCCTCAGGGCTGCTCTGCCTTTGGAGTAGCCATTTTCTTATTCCTCTACTTTCTTTTCCCCTGCCCCTCCCCCACCCCTTCCTGACAGAGTCTCACTTAGCCGCCCAGGCTGGAGTGCAGTGGTGCAATCTCAGCTCACTGCACCACCGTCTTCCAGGTTTCAAACAATCTCCCGTCTCAGCCTCCCAAGTAGCTGGGATTACAGGCACCTGCCATCATGCCTGGCTAATTTTTCTATTTTACTAGAGATGGGGTTTCACCAGGTTGGTCAGGCTGGTCTTGAACTCCTGACCTCTGGTGATCTGCCTGCCTCGGCCTCCCAGAGTGCTAGGATTACAGGTGTGAGCCACTGTGCCCGGCCTATTCCTCTACTTTCTTAATAAACTTGCCTTTACTTTATGGTCTCACCCTGAATTCTTTCTTACATGAGACCGAAGAGTCCTCTCTTAGGATCTGGATCAGGAATCTTTTCCAGTAACAGTATCATCAGAAATACAATAAAGAAAATAAGGCTTAAGGCTATCTCAATTGAGTCAAAAAAATTATCCAAACTAATGTAAACACCTTTTCATAATAAAACTGATTTTGAAAACTTGGAATACAAGAGAAGTTTCTCAACAGCATAAAGGCCGTATATGAAAAACTAATAGCTAACATGGTCACAGGTATTCGAACCAGAGCGACTCCCACAGGAAGTCCACACAAAATGCAGGTCACAAAGACCCTGCTGATAAAACAGGATGCAGTAAAGAAGCTGGCTCTTTGTACGCTAAATATAATGCATTAGCTTGCGAAAAGACACTCCCACCAGCGTCATATCACTTTACAAATACCGTGGCAACCATCCAGACTTTATCCTATATAGTTCAAAAAAGGGAGAAACCATCAGGTGGGTTGGGAGTGGGGAGCAGCAGATTCCCACCCCTTTCCCAGAAAACCCATGAATAATCCACTTGTTTAGCACAAATAAACTTTGTTTCGCATGTAATCAAGAAATCACCACAAAAATAACCAACTAGCAACTCTCAGGGCTGCTCTGCCTATGGAGTAGCCGTGCTTTTGGTTCCTTACTTCTCTATAAACTTGCTCTTATTTTACTCTGTGGACTTGACCCAGGTCCAGGAACCCTCTCTAGGGGTCTGGATCAGGAATAACAACATCACTAAATCGTGAAAGACTAAAAGCTTTTCCTCAATCAGGAACAAGATAAGTACGCCTGCTCTTACTACTACTAATCAAGGCAGTAGAGCATATAGGCAAAAAAGGGAAGAGATAAATTTGGTCCAAAAAGGAAAGAAAAAGTAAAACTATGTTATTTGCAAGTGGCATGATCTTACTGTAAAAAAACCTCTAATTCATAAAGAAATTTAACAAAATTGCAGGATAAATAAAATCAATATAAAAAAATTAGTTGTTTTGATATACTAGCAATGAATATCCCAAAACAAAATTAAGAAAACAATTCCATCCACAAGAGCAGCAAAAAGAGTTAGCACTACAGTACTTAGAAATAATTTCGCAGAGAAGAAATAAGAGTGTTGAAGAAGTAAACAGAATCTAAGTAAATGAAAAGACATCCCATGTTCATGTCTTGGAAGACTTAATACTGTTAAGAGGCAATCACTCTTTTGAGAGAGATTCAATGCAATATCCAGCTTAAAATTTATATGGATTTTTATAGAACCTAGAAGGTCCAAATAACCTCAAAAACAAATAAAAACCTAGGCAAAACCAAAACACAAACAAACTAAAAACCCCAACAAAGCTGAAGGACTTATATTCCCTGATGTACTAATCAGGAGTGTGGCATTGGCCTAAGGACAGGCATATAGACCAAAGGAATATAATTTAGAGCCTAGAAACAACCCCTTGTATCTTCAACAAGGTGCCTAGACCACTCAATGGGGTAAGACCATGTTCATCATGATGGGAAAGCTGGATATCCACATTCAAAAGAATGGAGTTGGACACTTAGTTTCACATCATTCACAAAAATCAACTCCAATTGGATGAAAGATCTAAAATTAAGAACTATAAAAATAAAAAATTCTTAGAAAACAATGTAGGAGAAAATAGCTTTTGCTCTGGATTTGCCAATGATTTCTATACTGAGGATGATGGAAACACAGGAAACCAAAAAAGACATAAATTAAACTTCATGAAAATTAAAAACTTCTGTGCATAAAATAACATTATCAGCAGAGTGGAAATAAATCCTGAAGAATAGGAGAAAATGTTTGTAAATCATTAGTCTGGAAAGGAATTAATATCCAGAATATATACAGAAACTCACTACAAAAATAATCAAATTCAATAATGCTATAAAAACTGGAAGATACATTTCTCTAAAGCAGATATACAAGTGGCCAGTAATATCACAAGAGCCAATGCTCAATATCACTACAATAGTCATAAGGAAATGTAAATACAAACCACAATGAGGTTACATCTTACATACGTTAGGATGGCCATTAACAAAAGTGAAAATAGTGTGGGAGAGGATTTGGAGAAACTAAAGCCTGTGTAAGGTGAGGTTGGGAGTGTAAAGTGGTGAAGCCAATGTTAAAAAAGTTCAGCAGATCTTCAAAAAGTTAAACACAACTTACCCTATGACCCAGCACATCCATTTCTACAAATATACTCAATAGCTCTGAGAATAAGAACTCAGAGATCTGTGCTCATAGTAATATTCACAATAACAGTAATCAAGAGCTAAAAGGTAGAAATAATCCAGGTGTCTATCAACAGACCGATGTATAAACAACATCTAGTATACACATATGAGAGAGTATCCCCTGAAAATGAATCAAGTTCTGACCATGCTACAACATAGATGAACCTTTAAAACATTATGCTAAGCTAACAAACTAGACACAAAGGCACAAATTTGTGTGATTTCACTTATGTGACATACCTAAAATAGGAAATGCATAGAAACTAAATGAATATTTTAAGTTATCAGAGATTGGAGGGTAGTGAAAATGGGAGTCATTAGTTAAAAAGAATTTGTTGAGGGTGATAAAATATTTTGAGGGTGATAAAATATTTTTGAGATAAAGCAGGAGTGACTGCACAATATTGCAATCATTCAATATACACCAGTCATAACTGCACAATATTGTGCAATTAATGCCACTGAATAAAGCTAACTTAAAAAAGAGGTTAAAATGGCTAATTTTGTGTTATGTATATAATTACATGATTTACTACAATAAAAAAAAGTAAAAGAAAAAAATCAATGCTGGCATCTTGCAGAGAAAAAAATTCAGGTTAACTGGAAATGTTTTTAAAAAAATGCTTCTACACTTCAAGGTATTACATGGGCAAGTAAAAGGGTTCCTTCCTTCACTTCTGGAAAAAAATTTTCTTCAGAAGTCATTCATTTCTGCTTGGAACGGTAAGGTAAGCCTTCCTTCAAATTACACATAAAAATCACATACTTGCTTGGACAGTGCAATAATAAGTCAATGATGAAGGTCTGCCAGGCTTTTTCTTTACTAAGTGCATCCAACGCTGTTGGAAGTAAAGCAAAACATAAGGTCATCACTTCCAGTGCTTCACAGCAAACTTGTTCATCTTCCACCTCCAGCTTATTGCTTCCATTGGTGGTCTGCAAAATTAGAATCAGGAGCAAGTTACCTAGAGACATATTCAAGAAGAAATTCACAAACCCTCTGGTTAACATTTACAATTGCCTACTTGGTAAAGACCATGCGGCCTCAGACTCTTCACTTGCGGCTAGAGAGGCTCTTTGGGATATACTCCAAGGGGGATTTAAGAAGCACATTCAGTGATAGGTACTCCTCACTTTTCATGTTCTTCTGGATGTGACTGATCTGCCTCAATCATAACTGCTACTACAGAATCACTTTGGCACTGCAGTTTGGGTCTTTGAGTAGTTCTATTGTAGAGCCTACCTACAAGTCATTTCATTCAAAAATTGATCATAATACAAATGTTCAGGAAGCCTATGGAAGACTTCTGCAACCTAAAATATAACTAGGTAGCTAATAATTTTTAATCTGTCACTATCCATCAAAATGTAACTAAGACTTGTACGTTTGGAACAGAATAACCATTCAACTATTCCTAAAACGGAAGTTGTATAATGCCATGACACACTTTCTCATTTTAACTATACTAATGTATATTTAAATACACTAATGTATATTTTAATGGAGACCATCAGGGTTCTATATGGGTAGGTAAACACCACAGACAACAAAGAGCTAAACAGTCTTATTTCTGTAAATAGCTTGCTTAATGTACCACAAGGCTGGTGATAATACCTAAATGTTAGACACTCTTCCTGCTGTTGAGTGTTCTAAAAGAACCACGTAAAATGGATTGATTGATTGATTGAGACAGAGTCTTGCTCTGTCACCAGGCTTGAGTGCAGAGGATTTCCACTCACTGCAACATCTGCCTCCCAGGTTCAAGTGATTCTCATGCCTCAGCCACCCATGTAGCTGGGATGACAGGCATGCGCCACCATGTGTGGCTAATTTGCCCCCTTCCCCCGCCCCCCACCTGCCGGAGAGATGTGGTTTCACCATGTTGACCAGGCTGGTTTTGAACTACTGACCTCAGGCGATCCGCCCACCTTGGCCTCCTAGAATGCTGGGATTAACAGGTGTGAGCCACTGTGCCCGACGCCAGGTAAAATTTAAATGCCATAATTCCCAAAGAGACAATTACCAAAAATTTACACAGGACAAAATCAAGAAGAACTAAAGAAAATAGGGAGAGGTGGATTCATTACAGTATAACTATATTTGAGTCAATGAGAAGTCTTTTTAAAAAAGTAGGAAAAGAAAGCTGCCTCATAGCAGGCTTCTAGAGTATTTTATTTCCAAAATAAAACAATATATTCTCATTTTATTTATAGGTAGCAATAAATTTTAAACCATTAGATACAAGCGACTTGGTCTATAAGGTGACAGAAATGATGAAAATTTAATCACATGTACAATGAAGCAACATTTTCTTAAAAATCTATTTCTGTAATAATTCTTACCATCTGATAAATTTTAGTTATTTCTTCATTTGGGCTAAAAACTAGTCCTAATGCCCCACATGCTGATGCCCAGATAATTTTCTGTATAGCCCTAATTACACAAATATCAGGCATATATCTTGAAGCCTGCAGAAAAGAAATAAATAATTAAAAGTGCTGGCAGAACATTAAAGTGAATAATCAGGAAAACAAAATATTTCTCTTAGTGAAAGAAGTGGAAATGGAAGTAAAAGTAAACATGCATCAGACCTGCCTTTAAGGACCAAAGTTCCCTTGTTCTCATTTTTTTAATATCTTAACATTAAGTCAAAAAATATGGCTTCCCATATGAACGGAAGACACAGCAATACCCACCAAGTATGCTTCAGGTTCAAGTCTGATATGGCTTTATCCTATTTTTCATAAAATTTTAAAAATAACAACAGTCAAATTACTTAGCCATGCTATGCAGAGGTGTTCACCCAAGAGATATAAAAATGTATGTCCACAGAAGCACTATGACTTGATGAGTTACCCAAAAATTTTATTCACAACAGTCAAAACTAGACTGTTGTGAATAATCCAAATGTCCATCAACACACGAATGAATTAGCAACATGTGGAGTAACCATACATGGACTATTACCCAAAGTGAAATAAACTACACACATATATAACAACATGAATAACTTTCAAAATTTTGCTGATGGATATAAGCCAGACCCAAAAGAGTACAACGTATATGATTCCATTTATGTAAAATTTAAGAGAATAAACATCACAAGAAAACTTCTGGAGCCATTATAAACGTCCTATTCCTTGCTTGTGTGAGCAGTTTAAACATATACTAAAACTTATTTGATCTAGTTTGTGCAATGTAAATTATAACTCAGAAAGCTTATTTAAAAATTTCAAAATTTCTAAAGCTCTAATATTAATATTATCAGCAGCTATCAGGTCAAACATAACTTTATGAAATTTTAAATAAATTGAGATAGAGACTAAAGTGTTTTGGGTCTACAATATTTAGCCTCAAATTCTCATAGCTTAATTTATTTACGTGTTAAGTAGAGATCATTCAAGATCCCAGAACTGTCTAACTTTCATACTAACCTCATTAGATATTTCCTGAGCAAGAAGTATGGACTCATTTCTAAGTACGCACTCGGATGAGGGATTAGGAATGCTCTGAAGGGCACTTTGTAGCACCACTGCTTGATCATGAGTAACTTGGTTAATCTGAAAAAAGTGAATCATTTTACGTCAAATGAAAAAACTGTATATACCATAATCCCTAAAATTTTTACATTAAAAAAATTTTTACTCCTCATCCATCACCACTTCCTCGGCATGTTATTCCTTCACTTACCCCTGTGGAGTTTATGGGGGTTTGCATAAAAATTATTTCACATTGCCAACATTATGGAGCTGTCTTTCAAAGTGATAGACGTACGGAGGTGTTTACCCAAGAGATATAAAACCATATATCCACAGAAGCTCTATGATATGTTGATGAGTTTCCTAACAGTTTTACTCCCATCATCAGCCAAAACTAGAAACAATCCAAATGCCCATCAACAAACGAATTAACAAAATGTGGAATTACCATGCCTTGAATATCGAATATTACTCAAAGTGAAATAAACTACACACGTAGTAACACCCTGGAAACTCCAATTTGAGATGAATTCTATTATTTCTGCACTTGGGCTCATTTGCAGGGGATAAATGATACAACATGTCTCTGGGTAGAAACTTCTCCTGGTCCCCCTTTGCCACAGGTGACTAGGCCTACCATAATACAATGGAGAAAACTGAGGATACCATTAAACAGTCCTTTAAAATCTACAGACTTAGTCTTTAGGAAGCTACTTATTTTGCCCAAGGCTGATTATGCCACCTGCATTCTAATGCTCATTTCACAGACAGGCTAAAGCTTCTCGCAGCTTAACCTATTATCCTCTCTACCGCTGTTATTTACACAGTAAAGTTTTATTTTATTTTCTTAAAATTTGAGACAGAGTCTCAATCTGTCACCCAGGCTGGAGTGCAGTGGTGAAATCTCGACTCACTACAACCTCTCCCTCCTGGGTTCAAGCAATTCTCCTGCCTCAGCCTCCCCAGTAACTGGGAATACAGGCACACATCACCACGCCCGGCTAATTTTTGTATTTTTAGGAGAGACAGGGTTTCGCCATGCTGACCAGGCTGGTCTTGGACTCTTGACCTCAAGTGATCTTCACCCCTAGGCCTCCCAAAATGCTGGGATTATAGGCATCAGCCACCACACCTGGCCTAAAGTTTAAAAAAAGTTTAAAAAGACCATATTAAAACAGATATTTTAAGAGATTCGAGAGCCTGGGGGAGATGTTACTGCAACTGTCAGGCGGTCAAAGCGTTAAGACTGAACAAATCAAATACTTCCAGCCACTGTTTCCAACTTCAACCAACGAATTTTAAAATTTAACTGTTATGTACATATTATTTTCATTTTTCAATAAAGTTTTCACAAACAATTTGCCAAGTGATACTACATAAAATTTCACACACAAAAAAACTAGTATTGCAAAGGTGGTAAAAATATAGTTTCCAAGTCAGTGGCCTCATGGAATTAAAAATTTCAGCTGGCCGGGCGTGGTGGCTCATGCCTGTAATCCCAGCACTTTGGAAGGCCGAGGTGGGTGGATCACCTGAGGTTAGGAGTTTGAGACCAGCCTGCCCAGCATAGTGAAACCTGTCTCTAGTGAAAATACAAAAATTAGCCGCGTTTGGTGGCACGCGCCGGGAGTCCCAGCTACTTGGGAGGCTGGGGCAGGAGCATCACTTGAACCCAAGAGGCAGAGCTTGCAGTGAGCCAAGATGGCGCCCCTGCACTCCAGCCTGGGTGACAGAGTGAGACTCCGTCTCAAAAAAAAAAAAAAAAAAAAAAAAAAATCTCAGCTGACGGTTATCATTTTGGACCAAGCTACTTCATGGCTCCAGGTCTCAATTTTCACTTACTAAATAGAAAGTAATAGCAGAGGCTCAACAAATATAGCTGTCTTCGTGATTAAAGGAGATAAAGCATAGTGACTGGCATACAAGAAACAGCTCAATATATTTTGACCATTAATATCCAATAAATTTAGAAATTATGTGAGGTCTACATGCATCTCTAGCAATTATCTGTTTTATACTAGGTACTAAGTACATACATAATATCAATTACTTGTTGAATAAAAAGTTACACAATGCTTTAAAACTGCAAATTGAATTTTGCTAATCCAACTAGAGTTTTTCATGTCAGCAAAGTCTTGTGTCACTTGTTCTTACACCAAAATTGTCTTGTTAACATTACTGGTAATATATTAACTCTCTAATTCAACTCAGTAGCAAAAGAAGGATTAGGAGTGCTCCAAAATGCAAAAATAACTGTGTTTACTCTAATACTGGCAGAACCAAATATTCTCTATTCATAACTTCTCCATGGAAAGGAATTATAGTAATCAAGGATTAATAAGTGTGGAATGTGTAGAAAGTACTACAACATCTTACTTAATAGCATAAAAAGCTTTTAAATCTATGAGAGAAACCCCTCAGAATTTTCTTTGCGTTTTCCAATTTCTCAAAAGGTAACCTCTTGTACGTATTGTAGACAGTCGTACATTAAACATATTTTAAAGACTAATTTTCCTTAAGCTCCTTACCAGAATATGATTAGAGATTATTATGTATCTCTGTGTCCTTTGGTAGCACACTTCTTAAACATGCATACAGAAAGAAATATGTAAAAAGATACAAAAAATATCTTGTTTGTATTTCAGTAAACTCCCATAACAAGGACCATAATAAGAACCCTACCTTTTTTTATGTAAATATGCATGAAGCCCACAATATAAAGCAATAAAACTTACTCAGGATGGAGACAGAGCTTTGTAAATTAATATCTAAATTGACATGTACAAGACCACTTTCTTCTTTTTGTCCTTTTTTTGAATGAAACATTTCAAAAAATATATAAAAGCAGATAAAAGAATATAATACATCCTCAAATACCCATTATCTAGCTTCAATAATTATTAACAAATGTTTAAACTTGTTTCACTGACTCCCCAAGAAACAAACCCAGAATTATATTACCCCAGAATTATTTTGAAGCAAACCTGAGACATTTTATCTTAGGTCAATAATGACAGCATGACTCATACCCAAAATAAAATTAATCAGTCTAGAATATACAGATAATCCAGTCACTATCCAAATTTCCCTAATTAACACCTCACATATATCTAAATGTAATAATCTGTATCCCTGAACCATTTTATCTTCAAGCAGTAATTAGTAAAACCATCCTTTATAACATAAGTGAGTGAACTCAATTTAGTTAGAACTGAATTCATCTTTTGCATCCAATCTAAGCACTTCTTGAGAACTGTTGGTGATGCTGCTCAAGGCTAACAGCAAAGGAGAAAGAGATTCACAGTTGTGGGAAGAGAGGTTTGCTGCATGGCAATTATATATTCTCCTTTATGACGAACTGTCTTTATGTATCTTTTTGGTATGACTTAACAAAAGATTCAGGTGAAGTTTTCATTACACTTTAAACAACTGAAAGTAAAAAATGATTTAAAGAGACTGGGAAGTTCACTCAAAGTAGGATAGGCAACAGTCAATCTTTACATTTTTAATATAAATACAACTTAATCAAAAAAATCCCTAAGATAATATGCTATCTGTTGAATTATTTCCATCATCTACTTAAAAGTTTACATTTATTAAATAGTAATAATTAATAATTATTACAGAGTTTACATTTATTAAATAGTAAGGACTAAATATTTTTAAAAGTTTCTTAACATTTATTACCTGTGTTATGGGGTCTGTACCATCTACAACTGGCTGACAAGCTTCTGCTACAGCTCGAACATGGCCATAGCCAATCGCAGTTAACAACAGTTTGGCTATTTTAAGAGCATTTAAATAAGCACCCCTTCGAGTTTCCATATCTGTATTTGGCAAGAAGTTATTTCTTATTAGCATACTCAGTACAAGAGGTAAGCCACCACTTTTCAAGAAGTGAACTTGAAAGTCAGAGGACCCATCAGTTAGAGGCACACCAGCAGGCATTAACAAGGCATAAACTACCTGGAAAAAAAAAAAAAAAAGGAGAGTATATTAAAAGGGATTTAAAAAAAAACTTAGTAACATCTATTTCTCCTCTGATCATTGCTAAGAAATTCGACTATTTAAAAAACTTTCTTTACAGTCTTATCAGTGTTCTTCACATTACCGTATAATATAAAAATTACATTTTTGCAAAGGCAAAAACCAACCTCTGTTAGGTATAGAACTTGGGAGGCAGAAGGACCAAAGAAAAGAGAGTCAAGGGGTGGACTAAGTTTGCCTTCTCCAAGTTTTGCATGGTCCAAACAAACAGCTCGTAATTTTTCTACAGCTGTTCTATCTGCAAAGGAAAAAGACACAGACTAAAATAAAGTGTAACTCACGTGTTATTAATGTTTCACATTTGCCATTTTGAAGAGTATTATCTTAAATAAATAAAAATTATATCCACAAATCTCATTAAGCTGAGATCAAATGTTACAATATATAACTAGAACTGAACTGACTGATTAGTGATCAATCAGGACTCCTTAACTGCCAACACAAAATATGAAGGGAAGGGTTTCCTATCCAGAGAGTTCAGATCAATAAATCCTCCTTCATCCACTGCAGACAGAAAGGAAAAAAAAAACCCAAAACCAAAAACTGGAAAGAGAAATAATACAAGCATTGACCACATATAATTGAATAATAAAATGACAAATTATCAATTAAAAATGAGCAAAGGATGTTAACAGACATTTCTTCAAAAATAGATAAATGGCTAGGAAGCAAATGAAAAATTGCTCAGCATCATTAGCCATCAAAGAAATGCAAACAAAACCATATTAACATCCCACTTCAACATCAGTAGAATGGATAACCAAATCAAAAAAACATTTAAGTAGTATTGGTGAAGACGAGGAGAAACTGTAACACTCCTACCTTACTGGGAGGATTGTAAAGTGGTACAGCCACTTTGGAAAAACTTGGTAGCTCTCAATAAGTTAAACATAGACTTACTGTCATCCAGCCATTTGAGTCCCAGATATAAAACCTAGAGAATGCAAACATAAGCCCCCAACAAAACTTCTACACAAATATTCAAGGAAGTATGGTTCATGGTAGTCAAAAGCTGAAAACAACTTTACTGTCCATCAACAGATGAGGGGATCAACAAAATCTAGTATACACAAACCGCACTATATTATTCAGCCTTAAAAACAAAACAATTCTGCCACATGCTAAAACATGATGAACTGTGAGGACATTACTGAGCGAAACAAGCTGGTCACAAAAAGAAAAATACTGTATTATTTCATTGGCATGAGCTACGTAGAGCAGTAAAACTCAGAAAGAGAAAGTAGAATGATGACTTTGAGGGTAGGGGAGCAGGAAGAAATAGAAGAGTTGTTTTTAGTGGGTACTGAGTTTCAGCTTTGTAAGAAGAAAAAAATTCTGGAGACTGGTTGCACAACAATGTGAAAACACTTATTACTAATGAACTATACAATTTAAAATGGTTAAGATGATAAACTGTATGGTAACTTTTCCACAATTTCTTTTAAAAAGTGAATTGCCTGATGGTAATAGTCAGAAGGCATGCAAGCCCAATTTGAGAAATATTGTACAAAACTGGTCTTTTTCAACAATGTCAATATCATCAAAGGTGTTGTAATTCCTGATATTGATAAATTCTTCTGTGGTTATATAAGAGAATGTTCTTGTTCTAAGGAAACACACTGAGACAGTTAGGTAAAAACACAGGTTATGTGTAACTTCCTCTCCAAATGTTAGAAGAATTATATGGAGGAAAGAATGATACAGCAGGTGTGACAACATTTTAACAGTTGCTGAATCTGGAAGTGTATATGGAAGCACTCTGTATTATTCATGATGACTTTAAAACTATTACAATGTCAAAAGTTGGTTATATTTTAATAGAAGAAAAAAAAGATTCAGTGGACAGGGGCGACCATGCAAAACAGAAGAAACCAAGCAAAACTCGGTACAGGCGCTGGAGAAATAAGCTTGCTTGTTGTATAACAACACATTTCTATAATACCAATTAGCTCATTTCCAATCGGCAAAGAGGGTCATAATATTAGTATAATGTGTAAGCTAAGCTTGGCAGATGGGATCCCTCATAGGCAAGAAGAGCCAGAGAGTAGAAGTATAACCTTCAGATAGAAAGAAAGAAACCATTAGCTTGAGTGCTACATACATAAAAGCTTTCAGCTCTACCTTAAGAAATAAAAAGGGAACACCTATTCCCATCCTTGTAATGCTCTCAGACCACATCACCTGCTGATGCTTTTTATGTTCCACCTATATGGCAGTCCCTCTGTTTCAGAATATTCTATCATTCACTTGCTTTATCTCAATGCTGTTAAGCCAACAATTTCTCTTTTCATTTTGTGCATACTTAATATCTTCCAAAACAGGAGCTGGTCACAGTGAGGCATCTACCTGGGCCATCCAAATTATACACAAAGTCAGTAACTCTTATTTCTAGTAGTACTCTGCTTAAATTGTATGTTGCATGGCAGCCTGGCATTAGAGGCTGAAGCCAGAGCTAAGTGAAGAGGAGGTTATCTAGGCAAGGAAAAGGTTGGTAGAGAAGATAAATAATTGGTAACTATAGGATTAATCAAACAAGTAAATATATTAAAGAATAATACTCAGCCAGGTTTCTCACTCCTGGAGACAAAACTTTCGTATAGGGAAAGAGAAAAGAAACAAAAAGAAGCTTGTGGAACTGAACTAAAATTGGAGGTAATGGTGTGATCTCATTCATAGATAGATAGATAGATAGATAAGCCTGGCTTTATTGTGCTCTACTTCACTATCCTTTGCAGATACTGTGTTTTATACAAATTGAAGGCTTATGGTAACCCTGCATCCAAGTCTATCAGCACCATTTTTTCAATAGAATGTGGTCATTTTGTGTCTTGTGTCACATTTTGGTAATTCTCACAGTATTTCAAAGTTTTTCATTATTATCATATCTGTTAGGTGATCTGTAACCAGCAGTCTTTGATGTTCCTATTGTAACTGTTTCAGGGCACAATAAATTGCACCAGTATATCACAGCAAACTTAATAAATGCTGTGTGCATTCTGACTGCTCCACTGACTGGTCTTTCCCCATCTGTCCTCCTTCTCAGGCCGCCCTATCCCTGATATACAATAATGCTTAAATTAGGCCAATTAATAACCCTACAATGTTCTAAGTGTTCTTGTGAAAGGAAGTCACATATCTCTCACTTTAAATTAAAAGCTAGTGATTAAGCTTAGTAAGAAAAGCATGCCAAAAGCTGAAATGGGCTGAGAGCTGGATCTCTTACACCAGTTAGCCAAGTTGTGAATGCAAAGGAAAAGTTCTTGAAGAAAATGAAGTGTTGCTCCACTACACATAGGAAAGATTAGAAAATGAAACAGAATTATTGAAAAGAAGAAGAAAGCTTTAGCTGTCTGGATATATCAATAACAGCCACGCCTTCCATTAAAAGCCAAAGCCTAAACCAGAGTGAAGCTCTAACTTTCTCCAATTCTATAAAGGCTGAGAGAAAAGAAAGCTGCAGAAGAAAAGCTTAAAACTAGCAGAGGTTAGTTCATGAGGTTTAAGGGAAGAAGCGATCTCTAAAACATAAAAGTACAAGTTGAAGCACCAAGTGAAGCTATAGCAAGTTACCTAGAACATGGAGCTAAGATAATTGACGATGGTGTCTACAGTAAATGGATTTTCAGTACAGACAAAACAGCCTTGTAGTAGAAGAGGATTCCATCTAGACCTTTCTTAACTGTAAAGGAGAGATTAATGCCTGGCTTCCAGGCTTTATAAAACAGGCTGACTCTGTTGTTAGGGGCTAATGTCATGGGTAAATTTAATTTGAAGCCAATATTTATTTACCATTCCCGAAAATCCTAGGGTCCTTAAGAATTACGCGAAATCTACTTCGTCTGTGCCCTACAAGCAAAATAACAAAGGCTGGATGACACCACATCTGTTTACAGGATAGCCTATTGAATAGTGTAAGCCACTGTTGAGACCTACTATGCAGAAAAAAAGATTTTTTGAATGTATTACTGCTGATTGACAATGTATCTGGCAACCCAAGAGCTCTCACGGAGATGTATGTGGAAATGAATGGTGTTTTCATTGCTTGCTGACACAATGTCCATTATGCAGCCCATGGAGTAATTGTGAGTTTCACTTTATCACTTAAGAATAGCTGGGTGTGGTAGCTTACACCCATAATCTCAGAACTTGGGTAGGCCAAGGCAGGCAGATCACTTGAGGCCAGGAGCTTAAGACCCAGCCTGGTCAAAACAGTGAAACCCCATTCCTACAAAAGATACGATAAATTAGCTGCACGTCGTGGCACACACCTGTAATCCCAGCCACTCTGGAGGCTAAGGCAGGACAATCACTTGAACCTAAAAGGCGGAGATTGCAGTAAGCCAAGAGGGTACCACTGCAATCCAGCCTGGGTGACATAGTGAAACTGTCTCAAAAAAAAAAAGGATTACATTTTGTATGGCTGTTGCTGCCATAGACAGTGATTCCTCTGTTGAATCTGGGCAAACTATGTTGAAAGCCTTCTGGAAAGTATTTTCCCTTCTAGATGCCACTAAGAACATTCACGATTCATGGGAAAAGGTCAATATAACAACGTTACTGGGAGTTTGGAAGAAGTTGGATGACTTTGAGACATCAGTCGGGGAAGGAACTACAGATACAGTGGAAACAGCAAGAGAACTAGAATTAGAAGTGAAGCCTAAAGATGTGACTGAATTGCTGCCAATATCACAATAAAACTTTAACAGAGATGAACTTGCTTCACATGGCTGAGCAAACGAAGTGGTTTCTTGAGACAAAATCTACACCTGGAAAAGATTATATGAATACTGTTGAGATGACAACAAAGGATTTAGAATATTACACTACATAAGCTTAGTTGATAACGCAGGAGCAGAGTTTGAGAGGACTGACTCAAGTTTTGAAATAAGTTTTACTTGGGGTCAGATGCTATAAAATACTATCCCAAGCTACATGGGAATCTATCCAGAAAGGAGAGTCAATAGCAGAAAAGTTCACTGTTGTCTCCTTTTAAGAAATCAACACAGATGTCCCCAGCTTCAGCAACCATCACCCTGATCAGTTAGCAGCAGTTGATGTTGAAGCAAGACCCTTCAATGGCAAAAAGTTACAATTCGCTGAAGGCTCACAAGATAGTTACTATTTTTTAGCAATAATGTATTTTTAATTGCTGTATACCTTTTAAAAAAGATATAATGCCATTGCACATTTATAGTGTAAAAAACTTTTATGTGTATAGTGTATAAAACTTTTAGTTTTATACTAGTGTAAAAAACTTTTATGCGCACCGGGATACAAAGAAACTTGTCTGACTTGATTTATTGAGAGGTACACTTTATTGTGGTGGTATGGTAATGGAAACCACAGTATCTCCAAGGCACATCTATAGACATATACATATGGTAGATTTTATTTATATGTTAGAGAGCCCATATTTTATCTTCTATGGAACATGTTACACTAAAAGAAATCAGTGATCAGGTAAATGGCCAATTTAGTCTTGGAGCTGGAAAATGGCTCATTTGTAGGCCAAGAAATACAAGCCATTTAATGACAGTAAGTTCAAAATCAGATGCTATTTATACAAAAATACCAATTTCTCACAGCTGAAGAAACTACTCTTTCAACTAACAAGATCTGTTGATTACTTAGTACACACAACAAACAACAAAAAAATCAAAGTAAAACTACCATTCCAAGGCACTTCATCATTAGATTTCAGAACTAAAGAGTTAAAAACAAAGCTTCTAGACAGAAAGTTAAGACACAACAGGTTCAGTCCTCCCAGCAGCCAATATTGCCATGAAACTGCAGATGTTCTACTTTCAGCTCTATGTTCAACCAACTCCAAGTAAAAAAATAGAAAAAAACAAAACAACCAAATAATAAACTACTGCATGTGGGAGAGTTTAGGTGCATTCAGAAAAGTAATGTCTTAACAAAAAAATCTTGTTTTCCATGTATCGATTTTTAGGAGGGTGTGCTTCGGCAAAATGAAGATTAACTCAAGAAAGATGCAAGACCAAGGAGCACCAGAAGACCACCAAAGGAAAGGCTGTATACAGAAGTCCCAGAATGATAGCTGTGTCAAAGAGAACAAAGCACAAGGCAGCAGGAAGATGAAATGCTCCAAGAAAACATGATATAACAGATCTGACCACATGAACAATTGTTGTAGGAAATTACTGGAAGGAGTATGAGAAAATTTAGTAATTAACACCAAGAAAACCAAGCAAATGATAAAGGCAATATTAAAATCTAGTATAATCATGTGTGAGTAACTTAGGAGATTGTAGTATTTTCACATTGTGTTAAAAATGTGAACAATGCATATAGATTTAAACAAAAACTGTGACATGACCAGAGAGTAAGGATGCGGTAACGCATAAGAAATACATTTTCACAAGTCAATACTTAATGTCTAAAACCTGACACACAAAAATAGCATGGGCATAGTGCTTAGAAAAAAAGTGGTATATCCAGTAATGAAAGGTAAACCTTGAGGGTGAGTTTTCTTTGATAGATGGATGAGGTAGGAGACTGTTGTTCATCACTGGGAGCCTTGAAAGAACCCTGACTTTCTGAAGTATTAGTTTTCTAGAAGTATTTCATGAAAATTACATGCTCCTAAATATTTTCCCATCCATGAAAATATTTTCATCAGCAACACTATGAAAGACACATGTTCAACATTAGAGACTATTCCACAAAGTATATTAGATTTGCAAACAGAATTTGTTAATATTTTCTTTTTCATCCATCATGTAGTTATGAGCATCCTTTCTGTGGAATAGGGGGATGGACCATTTTCTTACCTGGTGGCATAAGTTTCATAAGTACTCTTGCTCCATCTCTAAGAGGTGGCATATTCAGGTTGCTACCTAAGTCTGCAACTTGCCAAAGGAAAGAGATGTATCTGGGATGCACTGACATTATCTAGAATACAGAATATACAAAATATTTACCTGCAAATTGTGCTACAAAAAGTTTTTTGTTAATGAAAATTTATCCACTCTCTATCCTTCAAATAAGGTTTCTATTGGTCAATCACATTTCTGGATATACCATTTATACCACCCCAAATGACTATTTTTACATTGATAAATCCATTGATTCAACATGCAAATTTATACATTACATATTAAGCTTTCTAATATACTTTGAGTAATTTCATTGCAACAGTTTTTCGATTTTTTTGTAAACTGTAGTTTCACATAGTACTCAGATGCTGATTATACAAAAGGCACCTCACTCCCTCAGGAATTAAATTCCTAATCCAATTTTTTCAGAGACTTAAACCTCCCTAATGCTGAAGTGACTGGTATAATTGTAGGCATAATTTTTAAGAGGCTGAGGGAAAGGCTAAGAAAGGTAGAAGCTGTTGTTCCTTTACATATGAGATGTATTTCTAAGAATCATAGAAAATAATACATCCTATTTTTCTTTAAAACTATCCTAAAAGACTGAAAATATAGTAGTACCTTCTAGAGCTATATATTTAATACCATACGTAAGCTATAACAGATTAATTCTACCTACATAATTTTATTATAAATTCCTACAACTAAGAAATTCACTCAGAAGTTAACAGTTGACTATACCGTTGACATTTTGACCCATTTATGAATCTCTATAAATCTATGAAGCTCCTCAGAAAAAGAACTATTCTACACATTTCTTCATATTTTGAATAGAGAATTACTCACCACCCCAGGCAAACAACTTTCCACCTCTAGATTGGGACCATCATTGTAATGATTACGGTGGTTTCCAGGAGATGCAGTTGAGGAATCGGAAGAGCTATCAGGACTTGATGGCATATTGAAATTTATTTGTGTAAGTTTGGCTGTAATTAGCTGAAAATAACAGTGTGTTTATTAGCAAAGACAAGGCAAAACATTTCTACAAGTAATGGGAACTAGATACATTGAAAGGTTAAAATACACCTTAGGCTTTAATTTTAGAAATACATTTAAAAATTACTGTCTAACATAACCATTTAATTGTATTTCCTTTAAGTTCTGTGACATCTATCTTATTCAAGGTGATTATAATCTAGATACCAACACAGAAGTTTGTACATAATAGTTAGATGCCCAACAGACATTTACTAAATAATACGTTAATAATAAATGTTGAGGCTTACTAATATAGCCTCAACATTTAAGTTTCATGACTTATTTAAAAGCTGTATTTACTTACAGATTTATCTTTTAAGTTTAATTGTCCAATTAGCTTTCTGTCATCTTCAGAATCTATCAGCTCACCACCCACAAAAAGTTCAATTTTTTTGTGGGCTACATTGGCTTTAATACGATTAACAATACATCGCCGTACTGAACCAATTGTGTCATTCGTATGAGACCATATATCCAACTCATCAACCTGTCTGCCCTGGTTTGGAAACCGAACTATAAGAGAGAGGTGTTTGCCACGAAATGCTCTGAAAAATAAATAAGTAAATAAAAAGAATTTTAAAAAAAGAAAAAACCACAATGATATTCAGCAGACTGCTAAAAAAAACCCTGAAAATTTAATATTTTATTATTAAGTCAGAGGATGACAGTTAAAACAACTTATTTTGTATTTAGGATCTTTAGAACACCATGCTTCTTTTAAACAGTGAACAAACATCACAATCTTGGAAATGCAATAATCAAATTCTGTTGTTAATCTTATCTCTGTGAAGGCTGAAAAAAAGCTTCCTACTTATGATAGATCACAACAGACATGAATAATGCTTCAGTTATTTTCATGCCACAAAACTCAACTCACTAAGACTATTTTCAAACACGGAATATGAGTTTCGGCTTGAACATATCAACAAAAATGCTAAAATGCACATTTCTGTCAAAATATACCCCAAAATATTTATCTTGGTATAATCTTGCTTACTTTATTCTCTTCTGATAGGTAAGATGCAAAATAAACAGTATTAAAAAGCAATTTTACATTTTTTCAGTTAAGAAAGTGGAATCAGACTTTTAAAAAACGTGATTGTGCTCATTCTGTAAACTTTCCCCAAAACTGTAATTGCCATTAAATTGTTAATAAGTAACTGACTTTAGTTATACTTATATGATTTAGTTATATGATTATTATTCGTATCACATGCTATAGAATTTGGATATAATTTATGATTATATTAATATCTGACTATTAGATCATCTAATTATTTTATGGTAATTAGTTTTTAAATTTAAAGGAATTTTAGCAAACACCATTTAAAAATATTCCTTCTCATACTGGCTTAATAAGCAGTTCTTAATTTTATTTTTAAGAACGTTCAAATAAAAAAACCATCAAATGCAAAATAACTCTATCACACTTAAGGAATGATAACAACTTGGAAAAATAAAAGAGACACTGTTAACTAAGGAGTGAAATACCTTACCAAAATATAAATCAAAATAAAAATGTACCCTATCAAAAAGCATCTTTTTTAAAAAAGATATAGCTGTTTTTAAAGGTGAGAATATTGGAATTCAGAAATAAGAATATCCCCCACTTTCCTTTTAACCTATTATTACTTTCCTAAGTAAATTTCTAAGAAAATATTAAGTAATTGTAAATTAACACTAGAGATCAACTTCACACAAACCTCGACATAGGTAGAATCATTCTTTCCTTGTGATAATCACTGTCACATTCATTAATGTACTCTTTTATAACAGTTAATACTCTAACCATTCGAATGGCTTCTTGTCTTGCACAATTAATGCTGTTTTTGTCACCATCAAAAACACACAGTGTATCATATGATGCTTTTAAACGATCAAAGCAAGACTGAATGAAGTCTTCATGGATAACCACCTATAAATAATGGACAAATACAGATAATCCAGGTTGTTTACAAATGAAATGTGACATCAATCTAATAAAAAGCAGTAAAATGTCAATTTAAAGGTAACTCAATCATAGTCATATTTACCCAGTAGTAAAACACAAGTTTCCTGAAAAGGAAACTGATTACGTGAAACTAGCAAGTATAAACCAATTTTGTTTTTAAAAAGTGAATGTTGGCCAGGTGTGGTGGCTCACGCCTGTAATCCCAGCTCTTTGGGAGGCCGAGGCAGGTGGATCACCTGAGGTCAGGTGTTCAAGATCAGCCTCACCAACATGGTGAAACCGTCTCTACTAAAAAAATACAAAATTAGCCAGGTGTTGTGGCAGGCGCCTGTAATCCCAGCTACTCGGAAAGCTGAGGCAGGAGAATTGCTTGAACCTGGGAGGCGGAGGTTCAGACAGCCAAGATCCCGCCATTGAACTCTAACCTGGGCAAGAAGAGTGAAACTCCATCTCAAAAAAAAAAAAAAAAAGTGAATGTCCAGTCGGGCACATGTGGCTCATGCCTGTAAACCCAGCACTTTGGGAGGCTGAAGAGGGACGATAGCATGAGCCCAGGAGTTAGACACTAGCTCTGGCAACATAGTGAGGTCTCATCTCTAACAAGAAGAATGAAAAAAAAAATTAGCTGGTGCGGTGGTGTGCGCCTATAATCAGAGGCAGGGAGATAGCTTGAGCCTGGGAGTTCCAGGCTGTAGCTGAGTTGTGGCTGCACCACTGCATTCCAGCCTGGGTGACAGACAGGAATCTCAAAAAGACAAAAAAAAACAAATGCCTAGACAAAAGGCCAATCTAAGACAAAGTTCTGGCCATCTCAACGTACGATAATGAATAATTACATTTAAAATTATTTCAATCACCTAAGGATAATTATCAAAGAAACATTTCTTTAGTCAGCATTGGGCAAGGGAGAAAAGTGGATTAAACACTGAAAAAATATTTTTGACAAGAGTTAAAGATTATTTTCTAGTTATTTTCAGGTTAAAAAAGATACTACCCAACAACTTAACCCAATTGTTGTGGATCTTTTTAAGCACTTCAATTCTCACCTGATTGGCTTTTAATCTTGGGCCAAGGTTTGTGTATATCTCTTTAAGAAGATCTATAGCTCTGTTAGCAATCTCGTCACTACTCTGAATCACAACCTGGTTCCAAAAATATTACAGTATTAAAACCATTCAAGATACAGTTTAATTTGGTATTTAAATTTAAATCATATCCTTAATTATTTTTAATATAATCTTCAATAACTTAAAGATAAGTTGATTGATACTTAATATACAATAAGGGATCTTAAGAATTCAAAGATTAATAAAAAATACAAGTTTTCTGAACAAAGCCGTTTGCTTAAGAATGAAAGACACAAATACTTCAAGTGATAATATTTAACTTGTCAACTTGTTAGTCAAGCTGATAGGTTTTCAAGGGTTAATTCAAGTATGCTAAAAAAAAAAAGGTGCGAGAAATACTATTTAACATAGAGCTGTCCTGCTGGCCCCAGCAATTTTTGTAAATCTTTACCAATCATTTAATAAATCAGTGTTTTTCAAACTAAGTTTAGAATCCTTGCACCTTAGAGTATTTCAGGAATGAAAATTTGGGGAGTTTGAAGACAGAAAGGAAATGAATAATGGGAAACTAAGCAAAGAAATGCAAGCTTTCCTCTCTTACTTCCACTACCTGTATATAGTTTTTTAATTGATAGGAGTTACTACTAGTTAAAATGTTTCAAAAACCACTGGTTTTAATGGAACACCGTAGCAACTTCTCAGTTTACATAAAGTTTGTCCAGAGAATAAGTAAATAATAAAACCCAAATATAAGCTGTGACACAACAGATTAGATATATCAAGATGGCAACAAGATATATTACACTATTAATATGGGAAAGTTAGCTTTATGAGCATGCAACATTTATTCCAGCTATTTAAATATATACAAAGTGAACAATATCAATAAAGGTATTGATTCATAATGATATCCTAGTAATAGTCTTCTGTCCATCGTTCATGTCAGCATCAAATACATATAAACTTCAAGATCTATCTTATATAAAAAAGAGAGAATAACTTTCACAAAGGAGGGGAGAATAGAAGATGTAGTCAGCATGTAGAGGGTTACTATAATTCTTTTTTTTTTTTTTTTTTTTTGAGACGGAGTCTCGCTCTGTCCTCAGGCTGGAGTACAGTGGCGCAATCTCAACTCACTGCAAGCTCTGCCTCCCAGGTTCACATCATTCTCCTGGCCTCAGCCTCTCAAGTAGCTGGGACTAAAGGAACCTACCACCACGCCCGGATAATTTTGTTTTTGTATGTTTAGCAGAGACGGGGTTTCACCGTGTTAGCCAGGATGGTCTCCGTCTCCTGACCTTGTGATCTGCCTGCCTCGGCCTCCCAAAGTGCTGGGATTACAGGCATGAGACACCGCACCCAGCCTACTATAATTCTATACATCTGAAAAGGGTGACAGATTCTAAGTTAGTACAACAGGGTGAGAGAAAAAACCAGTAATGAATAAAATATAAGAAGGTAAAGAAGAGCAATTATCCTTGCACACCTAGATTTCTAGGACAAGCATCAAAACAGAATATAGCCATGAAATTCTCAGGCAAAATTATGACTCTTGAATTATTTTTAAAAAGTAACCTCAGGTACAATGTTGGCATATGAAAGTTCTTACTACTCACTTACCCTCCAAAGGTAGTCTAGTCCAATTAATTCCAAATCATCCATCATATAGGATCTTCTTTTTGCTATTAGTTTCCTTTCTCGACAATTGACAGCTTTGAAAAATCTTTCAAAGCATTTCATTCCATTTTCAGTTAAAAGGGAAGGATCAAGCTGAAGTACATTACTTTCAAAGAAGTCCTTATTAATATCAGGATCCAAGTCTGGTTCATCCCCCATTAACTTGGAATACCACTTAAAACAGGCTTCACGATCACAAAGATAAACTGCATTTTCTGCTAAGCACTTCCATATTTGTTTTGCCTGAGGAGCACAGAGCCACAGTTGGCCATCCTTCAGTAAAAATCTTGGAGAAACATAAATCAGTAATTAGGGTCAACATAGTTTTTTCCTGCAAAGCAAGTTTTGACAGGCACAACATAATACTTCACCACAATTATATTTTAATTACAGCTTTAAAAATATGAATTCTTTCAAAATAATTTGTTAAACACATATCTGGAATTTAAAATGTGTCAGGTATTCACATTTGTTTAACAAATATATATGAGGCAGCTACAAAATGCCAGCAACTTTGCTGGGTGATGTGCCCTAAGTAAGAAGACTTCTCCTCATTTTCAGCTCTCCTTCTGAAACCCAATACTGATTTAGCTCTCCCTTAAATTATATCATTGCAAAATAAGGTTATTACACTAAATGACTTTCAGAGATAACTAAATATCACCATGAATTTAAAGCGGCTTAAACTGCTTACATTTCTGAAAATATTGCACTCATAACTAGCCATATGAAACAAAAAATCCACCAGTAATTAAAAATTATGTCTATCTCTGTAATCATTAGTGTGTCCTCAGTGATGTCCTCGAGCTTTTTAGTTGTTTCACTATTTATTAGTTCACTACAATAAAACAATGATTAGTCTGCTTTAAGCAGTCTCTTTATTTGGTTGGCTTCCACTTTCTCTTAGCACTCTTCCACCCACTCTGTCTACTATTTCTGTGAATGACAATGAAAGGAAAAATAAGTTTATTTTAATTTGAATAATAACTTCACACTTAGTTAACAAAATGACAGTGGCTTTATTCCAAAAAGAGTGTGGTGTTTTTATTTAATAGCAGAAGGTTTCTTCTTCTGGATCTTTTTTTTTTTTTTTTTTTTTTTTTTCAGACAGACTCTCACTCTGTTGGCCAGTCTGGAGTGTAGTGGCACAATCTTGGCTCACAGCAACCTCTGCCTCCCGGGCTCAAGCAATTCTCCTGCCTCAGCCTCCTGAGTAGCTGGGATTACAGGCGTGTGCCACCACACCCAGCTAATTTTTGTATTTTTAGTAGAGACCCAGTTTCACCATGTTGGCCTGGCTGATCTTGAACTCCTGACCTCAGGTAATCCGCCCACCTCGGCCTCCCAAAGTGCTGGGATTACAGGTGTGAGCCACCACGCCTGGCCTGGATCTTAATTTTAAGTTGTTAATATCTCTGTAAGAGTGCTGAGCATGAAGGGACCACCTAGATTAAATCTACCTAATCTCTCTCATCCTAATTTATAAATGAGCAACAAGAGATCCAGCAAGATGAAACACAGCAGTTTGTAAACTAACGTTTCAGTGTAAATGTCTGAAAATTCACTGGTGTCATAGGGCAGACACTTTTAAAAACTTCTATATGGGTAATCTGGTCTCTATCACATACCAGCTGTGTGATTTCAAAGCACTTTGTTTTCCCCAAATGGAATCCCAATGAGGAGTTAACACCTGCCTCACAAGGCTGTCATGATGAGTAAAGTGATTAGCACAAGGCCAAATATATACAGCCGGCATTAGCTCTTATAGCTTCCCCCTTTGATTAACTGTAGTACTGTAATATGAACTCTGGAAGGTCATCTGATTCTAAACTTTACTAATAGAATGAATAAATTCTAACTAATTTTTCCAACCCAATAAACCTAAGGAACACATTTACCAAAAACAATGGCTCACTTTGGAAGAGATACTCAATATTAAGAGGCAGATTGTTTTTCTATGTGGTTAAAAAAAAGGTACTACAAGTGTCAGAAAACCTGATACTAGAATATTTTGCAAACTGAAATCCTATAATAAAGATGAGATCTATCTGGCAGACCGTAAAATCCTCAATAGTTATGAACTGACTGAATAAAAAAAAAAACAGACTTTATGTCAAATAAATATTGTCCCATAAATTATCTGATTGATCAGCAAACAGAATTACATGCTCTGTAAAAAGAAAACTAATCCCAGAATTAATAGAGAGAAACAATGAATTCAGTAAATTTTATAAAACACTGATAAATAGTTCTGGCAACTTTTCTTAGTATACTTATTCAAATACTTTTCTTGCAATAGTATGGTAAACTGCATTTCTAAGAGATCTCTCAATACTCAAGCTATACATACATAAAAAAATACATGTCATTAAAAGCTATGTATTACTGAGTAAATTCAGTTTGGAACATAGGTTTGGCTTAAAGGACAGACAACTTTACTTATCCCATTTAAAGTAATGTTATTATACATAGTTAGAGGTTGCTTTTGTCTCTATCATTGTTAAAATATTCACAAGCCACTCAGGAGGCTGAAGTGGGAAGATCACCTCCTGGAGAGGTTGAGGCTTCAGTGAGCCTAGATTGCCCCACTGCACTTGAGCCTGAATGACAGAATGAGATCCTGTCTCAAAAAGAAAAAATAAATACAGAATAACCCTGCATTCCTTATCACTGCAGTGCCTTAAAAGAATAGCACTGATGGTTTAAAACAAACCTAAGGAAGTTTAGTCGTTCTTGAACTTCTTGAACATGACTGTATCGACTTCCAAGCCTCACTGTTTGTGGATCATAGTCTTCATGATCTGCAAATAAACCAAAATTATGCATTATACACATGTATATCCACAACATTATTGACTTAGGTAAAAAGAAATTATTAAGTTAATAATCATTCTCATTAACGGAAACTTGTAATTATGGTATGTTTATTTAAACCCTTTACTCCCACAAAAATACAGTCACTTTTTACACAAAGAAAAATATAACTTGCTGAACACGTTATCAAAAATATTTTTTTAGTCTTAATTCCCCCTTCATTCATCACACACACTGGCGCAATTTGTGAGTACAGCCTACGATTTTTTTACCATCATGTTTCCATTTTCCTTCCTTCTTTGTAGGCAAAATATTTCCTTCCTTCTTTGTAGGCAAAGTATTTCAACATTAAAAATATCACTTCTTTATTCACTCAAAAAAATTAAGATGAGAGAAAATGCTGTATTTTATAAAGTTATCATATGAGTATCTCAATCACCAGGGTATGAACTGGCTCAAACAGTCTCAGATACTCTGAAAAACCTACCTTGTCATTATGATTATAAATACTTGTGTTGGAAACCAGGCCTAGCCTATGTCAGAAATCTTTATTTTTTAATATAAAATTGGTAAATGCTTTTTATTTACTTTATTAACATCATCTACTGGGTGAAAATCTCAGTGTTTGTAAAGAATTTTTTTTTTTGAGATGGAGTCTCGCTCTGTTGCCAGGATGGAGTGCAGTGGTGCGATCTTGACTCACTGCAACCTTTGTCTCCCGGATTCAAGTGATTCTCCTGCCTCAGCCTCTCAAGTAGCTGGAGCTACAGGTGCACACCACCATGCCCAGATAATTTTTGTATTTTTAGTAAAGACGGGGTTTCATCATGTTGGCCAGGATGGTCTTGATCTCTTGACCTCATGATCTTCCTGCCTTGGCCTCCCAAAGTGCTGGGATTATAGGCGTGAGATACCATGCCTGACCTGTAAATACATTTTAAACAGCAAAGATTAAGTTCAAAGCTACTGTCCTGGCTAGGCACGGTGGCTCACGCCTGTAATCCTAGCACTTTGCTAGGCAGAGGCAGGCAGATCACAAGGTCAGAAGATCGAGACCATCCTAGCCAACATGGTCTCTACTAAAATATATAACATTAGCCGGGTGTGGTGGCACACGCCTGTAGTCCCAGCTACTCAGGAGGCTGAGGCAGGGAAATCACTTGAACATGGGAGGCAGAGGTTGCAGTGAGCCAAGATTGCTCCACTGCACTCCAGCCTAGGTGATAGAGCAAGATTCCATCTCAAACACACATACACACACACACACACACACACACTTATTCAAAAGGTAACACTCAACTAAAATATGAATTTACTCCAACACAAAAGCCATGCTTTTAAAGAAAAGTGCCCTAAGGTGGCTTATCCCAATACCTAGCAAAATAAAAGTAACAGAAGAAAAGCATTAGAAGAATACGATAAAAACCATATGCCTGAAAATGACTGTTTGCGAGATTAAACAGAAGACAGTTGAAATACATGCCAATACCAAGTGTTGTCAGGAATGAAAGACCTTTATCCCGAAACTTTTAAACATAGTATGGGAGGAAATATGTTGTTTTTCTTCTGCAACAGACACAGGTATTTCTCAGGTATACATCTCTTGGACCTTGTAACGTTCACACTTGGTGCCAAAAAACGTTCTTCAATTAGAAGCAAAATCTTGACTTGCAATAAAGATGGAATAGAATGTTTAGAATGTGCACTATTTAGTGAAGAAAGAAATCTCACATATTTTGACTCGTGGCTTTTTACTTCTATATACAGGAACACCTGCTAACTGTTGTAGAAACGTACAGCTTACTTCCATGAGACTGACAGATTGCACCAAATCTCAGAACCTCAAGTTTTCTTTAAAAATCTGGCACAATAATATAAAAAGACTTTCAGTTGCATATATGTTTTCTTGTTTTTCCGACCACTGATACTGAAACATCTGTTTAAACATCAGACTGGCACTCGAGGTACTTTTTCATCCCCTATACACTTTGAACTAAAAGCTATTTTTTTTTTCTTGAGGGGGAGTGTGTGGCATGGGGTTGGTTTATGTGTATGACTTTACATTTTAATGTAATTTCAAATTTATAGACGAGGTGCAAAAATAATACAATGAACTACTGTTTATCCAGATATATCAACTGTTTAGATGTTGCCTATTTGTTTTTACAGGTATCTCTGTTTATATGTATATGTCATTTTAATGAACCATTTGAAGGTAAGCTGGACACATCACCTAATTTTATTCCTTAAAGTTATGTTTATTTCCCAGTAACAAGTACAGTTGACCCCTGAACAACATGGGCTTGAACTGCACTGGTCTACTCATTAATATATATGGATCTTTTAACATAAATGATGAGTATTGGAAAATTTTTAGAAAATTTGTGACAATTAGAGAAAACAGATGAACAACATAGCTTAGAAATATTGAAAAAAAAAATAAGAAAAGGCCGGGTACAGTGGCTAACGCCTGTAATCCCAGCACTTTGCAAGGCCAAGGCAGACACATCACCTGAGGTTAGGAGTTCAAGACAAGCCTGGTCAACACAGTGAAAGCCCATCTCTATTAAAAATATAAGAATTAGCTGGGCATGGTGGTGGGCACCTAATCCCAGCTACTCACAAGGCTGAGGCAGGAGAACTGCTTGAACCCAGCAGATGAAGGTTGCAGTGAGCTGACATGGTGCCACTGCACTCCAGCTTGGGTGACAGTGAGACTCAGTCTCAAAAAAAAAAAAAAAAATTTAGAAAAAATGAAATGTCATGAATACTTAAAATATGTTTATTTCAGTGAGCTCCAGTGTTGCTGAGTATACTTAAAATGCTGTGTGATTCTAAACTCCTGAGTGAGCAGTTAGTCTCTTCAGTAAATTATGTATCATGGTAAAAAGTAATCTCTTGGCTGGGCATGGTGGCTCATGCCTGTAATCCCATAATCCCAGCACTTTGGGAGGCCAAGAAGGGAGGATCATGAGGTCAGGAGTTTGAGACCAGCCTGACCAACATGGTGAAACCGTGTCTCTACTAAAAATACAAAAATTAGCTGGGCATGGTGCAGCATGCCTGTAATCCCAGATACTCAGAAGGCTGACGCAGGAGAATCACTTGAACCCAGATGGTAGAGGTGGCACTGAGCTGAGATTGTGCCACTGCACTCCAGCCTAAGCGACAGAGTGAGACTCTGTCTCAAAAAAAAAAATCTCTTGCAGTTCTCATGTATTTTTTGTGTTTAGTGCAATAATGGAAACAATGAATGACACCAGAGGACCTAAATGATGTGCTTCCCCCAAAATAGTGAAAATCATGATATCACAAGAAAAAGCTGAATTGTTTGATATGCATTGCAGACTGAGTTCTGCAACCATGACTGCCCACCATTTCACGATAAATGAATTCAGTGTAAGGACGATTGTAAACACACACACACACACACACACACACACACACAGATACACACACTCTTCATGAAGCTGTCATTGCATCTATGACAATAGAAACAAACTTTGCACTTTTGTGAAATATCTTCAATTTTGTATTGAAAATGCAGTTTTTTTGAGTAAGACTGCTATAAAAAAGGCACACTTATAGACTAATCTAACGGGAAAAATCAAAGTCATATGACAACTTAAAGCAAAAGGTGTAGGAGTTCGGTCAGGGTAGTGGGAGAAATTATAAGAAGAAATTATAGGAAAAGATGCAAACCTTCTTGGAAGGCTGGGAGGTTTTGCAAAAGCTTTGAAAGATAATTTGGCTGAAGGCAGCCAAATTCTCTTATCCAGAGCCTGAGAGCAAAAGGTAGATAACAAGGAAGTGTAAAGGAATTGATCTAGGTAAGTTAAGTTTACTTAGGCCTCAGAACCTGGCCTTTAATCATGTGCGTGCAGGACTGCTCTCTCCAGGTAAATACCCACAAGTTGTGTTGACTGAAAGCCTTTGTCATTAAATGTGTATTAAATAAATGCCCACTTCTCAGGGCTGCAACTGCTGTGACTCTTTACAGCACCTTCCTGGGTGTCTGTGAGCGGTCAGTCCCCTAGCCGTGTGCCCAGGCAAAAAAAACCTGTGTCTGCGTACATTTTCTCATCCGTCGCTTGGCCAGAGTCTGCGGGTCAGACCCAGCAAAAAGGAAGGTGAAGGATTTGAAACTGAAGAACTGCCAGCTTAGGATGATGTGATAATTTCAGAAAGTGGTTTGTCTTTAAAAATATCAAGATAACAGGAGAAGCAGCTTTTGCCAAGCAAGAGGCAGCAGTTGAGTTCCCAGATGGCATTCGTAAAAACTATTGAGAAAAGATCTCTGCCTCAACAGACTTTTAATGCAGATGAAAGTGCCCTATTCTGGAAGAAAAAAAAGGCACAGAGGACATTTGTTAGTAAGAAACAGGCAAGTACTAAGATTTAAGGCAGGAAAGAGTATGCTAACTGTAGATGCAGTCAGGCTAATGATCAGGATGGCTCTTTTCCTATAAAGTGTTAATGCTCCACCTTGAAAGGAAAAGATAAACACCAGCTGCCAGTCTTGTGGTTGCACAACAAGAAGGCTTGACAAGTAGAAGAACCCTTTCTCTGGGTTGGTTCCATCAGAGCTTTGTCCCTGAAGTCAGGAAGTACCTTGCCAGTAATGGGTGCCTTTTAATGTTCTTTTTGAAATTAGACAATGCCTCTGGGCAAAGGCATCAATGTGGTCTGCTTGCCTCCAAACACGTCTCTAATTCAGCCTCTAGATCAGCAAGTCATAAGGAACTTTAAGGCTCATTACACATGGTACTCTCTAGAAAGGACTGTGAATACTGTGTAACAGAACCCTAACAGAGAGAAGATCATGAAAATGTGGAAGGATTACACCACTGCAGATGCCATCATTTTAACAGAAAAGATGATGAAAGCCCTCAGGCTGGAAACAACACATTCAAAACTATGTCCAGATGTTGTACATGACTTCCCAGGATTTACAACAGAGCTCATTAAGGTAATCGCATGAAAGAGATCATGCAAACAGCAAAAACCGGATGGGTTAACGGTTTAATGATATGAATCTTGGACAAATTCAAGAGCTAATAGACACTACACCAAGGAATTAAGACACAAGACAACTTAATGGAAATGAATGCTTCTGAACCAGTGGCAGACAATGAGGAAGTAGTAGAAGCACTGACAGAAAACAAACTGACATTAAACAAGCTGGCAGAGGATTCTGATCACTAAAGACTGCTTTTGCCTTCTTTTATGACATGGACTTCCATAATACAGGTGCTGAAACTACAGCAAATGGTGCAGGATGGATTAGTACTATACCGCAGCAGTCCCCAACCTTTTTGGCACCAGGGACAAGTTTCTTGGAAGAAATTTTTCCACAGACTGGGTGGGGATGGTTTTGGGATGAAACCGTTCCACATAAGATCATCAGGCATCAAGTGCAATGACCACTCAACCTAGAGAGCTCGCATGTGCAGTTTACAATAGGGTTCCCGCTCCTATCAGAATCTAATGCCACCACTGATCTGACAGGAGGCAAGACTCAGGAGCTAATGCTCTCTCACCTGCTGTTCACTTCCTGCTGTGTGGCCCAGTTCTTAACAGGCCAGGGACCAATCATGGTCCTTGGCCTAGGGGTTTGGGACCCCTGTTGTATAGAAACATTTTTTGAAACATGACAAAGCAAAAACATCAGCCAGAAATAATATTTCCCTAAAGTTACACGAGTGTGCCTGCCTTTCCTGCCTCGCATTCCATTTCTTCCTCAACTGACACCCCTGAGACAGCAAGACCAACACTTCCTCTTCCTCCTTGTCCTCAGCCTGCTCAATGTGAAGACAACCAGGATGAAGGCCTTCAGGGTGATGCACTACCACTTAATAAACAGTAGAGGTTATTTTCTTTCTTACAATATTCTCAGTGACATCTTGTTTTTCTAGCTTACTTAATTGTAATATAGTGTACAATATGCATGAATATATAAAATATGTTTTAATCAGCTGTTTTGGTTATCATTAATACTTTCCAGTTAACAGTATGCTATTAGTAATTAAATTCTGAGGGAGTCAAAAGTTACACATGGATTTTCTGACTTTGTAGGGTGTCCCCTACAAAAGTTACACATGGATTTTCTGACTTTGTGGGGTGTCTGACTTTGTAGGGTGGCCCCTAACCCTGTGTTGTTCAAGGATCAATCACGTAACATTTTTCATAACCACAGTATATTTACCAGGTTTTAAGACTCCAAATAAGACTGCTATCAGATCCATGGTGCATTTAGAAACTTAATGAAGTGTACCAATAATGTCATCACTTTATGCTTTCTTTTCTGCAAGTCTAGAATAAAACTCTGGCTCATATACTACAAGTAGCTTTCTTTTACCTAAAGTTTCCTTTTATCTTTTCTGTGTTTCTTTATTTTAACCATTTTAAGAATAAAGCCACTTACACCACTCAATTTGCATTCTGTATTTTCCATAGATTCAGGTTTTGCAATGATTTGAACAAAATACCCCAAAAATATCCTATGTTCATTTCACATATTATCAGAAGCCATGTCAGTGTGTCCTTTATTAATTATGTTTTAACTTAGATCACTTATTTAAGGTGTTTCTGCCACGTTTCTCCACTGAAAAGTTAGTATTTTTCTCTTTGTATAAACTTCTGGGAGGATACTTTGACACTGAGTCAGTAATCTGTTTCTTATTAGACTTTCAGCTACTTCTTTTATCATCTATTGTTTTTTTCCTATGTTTCGTTGGCATTGTTCTCCATTTATTTTAATCAACATAAAGGACTCATATTGTAAAGCAGTTATGTCATAAGTATAATTATTTTGATGCCCAAATTGTCACAGATTTGACTACTGAGAGGCAAATCCTATGTCTTTTTGATATGTCAATATGATTTTCTAAAAACTTTTTACAATTTCTGGCACAGTAGGATGTTTAAAGTTCATCCTGTACTTTCCAGTACAAAGCCTACATTGTCAAAGAGATACAAACTTCATGAAATTAATCACTTCAGTTCAAAATATTTTTTAGATCAGAAAAACCCACACTGAAGATTTAATAGTACTTCATAGCTGGCATGCAAAAATGAGGTAAGGACAGGCACAGTAGCTCACATCTGTAATCCCAGCACTTTGGGAGGCCAAGGCAGGCAGATTACTTGAGGCCAGGAGTTCAAGACCAGCCTTACCAACAGGATGAAACTTTGTCTCTAATAAAAATACAAAAATTAGCCAGGCATGGTGGCTCATGCCTCTAATTTCAGCTACTTGGGAGGCTGAGACAGGAGAATCACTTGAACCTGGGAGGCAGAAGCTGTAGTGAGCAGAGATCATACTGCTGCACTGCAGCCTGGGTCAGACAGTAGGAACCTGCCTCAAAAAAAAAAAAAAAAAAAAAAAAAAAACACAAAGAAAATGAGGTAGAATTAGTGACTGAATCAAAGCCAGATTCTGCATTTAGCACTGACATTGTTGCTGAGTGACACTTGTGAAGAGACTTTTTTCCTGCGGCAACTTGTCCCCAAAAGAATCAAGTGTCATAATGAAAGTAGAAAGAACAGAAGACATTTAAATGACAATTCTTAGAAAAAGACATTTTCTTGAACAGTAATGTGCCCTGTAACTAGTGTAAATCCTACAAATTTTATTCAGAAATCAGGAAAAATGACATATAATACTCTTGTAAGTAAATCATCACAAATACCATCCTTTCAATGAGATAAACAAAGTGGTTGATAGTTTGTTGATGCACATAAAGGTTTTTGAAAAATGTCATTCAGGAAGTATTCCTGGCTAAATTCAAGTAGTGAGACAAGGGTACTCATTTTTGCCATAAGTAAAATTTTAATGTTACTTTGTTATCTAAAATAACATGAAATTAGCTGACCATGCCACTGGTGAAATGTTTTTACAAAAATAAACAACTAGTAGTATCGTATATAGTCAGAATACAGACTAATGAAATGATTATCAGAAACTAAGAAAACATTAGTGAACTGTAAGAACTTCAAATCTATTTGCATATTACATCCTATGCTTGAAGAAATTTCTAAGATGCAATCACCATAGTTTTTGTTGGTATTGGTTTATATAATCCTAATCATATAAAAGTTTTAGTGAGAGAAATTGTGTCCCTATATTTAAGAACAAACTGACATTATTCAGCAACATTACTCAGAATGAGCAACATTACTCAGAAATGGAAAATATTAAAGGTAAATGATTAGTTCTAGAAAACATAATCAATGAATTCAGGGGACTGTATAATTACAGAAAGTGTTCAAGCATGTGCTGTATACAGGTAACATTCTGGCAAATACTATGTTCTAGAAAGTATTAACTCATTTATAAAGTAGGTATATACTACTGTTATTCTTGTTTTACAAATTTGGTAAATCTTAATCACAGAAGACTTAAGTACTTTGCAAGTCACTCAGTTGGAGGTAGGTTCAACTATATAAACTATATAAATCTAATTGTGTATTTAACTATATAAACTTTATAGCAGTTTAACTATAAAGCCTACATTCCAACTTCAACTTTATAAACAAATAATATGAACATGAGAATGTGGAATTTCTTCATTTCTTGACTCATGATCATAAGACATCAGTCAAGAACTCAACTAGAATTTGAACAAATAAACAGAGCACCCTAGTGAGGCTGGAATGCACCTATGCCTTTCCTCTTGACTGAATTGGAAATTAGGTCTTCAATTGTTGACGATAACATTACAATTACAGACAAAACCACCCAAAATGAATAAAATTATCATTGGAGTTAAGTATCTAGTTGTGATCACTTTTGGGGAGGGTCTTCATTGGCATCTGGGAGAGCCTTTGTACCTTCAAGAAGGTACAAGCAAGGCTTGAGGTGATACAGAATTTAAGAGAACGATATGCAAATTTTATGTTGCTTTCACTGGTTTTAGCTGCTCTTGATAAAGAAAGGGGCCAGCAAGCTTGGTTACATGCCTATATGGGCTTGCCTGTCATACCACTTTTGTCTTCGAGCTTCTGAACCTGACTGGCAGGATTGAAATGCAGGCAGCACCTGATGCTCAGATTGCTTTTATAGTTCTACAACAAGGGTAAAAAGAGTGGGTAAAATGTGAGAGGAACAGAAGCCAATGAAATAATTAGAGGTAACTGGAAGTTACTTAAGTTTTCTATTATTTTATGTGACTTTAAAAGGAAGCATTAAGCAAAAACTTGAGGAATTTTACAAACTCAACCATACCAAGACTCTACTATGCTTTTCAAACAGTTAATAATACAAATATCCACATTTTCAACATATATGATTGAATTCCACAGATACTAATGTAGCGTATCAATTAAGCAGCAATTTCAGTCCAACATTATGGTAAATCTTGGCTTCAACATGGGACAATAAAAGTTTGTCTCCTCTATAATCATAAAAATTGGGCCTGTGAAGTGGTTGATTTGGGACGCAGATGTTTTATGAACTTTTGGGGAAAGGGGCATACAACTATACATGTAGAAAGCCTACTGTGTGCTCCAGCACACAAAATGTATTAAAACTGTTAAGAGTACAAATAACATTCAAATTAACCTTCAACATGCCAAGATAGATCTCCACATAGCATATACGAAAAGACTGTTGAGAAGTATAATACAAGAAACAGTTTTAAAATATTTCATAGTCTAAGAACCAACGACACATCTAGTGATAACAAATCCAATGAATTTCTAATAAGCTCTTTAAACAATGGATAACAATATTTCAGAATTATTAAGAACTATAATATATGTAATAACAGAATCAGGCAAAATTAATAACAAATTAAGCTGGGCATGGTGGCTCAGCCTGTAATCCCAGCACTCTGGGAGGCCAAGGCAGGAGGAACACTTGAGCCCAGGAGTTCAAGATCAGCCCGGTCAACATGGCGAAACCCTGTCTCTGCTAAAAATATGAAACAGCAGGGCATAGTGGTGGGTGCCTGTGGTCCTAGCTACTCAGGAGACTGAGGTGGGAGGATCACTTGGGCCGGAGAAGCAGATGCTGCAATGAACTTAGACTGTACCACTGCACTTTGGCCTGGGCCACAGAGTGAGACTCCGTTCCCCTCAAAAAAAGAGCAAAAGCGTAATGACTTGAGTACACACCAAAGAGACCCAAGAGAATTATAACCTACCATAGATACTAACAGGCAGAGCTCCCAGGTATGAAAGAAAAGATACCAAGAAGAAGGATGAGTAAGTAGACATGCATTTAATAAAGACACTGGGAAAGGTGGCCTAGAGTTTAGGTTGCCTAAGATTTGGGATACCAAGTAGATCATATTCCTTAAGTGAATGCAATATGAAGTATAAATCCACTTCTATTTTTTCTCATTCAAAAATAAATGTTGTTATTTCTTAGGTTATTAACATTTAGAGCAAAACAAAGTTGATTCCCCATAGTTAATTTTAGCTTATCATACATACCTCCAGCATACAATCTGATGCTATTCATGTAGGTTGCAAGGTTTTCTGCTACCAAAGTAACTAAAGCATGATTTTGTTGAAGCTGGTTGATTAAATCATGGCGATAAAATATGTGGGGACTTCGCTGAGTTTGACTGAAATAAGAAGAACTTAACAGTATAATAAGGCACATGAAAATTGCTATAATTAAGAGAGTTTACAGAAGCTAAATTCTAGCTACTACTTTAAAAATTTTTAATGCTATACATTCTTAACAAAATGTGGTCAATATCCTCCCCTTAACAAAATATCAAACCCTGTAAAAAATATAATCCATGCCTCCAACCAAATATCCATTTCAGTATTCTTATTTAAAAATAAAAAGTATCTATTAGTATCAAAGCACATGTGTTGCATGATGAAGAATATCAGACATCCAGGTACATTCTGGAACAATGAGTTCACACCCTTCTACCTGGGGTTATCACAAAAAATACATAGTTCTCTTTTCCTTCCTAGTTTGTCATTATTGACGAAACCAATCAACTCACAATCGTTACTAATCTACTGGTAATGAGGTCACCAGTCTTAAGAAAGTGTATGTACTGCATCTATCTATAGTAAATAGATAAGTCTGATAAAAGACAAACGATATAGATAGAGAAATAATCAAAATGTGTCCTTCATAAGTATTTTTTCCAGTGTTTATTCCCATGAAACTTTCAAATTTCCTGTAATATTTCCAACGTTAGAAAAATAGAGTCAAAAGTCAACTTGAAAAAAAATCACAAAACATAAATAGCATTTTAAGCTTCTATCAACACAAAAACTCTCTTTGGGGCATAATTATATCAATCTAAGCTATAAAGCATCTTGATTAATCGTCATCTGATACACAAGACAAATGTCCATACACCATGAGACAATCTTTTTTTTTTTTTGAGACAGAGTTTTGCCCATGTTGCCCAGGCTGGAATACAAGGGTGCAATTTCGGCTCACTGCAACCTCAGCCTCCCAGGTTCAAGCAATTCTCCTGCCTCAGCCTCCCAAGTAGCTGGGATTATAAGTGCCCGTCACCACGCCCAGCTAATTTCTTGTATTTTTAGTAGAGACGGGGTTTCACCATGTTGGTGAGGCTGGTCTTGAACTCCTGACCTCAAGTGATCCACCTGCCTCAGCCTCGCAAAGTGCTAGGATTACAGGCATGAGCCGCAGCACCCATGAGAGAATCTTTCTAAGATTACAGCTAGTTAGATAAGCCTGGAGTTCATCACTGGGAATCCTAACTGCACTGAGAATTTTCTTCAACTAACACAGGTTTCTCCATGTTATTTTTCCTTTTATTTCATTAATTTTCAATATGTTACAATAAAATAAAATAAATTATTTAAATAACCACAATTTAACATATAACACCAAACATTTAAAATTAAAGAAAATCTAGCTAAAATAAATTATGAGTAAAAAAATCTTTAAACAGTCTTGTCATGTTTTATAATTTAAATCACTTTGTAGTCTAATTTTTAAAACTCAAGAAAGAGGTGTTCCCCCCTACAAATGTTAAAAATGTTAGATTAAATCAATTAAATAAATAACAAATAATACTATTTGTAACTACAAGGAATATTGAGCCAAGACAGAGTTAACCGTGGAAAGGATAGAGTAAAATGAGGAGTAAGATAAATACAACACATGGCATAATATCTGATACATCTGCTGGAAGTCAGAGACAATTCTGAACTAAGACCTGAAAGGCGGTAATGTCGCTATGATACTTAATTGCTATTTAGTATTGGATATATCACTTACCTATCTGTGTCATAAAATACAAAAAAGTTGAATATCATCAAGTATCCTTATTTTGTTGTAAACAAACTCTTAGAAATTTCTTGTTTTCCCACCATGGTTTTCTTTCTTTAAAATTTGCTTTCATACACCATTTCCAACATAATATACAGATAAAAATAAGAAAATTCTCTATTAAAAAAGTCTTACCTCAAATTTTGAGATGCTTCACCAAACAAACTACAAATTTCTCTTATTTGTTTCAGAGCAGGAATTACCCACTTGTCATTTGTGCGAAGTTCTTCTATAAAGTGATCTATCCACTGGATCTTCTGTGCATCTCGATCCTTATACATGAAAAAAATTTATACTGTAAGTGGATCAATACTCAATGTAATTCTACCTTCAAAATTATTTTGAGACTTATAAAATAGGAAACCTTCTAAACCTAGCATCACCAAATTTATGATGTAATTGTAAAAGAGTTCAAACAAAATGCTCTAAATATATTATTTTGAAGTTATAAAGAAAACACCAAAATGTAAGGCGCTTCTATAAATTTAATGTTCCATGATTCAGAAATACCTGTACCAAGACACAGTTCCCAAATACCAGCACATTTACAGTTAGTATGATTTTAAAACATTTGTCTGAATGGTGGCTACTGCATTTCATTGAGTTTTGTGAAGTTTTAATACTTAAAATTTGTAGCATAAGGCACATCGGTTAAACATTGGGAAGCTGTTGTGATTTGCTGATAGGGAAGCCAATATGTTCTGTTAATCTTACTAACTTCTTACTAGCAAATAAAATGTAATTACCCTTATACATCTAAAGTCACTTAGTGCTTTTAAATCTTTATGATCTGTATTAGCACTACATATTTAGTTACAATATGAATGTAATATGTTCTACCTATTAACATCTTTGTCTCAGTGAGGCAAAAATGCTTAGTGAATGATATATAAAATCTGGCTGGAAAACCCAAGGGTGGAGAACGGGTAGCCAGGCTTATACGACAATAGTATGCCAATTCCTCGAGATTACTTTAGAAATAAAAAATGGCAGGCTGGGTGCGGTGGCTGACGCCTGTAATCCCAGCACTTTGTGGGGCTGAGGTGGGTGGATCATGAAGTCAGGAGGTCGATACAATCCTGGCTAACACGGTGAAAGCCCGTCTCTACTAAAAATACAAAAAATTAGCCAGGCGTGGTGGCGGGCGCCTGTAGTCCCAGCTACTGGGGAGGCTGAGGCAGGAGAATGGCATGAACCCGAGAGGCGGAGCTTGCAGTAAGCCGAGATCGCGCCACTGCACTCCAGCCTGGGACACAGAGCGAGACTCTGTCTCAAAAATAAATAAATAAAATGATAGAAAAAACTGGAATCATCTTGTAACTAAGTTATCCTACTTGTGAAGGAAAGTCAGAAAACTGAACAAAGAAACACTCCCATACCTGGGAACAACTATAATCTAGTATTTTTATGTGGGCACTAAGAGCAAGGTCCATGATGTCTACAGGCACATCATCACTCTGAGCCAGGTTCCAAAGAAGGTTCAACACTTTGTGTGCCATCACACCATCTTTATCATCTTCTGCAAGACGGCGTATCAACTCAAGGAGCTTTTCACGTTGCTTTTTACTTGCATTTGTCCAACTTGCCTAAAGAAAGTATTTAAATGATATAAATACCACATAATTTATTACGTTTGTTTACATTAACCACTGCTTTAAGTCTTTGAATAAACTACATTCATCACATACACACAGGGGCGTGTGCGCACACACACACACCCCAAGAGCATATCTGAACAAAGGTGTTAGTAGAGGAAACAAAATAGTACTCGCGAGACAAAGTAATTGCAACTCCAGGAAAAAGAGCCTCTATTTCCAATATAAACTTTGTTACTTTTAACTTGAAAATTACGTAATTAAAAAATAACAAAGGATACCTGACACAAAAATGCTGTTATACATAAAGAGAGCAGATGATTAAGTAATCCTCATTAAACATTTTACAACAAAAAGCAAACATAAGAGGTGAAAAATGTTTATTAGAAATTATGTTACAGACCAAAAAATCCAAACAACAAAAACCTCCAACTTACAAAGAAATGATGAACAAATGCTGTCTACATGTAGGAGATAAAATGCTCACTGAAAAGAATTAAGATCATTTTGATTTGTGAAGGTAAAACAGATGTTTCATTATTCTTCCCATTAAATACAACCAAAACTCCTGGACATTATACATAACACGAACTTTGGAGTCTGAAAAGAATAGGGAAGAAAATAGTCCCTGAAAAGTAAAGAGAAGAATGTAGACCTCACAGAGACTTCTAAATATAAGGAACAAGAAGGTAGTGAATTCCCAGAATTTTCTTTTATTTCATATATTCCAGATTTGAAGCTAAAAGATCTAGCAACCTGCCAACATTAGTAGGTGCAGATAAGAAAAGCACCCTCCCTCCCCACAGCCACCCCTATAGCCTATGGATCAGGAAACATGCAAATTGAAAACTTAGAAAATAAATGTCCTACTCCAAGCAAAAACTATAGAAAGAACTATGACTCACTCCCCATGCATACCACAAAAAGTTGAGTGAAAACCCTAAAGTTCTTAAGGCTGTAACCAAGCATGCCAAAATCTGTGGGAAGATAAAGAAGGCCAACTAGTGAGCTGGGGTTTCTATGGAAGATAAAGAAGGCCAAGTAGTGAGCTGGGATTTCTAACTCCACTTGACAATAACAAAGAGCCAGCACCTGCCTGATTCTGCTGGAGTGGTGCCTAAAAGAGAATCAGAACTTTCATCACTGCCCGTTGCAAAAAACATCACTCCCACCATGGTAGAAGTTAGAAGTGTGGACCACACAGGGGGTCAGAAATTCCCCCCCACATAGCAGTAATAAGGAACACCCCCTTCGAGTGTTAAGGAAGACAGTATAGGGAACTTGGAGTTCTACTTCCAAGTGGTAACAACCAAGGGTATCCCTCCCTTCCCTTGCCTGAGTGTTGCCAGACAAAAATCAAGGAAAACAGAAGTTTCAATATTCCTTGAGTCAAACAACATATGAATATCTCTGGGTTTCCACTGAGTATTACTTGACATATCAAGAATCAGGAAGACATCAACATGAATGAAAAAAGAATTGACTGGTGCCAACACAAAAACGACAGATGTTAGAATTATCAAAGATTTTAAAGTTACATAAACAGACACAGTAATGTGCTACAGAAATTTAAAAAATATTCCAATAACCCTCCAGAAGGCAGGAAAATAAACACAGAGAAATGAAAAACAGAAGAGAATAAGCAGAACATAAAAATATGATAGCAAGGGGTAGCAGGGATTCTTTGTATTATTAAGTGTAACAAAATAGGCAGGTGAGGCTGGGCGCGGTGGCTCATGGCTGTAATCTCAGCACTTTGGGAGGCTGAGGTGGGTGAATCACCTGAGGTTGGGAGTTAGAGACCAGCCTGACCAATATAGAAATCCTGTCTCTACTAAAAATAAAGAAACATCAGCCGGGCATGGTGGCAGGCGTCTGTAATCCCAGCTGCTTCGTAGGCTGAGGCAGGAAAATCGCTTGAACCTGGGAGGCGGAGGTTGCAGTCAGCGGAGACCGCGCCATTACACTCCAGCATAGGCAACAAAAGCAAAACTCCCTCTCTTAAAAAAAAAAAAAAAAAGAAAGAAAACAGGTTGAAAGCAAAAGAATGCAAAAAGATAAAACCGGCAAACATTAAAGGAAAGTAGAAAAGCTATTTTAATGAGATTAAAATAGATTTCAGCACAAGAAAAAAATGTCATAGGTCACTAAACAATGAAAAAGGATCACTTCATCAAGACACGACACAGCAGTTCTAAACATGTATACACCAAAATGTGTATACTGCAAAATATATGAAGCAAAAACTAAGATAATCAAAGGCAAAAGAGACAAAATCATAATTAGAGAGACATCAACAACCCTCTCTAAACAAACGACAGAACTACACAGAAAATTTGCAAAAATATCAACGAAAGTATCAACCAACAGGATTTAACTGACATTTATAGAACACTCCACACAACAGCAGGATAAACCTTATTTTCAAAGTTCCTACAAAAGAAAACACACAAGATAGACCACCTCTTCAGTGACAAAACCAACCTCAGGAAATTTAAGAATGAAAATCATATAATTACACAGGAATCAAAGTATAAATCAATTACATTACGATGACATGAAAACCTCCTATTAATTGTTGTTCAAGTCCTAGTTCTATGTTCTCAAAGAGTCATCTTCACAGAAATTAATATAATTGAGGCTAAGCATGGTGGCTCATGACTGTAATCCACCACTCTGAGAGGCCAAGGAAGGAGAATCACTTGAGCCCAATAGTTTAAGGCCAAGCAAGTTTGAGTCCCAGCCTAAAAAACACAGTGAGACTTATTTCTATAAAAAAATTTAAAAATTAGCTGGACATAGTGATTCATACCTATAGTCTGAGCTACTCAGGAAGCCTGAGGTGGGAGAATTGCTTGAACCTGGGAGGCTGAGACTGCAGTGAGTGTGATTGTACCACTAAACTCCAGCCTGGGCGAACAGATTGAGGCCCTGTCTGGAAGGAATACATACACACACACACACACACACACACACGCAACATGTATATCTATATATTTATAATATGTATATTATACTGGTATATATGTATATATATAGGCATATATATATATACATATACATAAGCCTGTTTGCATATATATGCTTGTCAAAAAAAGCAAAATTTGGATAAAATATGCAACATTTAAACATAGTGGAAGATGGGAGTTCCTAACACCAAACACACAGATAAGAGGAAATGCTGAAGTGAATCATCTTAACTCCTACTTTAGGAAACTACAAAAAAAGAGCAATACAAGCTTGAAGAAAGCAGAATAAAGGACACACTAAAGAATTAACAAAAATCCATAAACTTTAAAAGAAACAACAGAGAAAATTAATTAAACAAAGACTTGTCTTTTCAAAAGGATGTATAATTAAACTTCTAGCGCAGTGAGTAAAACAAAATCTTATTAAAGGTAATACACAAATTACTAACATCAGTAATAAAACAGCTATGACTGCAGACTGTGCTGACATCAAAAAACAATACGGAACACTAGAAATAATATATAATTTGACAGCCTAGACAAAATATATCACATCTCTTAAAAACAAATTACAGGAACTCAATCAATATAAACAATTTTAAAAGAACAATTATTATGAAAAACTAAATTTGTAATGTTAAAACTCCCCAAAATAATCACCAGACCAGATAGTTTCAGTGAGGAAAAAAAGAAGAAACACTTCCCAATATTTTATAAAGTAAGTAATGTTCTGACTGCAAAACCTGAACATTACAAAGAAAACTACAGACTGCATCCCTCAGAAATACGAATGCAAAATTCCTTAACAATTATTAGAAAAGGAAAGTCAAAAACACACAATAATAATGATATATGATTAAGTATGGTTTATTCCAGGGATACAGGCCTAACTAACTAATCAAAAAACAATCACTGTAATCCACCACATTAAAAGGGTAGAAAAGAAAAACTGGGCTGTACATGGCTGTTCACACCTGTAATCCCAGTGACAGGAGGCGAAAGTTTGGGAGGACAAGCCTGGGCATGACAGTGAAACCCCACTTCTGTAAAAATAAAAATTAGAAAAAAAGTTAGCTTCGTGTGGTAGGGTGTGCCCTTAGTCCTAGCTACTCAGGACGCTGAGGGAGGAGGATAGCTTGGGCCCGGGAAGTCAAAGCTGCAGTGAACTGTGATCACGCCACTGCCCTCTCACCTGGGTGACGGAGTGAGACCATGTCTAAAAAAAAAAACTCACTATCACAGCAACAGATACAGAAAAAAACACTTGGCAAAACATCCATTCATGACAAAGAGTCTCAGAACAAAAATGGAATGCAATTTTCTTAAACCAATTAATGGCATCTACAAAAAAGGGGGAGATAACATTATTCCCTCTGTACTTGCTTTTCTGTTCTAAAACAGACAGGGTGAGATCTTGGCTCACTGTAGCTTCTAACTCTTGGGCTGAGGCAATCCTCCTGCCGTAACTTCACAAAGTGTTGGGATTACAGGTGTGAGCCACTGCTCCAGGCTAACGTTATTAACAATGAAACACTGATAGTTTTCTTACCATGAGATCAAAGCAAGACTAAATTGCTCCCTCTAGCCACTTCTATTGAGCTTTATACTGGCAATTCTAACCAACATAATGAGGCAAGAAAAAGAAGTAACAGGCACACACAAGGAGAAGGAAGATGCAAAATTCTTCCTACGTGCAGGGGTATGATTTTCTATATAAAAGAAAATTGCAAGGATCCTCAAAGAGAAAAAAAAAGCCTCATGGACTTTAACACGATTGCAGGACATGGAATATACATATAAAAATCAAACCTATACAGGAGTAGTAATAAATGTATAAACACAGCATCAAAAACATTCACAATTACTCAAAGTAAAACCAGACACATAAACATTTAACTGTAAATTTAACCAAACATGTATAAGGTTTGTATGTGTGAATAAATAATTCAAAGGTCTGAATCAATGAAGAGGTATATAGTATTCTGGGGCTCAAAAATCCATGCCAAAATTCTCCCCAAACCGATATACAGAATTTACGTACTACTATTTAAAACAGTGTATCTCCTATTACTGGGAAGCAGATATCTAAAATGAAGATCAGATTATCTAAAATTTTTACGGTAAGCAAAATTTAAAAACAACTAAATAATTTGAAAAAAAGATAAACTGGGATGAGTCTGTCTACCTGATTTTAATACTACATTATGTACTTGCAGTAATCACAATTCTGAGGCACAGGAACAAAGATCAATGAAGAAAACAAAAAATGTATAAATAAACCCACACAAATGTGACCAACTGATTTCTGAAAAAGGTACAAGAGCAACATAATAAATTAAAAATGAAAGACAGCCTTTCACAAAATGGTTCTGGAATACCTGGGAGAAGAAAAAGAAGTTTAGATCTAAGTCTCACACCTAAAGAATGCAAGAAAGCATCACTCAACTGGATCAGACCTGAATGACATAAGTAAAACTTTTAGAGAAACAATATAAGAATAAATAGGATTTATGGGTAGGCAATAAGTGCTCAGAATTTGACATAAAAAAGCATGATTTCTAAGAAAAAATAAGTCGGACCTCATCAGAATACAAACTCAACTGGTAAAACACCTGTTAAAGCGGACAAAAAGATATGCTATAGACTGTTTGAAAATATTTGCTAACTGTGTTTCTAATAAATGACTATCATCTAGATTACATAAAGAACTCAGTAATAACAAACTTAAATTAGCAAATGAACAAAAAACATAAAAAGGCATTTCACCAAAAACTCCACATAGAAACTAAATATATGAAAGATCTTCAACATCATTAGTCATTAGGATAATGTAAATTAAAACCATTAATGGGATTTCACTGCACACCTGTCAGAATAAAACAAGTTTAAAAAATAGTGTCACTGGGGTGGGCACGGTGGTTCACGCCTGTAATCCCAGCACTTTGGGAGGCTGAGGCTGGCGGATCACGAGGTCAGGAGATTGAGACCACCCTGGCCAACATGGCGAAACCCCGTCACTACTAAAAAAATATAAAACAATTAGCCAGGCATGGTTGCAGGCACCTGTAGTCCCAGCTACTTGGGAAGCTGAGGCAGGAGAATGGCATGAACCTGGGAGGCAGAGCTTGCAATGAGCCAAGATTGTGCCACTACACTCCAGCTTGGGCGAAAGAGTGAGTGAGACTCCTGTGATCTCAAAAAAAAAAAATAAATAAAAAATAAAAAATAAAAAATAGTGTCAATACCAAAATGTAGAAAGAATGTGGAGAAACTGGATTATTCATATTCATAAACTATGGGTAGAAATGAATAAGGTTAGTCATTCTGGAAAACAGTTTGGCAGTTTCTTAAAAACCTAAAAATGTCCTAAACAAAACAGAAAGAAAATCCAGCAACAAATAAAAAGATTATAGATCATAACAAGTATCGTTTATTGCAGTTTAAGAAGCAACACATATAAAAAAAGATTATACACCAAGACAAGTATAATTTATTCGAGAAGTATAAACCTGGCTGAACATACAAAAATCAACTAATGTAAAATAGGACATAAACACATGTAACATCTCCATATACCAAGACAGTTAATAAAATCCAATATCCTTTCATGATAAAAATACTCAATAAACTAGGATTTGAAGAGAACTTCCTAAACCCAATAAAAGGCATCTACAAAAGCCCTCCTTTTTACATTGTATTTTATGCTGAAAAATGGAAAGCTTGCCAACTACAATCAGAAACAAGACAAAAATGACTGTTCTCACCATTACTTTTAACATTGTACTAGAAGTTCTTGTTAGGGAAATCAGGCCAGAAGGAGAAGTTATATAATTGGAAAAGAACAAGTAAAACTAACTGTATTGCAAACAATATGATGCCATACATAGAAAAATTTAAGAGTCAATAACAAACTACTACAAGAAAGAAATGTAACAGAGTTTCAGTATGCAAGATCAATAAACAAATATCAACTGTATTTCTACATACAAGATACATGTTTCTTTACATTAGATGTTAAAAAATCCAAAATGAAATTAGGAAAACTTCCATTTATATTCACAACAAAAACAAAAAATTCTTTTGGTATCACTTTAGCACAGTTGAACTGAAAACTAAAAAAAAAAAATTGCTGAACAAAAGTAAGATAGACCCAAATAAACGGAAAGACATCCCTAAATAAATGGAAAGACATTGTATGTTCCCTGATTGGAAGACTAATGCTGTTAAGATGGTAGTACAATACAAACTGAATAAGGTTTATCAAAATTCCAGCTAATGTCTTTGCAAAAATCAACAAGCTAATGCTAAAACCAATATGGAAGTTCAAGGGACCTAGAATAGCCAAAACAATCTTAAAAGATAACACAATTGAAGAACTGTCGCTTCATAATTTGTAAATGTTCTATAAAGCTGCAAATCAATGCAATGCAATTCTGGTTTCACGACAGATATATCCAAACAATGAAACAGAACATAAAGCTTGTAAACACTTCCATCTATGATTGACTTATTTTCGACAAAGATGCTGAACAATATTCCCAACAATCTTTTAACAAATGCTCCTTGGACAACTGAATATTCACATGAAAAAAGTAAATCTAAAACTCTTACCAGCATACTATACACACCCATCCATCAAGGAGTCACACAGACCACACAAGTCTAGGAGGTCAAAGGGTTATCACCAGCAGAGCACTAAGGCCACATGGGTAAGCATGACTAACCCCACTGCTATGCTCCTCTGGTATCACGGTTTGGGGGTGGCACATTCAACATGGTGCTGGGACACAGTAACCAAAGAGGGAAAACAGTTGGCAGTGGGTGGGGGTGCTGCTCTCACTGTCTTCCTCTCCACTCTGGGTCACTGAAGAGACTGAGGGATGCCTCTTCTCTTGTCTCTTTTCTAGATATATAATACCCCATCCTCACACCTGCAATCCCCTTGATTGCAGACTGGTTCTCCTTTAATCCTCAGACCCTAAAGTTCACTCTGGGAAAGCCCCAATTTCACTCACATATAAAGGCCTTCCAGGATGTAAGCCAAGTATTTAAATTCTCCATGAAGGATGTTCCAGGGAAGGGAAAGCCATGAGAAAAGTACCAGTGACCTTAAAGAACTCTAAATGGGACTATGATGATAACATCAGAAAATGGAGATGGAAACTTTTACAAATGTGTATGCTGAAGGACTTGCAGGGGATTAGAGCCAAACCTATTAACTGCTCTAAGGTTTCCAAGATAGATCAAAAACTAGATGAAAATCCTTCAGCATTTTTGGAAAGGATGAGAAAAGCTTTAGTGAAACACACCTCCTTCTCTGCTGGTTTATTACTCAGGCAGCTCCTAAAATGGGAAGGAAATTAATGAAACACTCTGTTGAAAAATCTAGTTTTTCTCACCCTCAAGTAAAAACTTTGCAGTGTATAAATGACCCTCTCCTCTGTGCCCTAATTAAGGATGTCTCAGGAAGGCACTGAGGCTATCCTCAATCTCTTAGCTTAAAGTGGATATAGGGTCTAAAAATCTAACACTCAGCTCTGTCAGACTTCAGTAAAGTCACTAGGTCTAGTCTCAACAGAAAGGACCAGAGAAGTAGGTAAGGAAAGGATTGAGTCTATTTTCTTTACTAGTTAAGGGGATTCATAGGTATTACCAGATTTTGTAGACTGTGAATACCTGAGTACAGGGAAATGGCTCTCCCTTTATATTACCTCATAAAAGAAACTCAAACAGTTAAAACTCACCCCCACAACTTGGGACCCTGAGACTCAAAAAGCCTTTAACCAGCTAAAATAAGCCTTACTTAAAACACCAGCCCTCAGTCTTCCCACAGGGAAAGCATCCAGTCTCTATGTATCAGGAAAGAAAGGAATGGCCCTAGAATTTTTAACTAAGGCTTGAGGTCTGGCTCAACAGCCAGTGGGTTACTTAAGCAAGGAACTTAACTTGGTGGCTAAAGGATGGTCAGCCCACCTGCAAGCAGTTACAGTGTGGCCTTGCTAGTGCTAGAGGTCAATGGGTTAACCATGGGGAGTAACTTTTTTTTCTTTCTGTTTTTTTTTTTTGATGCATGGTCTGGCTCTGTCGCCCAGACTGGAGTGCCGCAGTGCGGCTCACTGCAACCTCGGCCTGCAGGGTTGAAGCCATTCTCATGTCTCAGCTTCTCGAGTAGCTGGGATTACAGACATGTGCCACCATGCCCGGCTCATTTTTTTGTATTTTTAGTAGAAATGAGGTTTCACTATATTGGCCACGCTGGTCTTGAACTCCTAACCTCAGGTGATCTGCCCCTGTCTCAGCCTCCCAAAGTGCTGGAATTACAGGTGTGAGCCACCATGCCCAGCCTAATTTAACTGTTACCACCCCACACAAAATAGAAGAACTGCTGTCCTCCAAGGAAAGGTTCTGGCTAACAGACAAATTGCCTCCTCAAATATCAAGCTTCGCTGCTAAAGGGATCTCCTGTCCAGTTGAAAACCTGCCCTTGCCTAAGTCCAGCCATTTTCTCCCAGAGAAAACTGGGAACCCGAATATGACTGTGAACAGGAAGTGAAGCAAACTGGTAAAAGAAGTAAGAATCACTATTTACATTCTCTGTAAAGTTTTAATTAATGAAAAAGAATTTTTTTAAAGAGCACTCAACTTAATTGAAAGTGGGTCTCTAAGCTATGGGTGTATTTAAAAGGCCCTGGTGTTTTTCTTTTCATAGATCTTGTTTTTCTGCAAAAGGTTCTTCTTCAGTCAACTTTTTTCACTCTGTCTTGCCACTCTTGGTGCATGCATGAAAGACCCTAGAATGACTTCTGGTGGCCCAGGACTCCTTGAGAAAACAGATAAGGTGCAACACATCTCATTTGGGGAGAAATTTCTGTTTTCTTCATACAACCCCTGTAATTAGAGGTGGTAAGTCCTTCTAATCTGTCTTTGTCTTCCAGCTATGCTTGTTTACTAGGCACAGGAGACTGTATTCCTAGACTGCTCTTAAAAGGGCTCCACTCTAAGCTGTTGGATCTTCTTCTGTCTGTGTAGTCATGTATGTGATATGTATGTGATGTCTATAAAAAGAGTTCTAATTAATTGGCCTAAGTAAATAAGCACTTAAATACTTTTAAAGAAAAAGCAAAAGCTTGTGGTACCTTTCAGTTCACATGACTTTCATCTTTAAAAATAAAAACATTCTGGGCCAGGCACAGTGGCTCACGCCTGTAATCCCAGCACTTTGGTAGGCTGAGGCAGGCGGATCACGAGGTCAGGAGATCAAGACCATCCTGGCTAACATGGTGAAACCCTGTCTCTACTAAAAATACAAAAACTTAGCCGGGTGTGGTGGTGGGCGCCTGTAGTCCCAGCTACTCGGGAGGCCGAGGCAGAAGAATAATGTGAACCAGGGAGGTGGAGCTTGCAGTGAGCCAAGATCAGGCCACTATACTCCAGCCTGGTCAACAGAGCGAGACTCTGTCTCAAAAAAAAAAAAAAAAAAATTCCTAGAGTTACCGTTTTGACATCTAATTGAAACTCTGGAAATAGATCTACATGCAAGGTATATAAAAACAGTAAAATATGTTTTTAGTAAAAGATTATAAGAAAGCAAGGAAATGTACATTGTGCCTAAGAATAAAGGACTGTCTTAAATTAGATAAACTGGAAGGTTTAAGCAAACTGAAAAAGATTGCAAAACTTAATCTTACAAAGGAAACTGTGTATGAACATATTAACTAAATTAAAAAGGGTATTTGTTTTTTTCTGTAAATTAAATATTGAAATAAAAGCACAACAAGGTATTCCTAAGATCCCAATCTGCTCTTTAGCAAAACTTGTAAAGGGTTATAACAGGTTTGCAAAAATCTCACCTCATGGTCAAACTGGTTAAAATTGAATAGGAGTGCCTACAATGTTTCATTAAAAACTGAGGCTAAATAAATTAATAGTAAACTAATGCAAGGGTGAAATTTTAACTTTCTCTCTTCAACAGGATTTCCATATAATAATAAAGGCTGATGGGATAACCGTATGGGATATCCAAGATTCTAGGCCCAGAGTATGTGCTGTTAATTGCAATTAAGGTTGTTATGTTGAGTTATTTTAAGTCATGGAAATAATCACATTTGTCAATCATGTTCTTGACTGTAACCACCTTGGACATTTTGTCTTTACAGACAATTGTTGTCTTGCTTGAATCTTCTTCAAAAAAATAGTTTATAATCAGCTATGGAACTTTAACAGGTGCTCTCAAATGCAGGTTTCTCATAACAGAAAAATGTACAGGACTTACGAAAAGCTGAAATGTTTACAAATATCAAGCAGAACAATAGTTAACAGAATGGACTGAACTAATAGAAAACTAAAGCAATCTTTTTGGTTTATGCTTACAACAGTGCTGATCCTTATTTTGTTTTTCAGAGTCAAGGAAACTTGTCTTGAGCTAGCTACAGACTAACAACTGAGTAAGGTATACTCTTGTGAACAAGGTTTAGAGCATGTTTGTTTCTTTCTGCCTGGTTCCTTTAAAATTCAGATACTTGTTGTAAGTATTCTTGACTTATAATATGGTTGTTTGCGTCAGTGCAGTAAGAATCCATTTTATTTTGCACACAATTTGAAAAACTGGTTGTTTTACCAAGGTTTTGACTGGAGGGTTTGTTTCCACTGAAGGAGTCAGTCTTGACTTGCAGAGCCAATAAAAGCCCTTTGGGAAAAGTGGCCTCACACCTTGTCTACACAGCTTCCATATAAGCTTCCTAACCTGCGGTGAGTAACAAATTTCACTTTCTCACAGCCCTAGGAACACCATGCTCTTGGAACCTCAAGAAAAGAAAAGTTTACCTAAGTCACAGGTATCTGAGGGTACAAACCCGTGGCTGGGCTCAGCTTCAAAGTCCCATCTGAGAGTCCTTGTGGAAGAAAGTTCCATCAAAGCCTATCTAAAAGGCCTGTGTAAAAATAATTATTCTTCCTGCATTTTATGCAAATCTCAGACCAACTTTAAAACTAAAGTCTATTTTGCAAACAACTCAATCTTATTTGTTTTTAACAGAAATGAGGACTGGAATTTGTTTTTAACAGAAATGAGCACTGAAAAAAGGGAAATTATGTTCCAAACTTATCACATATCTGTCATTGACTTCTAGTTTCGTTAGTAGTTTTTACATTCCTGCCTACATTTTAAACTAACATTGCTTATTCCTGTAAACTAACCAGCCATCTCTGGCTGCAGCTCACAGGAAACAGAAAGGGATATGTAACGTAAAAATCTGGAACAATGTTCTAGTTCAGGGCGATTATCCTACAAATGCTGCCAGGTAACCTATAATCCAGACGTTTCCATTTTGGGAAAGTAAGACCAAGGAAGCTCAACAAAGCCTAGCCCCATGCACCCAAAATCTTAACAGGCATAGTTATAGCCACCAGTTATCAGGGCATGTCAACAGCCTCAGGATTTTAATGCTGTCTTTCCCCACTTCTTGTCTCATTTTAACATATGTCCACTAGTAACCCAAATTGTTTCATTTCACTTAGAAGCTATCAAGCTCCAAATGGTAATGCAAATGGAACCAGGCATAAACACTTCTTTCATCTGAGTGCCTTAAACCATCTCCTGGAGGAATCCTAGCTTCTGTTCCCCACACAATGCCTGTCTCCAGCAGGAATTAACCAGAAAGATCAATGCCCAATCTTCCCAACAGCAGTCAGGGTTTCCACTCCTGAAGCAGGGAATGAGGGAGAAGCAAAGGAAAAATCAGTTTGGAAAACCTCAGGCTGCACCTGCACATAGGTAAGCAACTTTGTATAATTAGTCAGCTCCCAGGAAAAAGTTTTTCAGGCATACAAATGGTGAGAACTTACACAGGGAGGTGAGGGGCTTATCGAAAACAAACCCTCAGTTATATCAAGAAGAGAAGTGGCACTCTGTGCTTGCCTAGAGACATATCCACAACTGCTTAAGATAAGAGGAGTTGCACAGACAGCTTTACTGATAATAGAAGTTATTCAAACTGCTACAGAGATGAGAAGAGCTTCTTATAAAAGCTGTTAAATTCAGCTATAACCCAGCAATCCACTCGGACTCCTCTCTGCTGAAGAGAGCTTTTTTCTTTCACTTATTAAATTTTCACTCCAATCCCACCTTTGTGTCCACGTTCCTTAATTTTCTTGGACACAGGACAAAGAACATGGGGTACTGATACAGAAAATGAGAAAATGCTACAATAAGGTGCATTAGGAAGACTGCAACATTTCCACATTTCATCTCACCTAGAGAAATAAGCATTGCATTAAAACACAAAATAAAAACATAAAAAAGCCAAAAACCCTGCCCACCAAGGTTCACAGCATTAGGAAGACTGCAACATTTCCACATTTCATCTCACCTAGAGAAATAAGCATTGCATTAAAACACAAAATAAAAACATAAAAAAGCCAAAAACCCTGCCCACCAAGGTTCACAGCAGTTTATAATAGCCCCAACCTGGATATAATACAGATGTCCATTCATGGTGAGTAGTTCATACCATGAGTACTACTCGTCAATAAAGGAAGCAAATGTCAGATACAGTATGCCTAATGTGAAGATCTGAAATTTAAATACTCCAAAATCTGAAACTTTCTGCATGGTGACATGATGCTCAAAAGATATGCTCCTTAAAACAGTCTGGGCCAGGCATGGTGGCTCACACCTGTAATCCCAGCACTTTGGGAGGCTGAGGCAGGCAGATCAGATGACAAGGTCAGGAGATCAAGACCATCCTGGCTAACACAGTGAAATCCTGTCTTTACTGAAAAAAAATACAAAAAAGTTAGCCGGGTGTGGTGGCAGGCACCTGTAGTCCCAGCTACTCAGCTACTTGGGAGGCTGAGGCAGATGAACGGTGTGAACTCAGGAGGCAGAGCTTGCAGTGAGCTGATATCGCACCACTGCCCTCCAGCCTGGGCAACAGAGTGAGACTCCATCTCAAAAAACAACAGCAATAAAAACATTCTGGATTTCAGATTTTTAATGCAGAGATGCTCAAGTAGTCAGTATGAGGCAAATGCTCCAAAAAAAAAAATTCCAAAATACTTCTGGTACTAAGCATTTCAGATAAGGGATACTCAACCTGATAGATACATACATCATTCTAGTGAGACTGCAAACAATTAAATAGAATGAAAAAAAAACTAACCTCAAAAGTCCATATTATGTTCAATTCCAGTTAGTACATGTTTAAAGTAAAAGCAAAAGACCTTTAGAAATTGAGCCGACTGGCGGTCTGGTTAGTTGCCAGGGGTTAAGAAGGAAGTTGGGGCAGAAGGCAAGCGGGTGTTGCAATAAAAGGGCACCATGAGGAATCCTTGTGATGACACAGATGTTCAGTATCTTGATGGAAACAATGTCAAAATCTTGGTAGTGATCAAAATCTTGGTTGCAGTGATTTTTAAAGATGTTAACACTAAGAGTAACAGGGTAAAGAATATATGGGATTTTCTGCATTACTTCTTAACATGGTACGTGAATCTACAATCTTCTTAGTATAAAAAATTAATTTATTAAAGTAAAACAAGTGTTCTAAATGCCCAGCAATACAGAGGAAGCTATATGTAGTATTTTATTAGTAGTTATTAGTGAGAGGTGAAGTCAGCTGAGCTTCTAGTTCAGATGGGGACCTGGAGAACTTTTGTGTCTAGCTAAAGGTTTGCAAATGCACCAATCTGCACTCTGTGTCTAGCTAAAGGATTGTAAACACAACAATCAGCACTCTGTAAAATCATACCAATCAGCACTCTTTGTCTAGCTAAAGGACTGTAAACACACCAGTCAGTGCTCTGTAAAATGGATCAATCAGCAGGATGTGGGTGGGACCAAATACAGGAATAAAAGCTGGCTACTCAAGCCAGCAGCACAACTGGCTTGGGTCCCCTTCCACCCTGTGGAAGCTTTGTTCTTTCGCTCTTCACAATAACACTTGCTGCTGCTCACTCTTTGGGTTTGCACTACCTTTATGAGCTGTAACACTCACCAGGAGGGTCTGTGGCTTCATTCTTCAAGTCAGCAAGACCAAGAACCCACAGGAAGGAATAAATTCTGGACACACTAGAACTAAAGAACTGAAATCCACTTAAATGTCCAATAATAGGAGAAAGGACTACATCACCTTAACCTAGTAACTGTACAGCACTTTAAAATGATAAATACAGAATTTCTTAGGAAGACAACTGTAACACCTGCTTTTAATTCCCTCTGGTGTCCACAAAATTCCCACTGAAATAACAAAAGGAATACAGAAACTACTAACAAAATAGCAAATGATGAATATTATTACAAGAACAAAAAAATGTAAGGAGGCAACTACAGAATCAAAGAGGAGTGATTAAAAGATAGAAAACTAGACAGTGAGGAATGTAGTTAGATCCTGATTCAAACAAACTGTTAATAAAACCTGTGAGAAACTATTTGTGATACGGTTTGAACAATAAGCATTTAGATACACAAAAACTCCTAGGAAACAAATTAGGACAACTACTGGACAGGAAAAATAGACATATTCTAAGAAGGAAGTGAGAACAGCTCAAAGACCTGTAACAATGTTCAATCTCAGTATCTAGAAATATTAAAATTGATGACCACAAAGAGAATCTCATAACCATGGGACTTTCAAAAATGAAAAATTATGCCAAAAATAAACGTTGGCAAGCACTGAAAATTAGTACCAACACCTCAGAAGACAAAGGCTTACTTAGAATTCAAATCTTTATCACCTAGAGTTTGAGCAAGCACATTAACTACATGTAACTGAGAAGAAAGATAAACTTGGAATCATCCAGCTGCAGCCCACGAAGAACTGATAATTGGCGTATACTCATTGCCTCCTTAAAAGCACCTTAACAAAGACCTTTGAAGACACACTGGCATGCTGTGTAAGAACTGCCAGATTTACCAACACCTCAAAAATGCAATGCTAGTCACTGAATAACAGACTTTTGATAAACAATAGGTAAGCCAAACAGCAATACAGAAATGACAGATTTTTTTTTTCTTTTGTGACAGTCTCCCTCTGTTACCCAGGCTGGAGTGCAGTGGTGTGATCTTGACTCACTGCAACCTCTGCCCCCGAGGTCCAAGACATTCTCCAGAGTAACTGGGATTACAGGCATGCACCACCATGCCCAGAGAACTGTTTGTATTTTTAATAGAGATGGGGTTCCATCATGTTGTCCAAGGTGGTCTCGAACTCCTGACCTCATGTGAGCCACCCTCCTCAGTCTCCCAAAGTGCTGGGGTTACAGGCCTAAGACACCGTTCCCAGTCAGATAATAGATTTTTTATTTTAATTATCTTGAAGTCATCTTGAGAATTTATGAATTAAAAAGGAGAGGGAGAAAAAAAAAAGAGAGAAATTGACACCAGATCCTCCATCTATTATTATGGCTGTCTTGGTGCATCACTGTTTCAGAAGTTATCTCAGGACTAAAAACAATAGGAAATAAAGAGTATCAAATATAACTTCTCAATATTGATGTCCTTGCCTACCTCTGATATACATCCAACAGATTAAAACATATAGTCATCTCAAATAAATTCTTATTATGCTGACATGATTAAAAGTCTAGTCCCTTTACATGGTAATTCTGATTTAACACATCTGGGGTGTAGTCAGAATTCAAAGTGTAACAGTTGTGAAACTATTATCCAGGTCACTTCTGACTTCTTGTACATCATTTTCTTCCTTTTTTCTATATTCTCCATAATGGCAAGATCCATCTATGTGCCAAACTGTTACAATGTGTTAACTTTCATTGTCACAAAGTGTTCCATATAAAGGAGTCCACAGTTTACTTATCCTTTCATAATATATAGACATTTAAGTTGTTTCCTTCATTTCGGGACTAATAAAACAATCCTGCTAAGATACTGTTGAAAACATTCCTTAGTGAACATATTCAGGAGTTTACCCAGGGCATAGATTCAGAAATAGAATAGTTGGGTGATAGAACGTAAGAATCTACATTTTAAAAGAACAATGCCAACCTATTCTCTCTTGTAATTAGCAAGTAAAGCTCCCACCAAAAATCTAATTACTATTTACTGAAATATTTATTCCTGAATAATGACATATGGATTTATATTCTTGATCCATAAATTCATCAACCTTAAAAACCAGCGAGACCATTGTGCCAAAATGTCTTTAAAAGTGACATTATGATATTAGAAACCTCTTGTTTTTTGAATTTCATTTCTATATGCCATATACATAACTCCATAGAACCAGAATGTTTTATGCCTCATTTTCCAATTATTCTCTGCATTTCTACAGGTTATTTTAACCAAAGTCAAAATGAAAATTACCAGTGGAAATGAATTCAAAGAAATAATGTAAGTGAAAAAACATTAAGATTCTGCATTTGTGATGAAAACTATTACAACAAATTACTGTTAAACTCTGATTGGAAGAAACAACAATGACCAATTCTTTTTCATCAGAGATTCTTCCATGAAAATGTTAGTTAAGCACACTAGCTATAAGCAAAAGAAATCTAACGAATTAAACTTTACTTAGAATTAACTGGCAATATTTACTATTTGGCAATACTTTACTATTCAAGCTACTACCTTAAAGCAATCAAAAAGATGATCAAGTTGTCCAGGAGAAAAATCCCAAGCCAACTTTGCTAGCAGATCATGTACATTCTTCACAATGGCTTCATGTTTTCCTGCCTGTTGAAAAAACAAAAGTAGAATAAATAAAAGCAAAAAAAAAATTATAGTATACTTAAATTTTAATAACAAAAAAATAGTTCTACTACAAGAATCTCCATTACTTAATAAACATTCCTACTTCATTTGAGTAATTAACAGAATTCTTAATATTTGAAATGCTTTAGAACTGTCATTTAATACCTGGCAACTCAGTTTTTTTGGGTACAAATAGTAAACTTCGGAAATTAATATGAAAACTTACTAGAAGGTATTTACAAATAAAACTAAGAGAAAAAGAAGTCAAAATATTAGATTGTTTCAAAACTCCAAGCTTAAGTGCTCAATAAAAGCAAGATTAAGTATTTTGTTGTTTCTCTTAAAAAAAAGGCAAAAAACAAGCTTTATGAGCCAGTGCCTAACAATACTCCCCAAGTGACCCAGGAGTAGAAACCTGCCATTAAGATAATATAAAAACATATGCATTAGTATATCTGAAACCAGGGTTTTTTATTATGGAAAGTCATAATCTTCTATAATAATCGTATGTTTTTTAAAGTCACTGTAATGGAACTCGTGACATTTGTTTCTTCTATGCATTACATAGGTGAAAACCTCCAAATATAGATTCTTTATCCTCTTTCAATAATTGTTCCTTTAATCATAATTATTTTGCTATATAGATCTTTCATTTAAAACCATGTATGGCCAAGCGCAGTGGCTCACACCTGCAATCCCAGCACTTTGGGGGGCTAAGGAGGATGGATCACGAGGTCAGGAGATCAAGACCATCCTGGCTAACAGGGTGAAACCCTGTCTCTTCTAAAAGTACAAAAAATTAGCCAGGCCTGGTGGTGGGCGCTTGTAGTCCCAGCTACTCGGGAGGGTAAGGCAGAGAATGGTGTGAACCTGGGAGGCAGAGCTTGCAGTGAGCTGAGATTGCACCAATGCACCCGAGTCTGGGAGGGAGAGCAAGATTCCATCTAAAAACAAAACAAAACAAAACAAAAAAAACCAAAAAAACTACCTATAAGCTGCTACCATGAATATATATACAAAGACAGAAAAATGTTATTTTTTGTTTAAAAATTCTTGGTAAGATTTCTCTACATGAACAGCACATGCATTAGTAAAAGTCAGGCAATACTAAATTGCTGGCCATTATATAAGGGTTACCAAAAATTTTCTCCTTTTTGGTATCTTTCTTAGAAAATAGCTATCATCTCACTTTCTTACCTGTGCTGCCCAGATATTATCAAGGTCCTGTAATGTAAGAGCCTTTTCTTTAATCACAAAACGAAGAATTTTCTCTAGCTTTTCTACATATTGTGGTTGATGAAGACTGTCTTGCAAGACTATGGATAAGATATTATTTTGCTGTATCCATTCCTAAATGTAATACAAAAATTCAATGCTGAAACTAAAAAGAAATTTTTTTAAAAAGCGAAATAAAAACATGTCTCCAACTTCTAAATAATATTAAGTAGGAATTCAAAAGTCCAAATTATGTATACATTCACAAATTACAGCACAGTAGTGTAACATTTAAGTGTTGTGTTAATTCAAAATTAAACACTAAAATAACTTATTTCACAAAATTTGGCATATAAAATCTTTCCATAGGTGTACTAGATTCACAAATTATAATTCACTAATATAATGAATTACCTTGGTGTTGTAATCTGCAATTAGTATACATTAACATAAATAATTTTACAGAATTTTACTTCTGCAAATAAAGATTCCCATATGTGATACAACAGTACACTTCTCACACTATCCATTGAAAACAACCAGTTTTATATTCCCAATCTTAGATTCTTCTGTAAAATACAATAAAAGTGCCACAACAATGTCAAATTTTGCTAAATACTTTCAATGTTGGTGTCTCTCAAGAACCAGTAATAATTCAAGGACTAGTGAATATACTGAGTAATTCTGTTTAACATTCCACAAAGCAGGCAAATTGCATACATAAAACCTGACCACCAGCACTGAGTATGAGCATGGGTCTAAGGTAAACACTATTAAGACCACCCAAATGTCCTTAGCATATCTTTTTTCACATTCTAATCCTTTCCACTAGCAACCTGAAGGTTATTTTATGGTAAAGCTTATTCTACAGAAATGATCTCCACTATGCAAACCACATACACTCAAAAAAAGACTTTTTAATACTTTGGTGAAGTATTTGCTATTTATTTTGAAACTAAAATGTATGAAAATTTCTATGGTAAACAGTTTCATTACCTGTCAAAATGACATACATAGTGATTTTAAAATGAAATTATTAAGAAATTAATCTTACACTTTGGGAGGCTGAGGCAGGTGGATCATGAGGTCATGAGTTCAAGACCAGCCTGGCCAAAATGGTGAAACCCCATCTCTACTAAAAACATAAAAATTAGCCAGGCGTGGTTGCAGGCGCCTGTAATCCCTGCTACCTGGGAGGCTGAGGCAGATAATTGCTTGAACCCAGGATACGGACGTTACAGTGAGTGGAGATCGTGTCACTGCACTCCAGACTGGGTGATGGAGTGAGACTTTGTCTCAAAAAAAAAAAAAAGAAATTAATCTTAATATTCTTAAAATCATGATAAAGCACTACTCAATTATCCCATTAGTTATAATCCCTATTTATTAATCTTCAAATGGAATTAGGAAGTGATCACTACGTTAGTTCATTCACCAGACTGCAGATCCACTCAACCCCTCCGAAAATCACATCTTACTATTTCATTTCAACCAAGCCATCTATTTACATCAAAGCTACATTCAAAAATAATAAATTTACCTGAGAAACAATTAAGTTACCTCAACAGTTTCAAACAACTAATCATTTATTAAACCTTTTATTATTATTATAAAAAGATCTTACAATTAGTCATAAATCTTTCAATTTTAGTTTTGCTATTGTTGCTTCTAACAATAATTGGTAATAATGTAATTTTCCATAAGCAGTGTCTTATTCACAATAAAAGATTTAAGAGGCTTACTGCCATTCGCTCAGCTGTCAGCCATTCTTCCTCCTCAGGATTACTATGCCGATGAGTATAATATGATACACTAGATATAACCTTATTTATTTCATTCAGTGCATTCATCTTTCCATTAAAAGAGGAAATTTGCAACAATCTATGAGAAAAATTTGGAGTAAATGTTATAACCTTATTTATTTCATTCAGTGCATTCATCTTTCCACTAAAAGAGGAAATTTACAACCATAAATGAGAGAAATTTGGAGTAAATGTTATATCAGAATTCACACAAATAATTTAAGGTGGAAAATATCTTACCTGAGTATCATCTTTAACCTAAAAATTTCCAAATTTTTTATAGTCTCATCTTGTCCTGAAATTCTTGAAGCTAAGTTCTTCAAAGATTTAATAATCATTGAAAGGGCATCATTTTTGGCTTCATTCTTTGCCTCCTTTTTCAGTTCTTCATCAGTTAAGTTTTCCAATAAATGTGGAACTATTTCTATAACTGGAATGAAGTACTTTTTCAGTGTATGTTGACTGAGAAACTCATAGCATTGTCCAAATGGTCTGAAATACGAAGGACACAAAACCTCTGTAACATTCATGTTTTTTAAAAGAACTAAACTTGCCAATTACTTTCAACATTTAAGACCACACAAAAACAGGTCCTCATTTTACAGTGAGACACAACCCACACTGAAAAAAATGAACAATGATTTTTAAGTAAATAAAATAGTAATTTGTATAATGCACAGAATATGAAAACATAACTTAATAAGAGCTGCAATTATTTGAACAAACATGAAATTATTTAACAAACATGAAAACATAACTTACTTAATAAGAGCTGCAATTATTTGAATATTTAATGCTGATCCATTAAAAAAACGATCATGCAAAATCTGGAACCCATTTAATGTGCCAAATTTATTGATGAGATCCACTAGCCAACCCTGTAATACAGTTAATAATAAAAATTAATTCCCCCCTTTCAGAAAAAAAGTTACTATTTGAAACGCATTTGTGTGAAGCATACTAGAAATGGAAAATTTAATTAAAAAATTATACTAAATTATCTTTAAAAAGAGTACAAGACATGTTTACTATATATACTTACAGAGATTTAAACCTTTTATATTGTATTTTGTTTTCTATATCTTTCAGCTGGACACAGCACAGGCAGAAATTATATCATAGTTCATGGGGACACAACTGGTATTGTTTATATCTCATGTATCTGGTACGAGTAAGAATCAGGTAAAGGTTGTATATCTAAAAACATCTCTAAACGTTAAGATGCAATATGAATTAACGACTTCAGAAGTTATGAAAAGAATGAATAAACTAAGAATTAAGAAATAAGGTAAAATGAAAGATTTTTATATCATTTTCTAGAGTCAAGTTTTAGGAGAAAAATCAAAAAGAGGGAGTAGAGAACAAAGGATGTTTTACTACCAATCTTTTCTTCCTCCTCTTTTTTTTTTTTTTTTTTTTGGAGACGGAGTCTTGCTCTGTCACCCAGGCTGGAGTACAGTGGCATGATCTCAGCTCACTGCAACCTTTGCCTCCCAGGTTCAAGCAATCCTCTGGCCTCAGCCTCCTGAATAGCTGGGATTACAGGCACCTGCCAATACACCCAGCTAATTTTTGTATTTTTAGTAGAGATGGGGTTTCACCATGTTGGCCAGGCTGGTCTCGAACTCCTGACCTGAGGTGATACACCCACCTCGGACTCCCAAAGTGCTGGGATTATAGGCATGAGCCATCATGTCTGACCATACTACCAATCTTGAGAGAAATAATTTCTCCAGTTTGAACAGAAAAACATATTCAGGACATGTGGAAAATGTGAAATAAAAAATAACTTTTAAAGAATACACTTGTATAACTCTAATCCTACGTTTGATACGATGAAAAACTGAATTTTAAAAGCTTTGGTAAATATATTCCTGAATGATTTTACTATAATATTATATTTTCCTACCTTTTTATTATTTAAAAAATCAGTTCATGGAGTGACATCAGCAAGATTGTGGACTAAAACACTCCAAAGCCTTGTTTCTGTTCAAAGAAAAAACTTCACTGCAATTCTGAAAATCAGTCAAAAGTATACAGCTATCAAGAAAATGCCCAGTTCAAGAAAAAGCCATATTCAAAGGGAACAGGCAATTTTGTGTTATTTCACTTATCCTTGCCCACTCCCTTCCTACCAAGGTACAGTTTGCAGAACCAGTGATCTGGTCACCAGTTCTGTATGAACTGGAGGAATCAAGAGGGCTAGATTTACAACATTCTAAATTTGTCTGCAGGCTGCCTGTGGGATTAGTCTCTGCATACTCAACCTGAAGGGCAAGGGGCCAACAGTGGCTTAAAACTCCGACTAGAAGCCATGGGAAGACAATTTGTGAAGTCTCCAAGGGAATTACAAACCTGTAGACTACTGAGGCGAACTACTGAATGAAGAATGCACATGACAGGTAAGGCAGCAAAAATAAACAGAGGTGAGGCTCATGGAGGAATTGGGAAATTTTTACAGCAACCATCATGGAATGGAATAACCAGAACCATGTGAAATACATGGGTAAAAAAGACTCACGGAAAGTCTCAAGAAAGACAAATACCTAGAAAAGGTTAAAGCAGGCTTTAAGCCTGCAAGCTGAGCTGATTAATAAAGGGAATTCCCCTGTACCAAGCCAGTTCACAAAGACTGGGGAATATAAGTGCTTTTTCAAATGCTCAAAATGACTCAGGAGGCCAGTCACGGTGGCTCATGCCTGTCATCCTAGCACTTTGGGAGGCTGAGGTGGGTGGATCCCCTGAGGTCAGAAGTTCAAGACATGCCTGGTCAACATGGTGAAACCCCTGGCTAAATATACAAAAATTAGCTGGCATGGTGGTGGGTGCCTGTAAACTCAGCTACTCGGGAGGCTGAGGCAGGAGAATCGCTTGAACCTGGGAGGCAGAAGTTGCAGTGAGCCAAGATCACGCCATTACACTCCAGCCTGGGCAACAAGAGGGAAATCTGGTCTTAAAATAATAATAATAATAATATAAAAATACAAAAAATTAACTGGGCATAGTGGTGGGAGCCTGTAATCCCAGCTACTTGGGAGGGTGAGACAGGAGAATTGCTTGAACCCAGGAGGCAGAGGTTGCAGTGGGCAGACATGGTGCCATTGCACTCCAGGCTGGGTGACAGAGCAAGGCTTTGTCTCAAAAAAAAAAAAAAAGATGACACAGCCTACAAAAAGTAGACAAGATAAAATAAATCTTTTTTTTTTTCTGTCCAAGGACAGAAACTGTCCTTGGAGAAACACAGCCAGACTCACTTGACAAACATTTTAAAATATCAGCGCAGTGTCTCACACCTTTAATCACAGCACTTTGGGAGGCCGCGGCGGGCGGATCGCCTGAGATCAGGAGTTCAAGACCAGCCTGGCCAGTATGCTGAAACCCCATCTCTACTAAAAATACAAAAACTAGCTGGGCATGGTGGTGCACGTCTGTAATCCCAGCTACTCGGGGCCAGGGGGAGCTGAGGAAGAGAATCGCTTGAACCAGGGAGGCAGAGGTTGCAGTCAGCCAAGATCGCACCACTGCCCTCCAGCCTGAGAGACAGAGTAAGGCTCTGTCTCAAAAATAAAATAAAATAAAATAATTTAAGAAAAAGTCAAATACGCCTAATGAACTAATGAAAAAGGAGGCTAAAGAAAATTAGAAAAATGATATACAAATAAAATGAACATGTCAACAGAGAAAAAAAATAATAAAGAAACAGGGCCAGGTGTGGTGGTTCAATCCTATCATCCCAGCACTTTGGGAGGCCAAGGCAGGCAGATGACCTGAGGTCAGGAGTTCAAGACCAGCCTGACCAAACATGGAGAAGAAGACCCCATCTCTACTAAAAATACAAGTAGCCGGGTGGCCAGGTGTGGTGGTTCATGCCTGTAATCCCAGCACTTTGGGAGGTCGAGGCAGGCGGATCACAAGGTCAGGAGACTGACACCATGCTGGCCAACATGGTGAAACCCCATCTCTACTAAACACACAAAAAATTAGTGAGGCATGGTTGTGCGTGTCTGTAGTCCCAGCTACGTGGAATCCTGAGGCGGGGGAATCACTTAAACCTAGGAGATGGAGGTTGTGGTAAGTCGAGATCGCGCCATTGCACTCCAGCCTGGGCAACAAGAGCAAAACTCTGTCTCAAACAAACAAAAAAACCAAACGTAAATTCTGCAGATGAAAATACGGAAACAAGATGGGCTCAACAGAAGACATCAATAGGCAGGACTGACAATCACGACTTGAGAAAAGGTCATTTAAAATCAGAGTAAGTGGAGAAAAAAAGAAGTCAAAAGTGAATAGCCTGAGAGACTTAGGGAATACCACCACTTGGAAAAATGCAAACATTATGAACGTCCAAGAAGCAGAAGATAAAGAAACAGAGGTCTCACATGCAGAAATAGTGGCCAAAATAGTGGCCAAAACTGTGCCATATTTGAGGAAAGACATGGATATATACAAATAGAAAAGGCTCAGTACCTCTAGGGAAGGCACACCCCCAAAGACCACCACCAAAAAACGTTATAAAAAGAAAGAATCTAGAAATTAGTAAGAAAAGTAACTCCTCACATAATGAAAACAAAACAACAGCAGCAACAACAACAACAAAACCCTCAAAAATAGCTAACAGCTGAGTGCTCATTAGGAAGTACTGAGAGGAAAATACTATCAAATAATAATTTGGTACTTGGCAAAACAGTCCTTGAAATTAAGACATTTCTAGACCAACAAAAGCTGCTAGAGTCTATTACCACTAGACTACAAAAATGCTAAATGGCGTGCAAGTTGAAATACAAGGGCCCTAGGTGATAATTCAATGTATTAAAAAAAAATTACCAAATCTGTGGTAAAGAAAAACATACAAACATTTGTAAAACTCAGTATTACTGTAATTGTCTAATAACTCCACTTTTTATTCTCTTACAGAATTTGAGAGGCCAAAGAATTAAAAAACTTATGTCTGTATTACATATAAAAATATATCATTTGTGATATCAATAACATAAATTGCAGCAGGTGAGGTGTAAAGGACATTATGTATGCAACTGAAATCAAGTTGGTATGGGTTTAAAATAGACTGTTACAGCTATTATAATAATATACAGGCATACTTCATTTTATTACGCTTTGCTTTACTGAATTTTGCAGATAGTTTTTTTTTAAGAAGTGAAATTTGTAAAATGTCACATTTTTTAGCAATGAAGCATTTTAAAATTAAGGTGAGTACATTTTTTAAAGATGTAATGTTACCACATACTTAACAGACTAAGAATAGTGAAAATTATATATATATTGAGAAACAAAAAACTTGTGCAACTCCCTTCAATGTGGTAATTGCTTTATTGCAGTGGTCTGGAACTCAACCTGCAATACTATCTCCAAGGTATGCCCCTATGTAATCTCCATGGTAACCAGGAAAAACATGTTTATGGAATATGCCTAAAAGGAAATGAGAAGAATCACAACATGTCTGTAAAAGACAATCTGAAGAATTGAAATTATGAAGATAAAGTCAGTAGGTAAGAAAATTATACAGAAAAAAAGCTGTAAGACATCAGAAAACAACAAAATGGCAGTGGTAAATCCTCTTTATCACTAATTACTCTGAATATAAAGTAGGTTCAACTTCCCAACCAAATGATACAGATTGGCAGAATAGATTTAAAAAACAAAAACAGAATCCAAGATAAACTGTCTACAAAAGACTCACTTAAATATAAGGATGCACACAACTTGAAAGCTAAGAATACAAAACATCTGGGAGGCCGACGTGGGTAGATTACCTGAGGTCAAGAGTTTGAGACCAGCCTGGCCAACATGACAAAAGCCCGTCTCTACTAAAAATACAAAAATTAGCAGGGCATGGTGGTACATACATCGTGGTGCACACTCCCAGCTACTTGGGAGGCCGAGACATGAGAATCACTTGAATCTGGGAAGCAGAGTTTGCAGTGAGCCAAGATTGCACCACTGCACTCCAGCCTGTGCAACAGAGCGACTCTGTCTCAAAAAAAAAAAAAAAAAAAAATCCACACAAACAGTAACTAAAAGAGAACGTTTTGCTAATATGAAGCAAAATAAATTTTAGGTAGCATCCTCTCACAAGAGGCAAAAAAGGATGTTATATGATCATAAAAGGGTGAATTCACTGCAATTATAAATATGCATACACCAAACTTCAGAACTGCTGACTGTGTGAAGCAAACATTATGAGACCTAGAGAGAAAGTTATACAAAATTAGTCAGACACTTCAATACCATATTTCCAATAATCAGTAAACAATCAGACAAAATGTCAATAAGCCGAGGTGGGAGGATCACTTGTCATCAGAAGTTCAAGACCAGACTGGCCAACATGGTGAAACTCTGTCTCCACTAAAGATACAAAACTGAGCCAAGCATGGTGGCGGGTGCCTGTAATCCCAGCTACACAGCAGGAGAACAGCTTGAGCCTGGGAGGCAGAGATTGCAGTGAGCTGAGATGGCACCACTATACTCCAGCCTGGGTGACAAAGCAAAGCCCTGTCTCCAAAAAAAAAAATAAGGAAAAAAAGGCCTTGCACAACACTAGAGAACAAGTTGACCTAATAAACATTTATGGAACACTCTACACAAAAGTAGCAGAATAAACATTCTCGTCAAGTGCACTTAGAACATCCATCAGGATACATTACATAACAAACAAAACAAATCTTAACATATTTAAGACTGAGCTCATACAAACTATCTTTCCAGATCAGGATGCAAGGAAACTAGGAATCAACAGCAGAAGAAAAACTGAAAAATCAGCCAGGTGCATTGGGAGGCCAAGGCAGGTGGATCACTTGAGCTCAGGAGTTCAAGACCAACCTGGCCGACATGGTCAAACCCCATCTCTACTAAAAATAGAAAAAATTAGCTGGGCGTGGTGCCACACACCTGTAATCCTAGCTACTCCGGAGGCTGAGGCATGAGAATTGCCTGAACCCAGGAGGTGGAGGTTGCAGTGAGCCTAGATCACACCACTGCACTCTAGCCTGGGTGAAAAAGCGAAACTCCATCTCAAAAAATAAAAAAAAATAAAAACTGAAAAATCCATAAATAAGGAGAAATTAAACAACACATCTTAAACGACCCATCGATCAAGGAGGAGAACTCCAACAGAAAGTATAATATTTGAGGCAAATAAAAATGAAAACATATCAAACTTATGAGATGCGGCAAAAGCTGTGCGAAGAGAGAACTTCATAGTACAGAGGATTTTTTAAAAAAGATCTCCAATCAACAACCGAAAATTTATACCTTAAAGAACTACAAAAAGAAGCTGGGAGCAATGGCCCACGCCTGTAATCCCAGCACTTTGGGAGGCTGAGGTGGGCAGATCACCTGAGGTCAGGAGTTTGAGACCAGCCTGACCACCATGGTGAAACCTCTTTTCTACTAAAAATACATAAATCAGCCGGGTATTGTGGTGAGCACCTGTTAACCCCAGCAGCTATGGAGGCTGAGGCACAGGATGGGAGGCAGAGGTTGCAATGAGCTGAGATCATGCCGCTGCACTCCAGCTTGGGCGACAGAGCAAGACTGTCTCAAAAACAAAAACAAACAAACAAAAAATAACTACAAAAAGGGTAACAAAATAAACCCAAAGATAGCAGAAGAATATAAATGCCAAGAGATTAGCAAACAGAGCAGAAAAACAACAAAACCAAAATTTGGTTCTTGAAAAAATAAAGAAATTGCCAGACCTCTAGCCAGTTTGACTAAGAAAAAGAGAGAAGACTCAAATAACTAATAGCAGAAACAAAACAGGAGACATTACTATGTATATTATAGAAATAAAAAACCATCTGAGAGTACTAAGAACCACTGCATCCTAAAAAACTGGATAACCTAGATAGGAGGACAACTTTATAGAAATATACAATCTACCCAAGACGCAACCATGAAGAAATAGAAAACCTGAATAGGCCCATAACTAATCAGACAGAATCAGCAATCAAAAATACCCCCATAAAGAAAAGCCCAAACAAAACCCAATCACTTCACTGGGGGAATTCTACCAAATACTTGAAGAATTAAGACCAATCATCCTCACAGTCTTCCAAAAAACTGAGGAGGAAAGAACATATCCAAACTCATCTATGAAGACAGCATTACCCTGAACATCAAAACAAGACAAAGAAATTACAAAAAAAAAAAACCCTACACACTAATCTCCCTTATAAATATTGATGCAAAATTCTGCAATACTATAATAGCAACAAAATTTAAAACATATTAAAGAGATTATATACATGACCAAGTTATTTTTTTCCTGGAATGAAAGACACTTCAACATACAAATATTGATCAATACGACACACAATCTGAAGAGAATGAAAGGAAAAAAATCACATGATCATGGCCATCAATGCCGAAAAAGCTTTGACAAAATTTACCACCACAATGATAAAACCACTAAACAAATGAGGAACAGAAATAATTGACATTAACATAATAAAGACTTTATGTAAAAAGCTCTTGGCTAACATCATACTCTATGATGAAAGACTGAAAGCTGTTTATCTAAGATCAGGAACAATCAAGAATGCCTCCTTTCACTATTTCTATTCAATACACTAATTAAGTCCTCCTACCTGTGGAGGTAACACAAGAAAAAGCAGTAATAGGATTTATCCAATGTGAACCAATGGGAAAGAAAAAAGTAAATTATGTCTGTTCACAAAAATTTTATACTATTTAAAGGAATTCTGTATTATTTTATCTTTTTGGATTCTGCGAGTTTGTGTGTGTGTGTGTGTGTGTGAGCACACGCACATGTGCATATGCAGTATACTTGCTAAAGCCACGTTCTATTTTCTTTTTCTGTTGCTGGTTAAGTTTTTTTTTCATGCGCTAAATATTAATTGAATTTAATATGATCAAACTGACTTTGAGATATGAAATAGCCACTACAGTAATATTAAAGATACTGACACATTAAAGTGAAAATATACAAAATTGGGTGACTTTTCCATAGCTTTGACTGCTAGTGCAGTGGTTTTGGCTGTTTTTTTCTTTTCTGGCTTTTTGATGTGTAATTAGATTTTGCTGTCTTCTATCCCGCTTCCTTGAGAAAAATTGTTAATTCTGGCAAGTATAAAGCAGATCTAACTTCCCTTTGAGGTACAACTACAAAGATTACTTACATGATCCAAGATTTAGCTGTTGAACACTGAACCATCTTCTCCTAAGAAAATTAGGCATTACAGGAAACGCCTAATGGTATGTCATGAAAGCAAAATGGTACAATTTTTAAATCTCACTGAGGTTATACAGTCTGTAAATATATGTAAGCATTCTGCTGCTTTAATAAATATATACACACAGTACAAACAAAGAACAGCCCATGCTTATTTGCAGTAATTACAGTCTCTGAAGTAGCTGTGAACAATGAATTAGCAAATACTGACTTCTCCTCACAGAAACACAAACACTATGCTCCAAGGAGCATATTCAACCAATCAATACATAATAAACCCTGTTCAGGCATGAGTTATATGGTTATTGACCATGAGTTCAAGGTTATACATATTAAATAATAGGTCTTTAAACAGAAATCCACATAAAACAAGACTATGTATTGACTTGATCATTATTTAAAGACAGGTTCACATCACTAATGGTCTGTGGCAAATGCAAATAAAAAAATTAATATTTAATCTTGAAAATAACAAACCAACGCACTTTTGGTGATCGAGGATCTGAAGAACGAGCAAATAATTCATCTTCAGGCAACTGAGCATTTGAGGAAATTAATTCACACGGACGTGTACCATTGTAGATATGAAACTTGCAGTGAGGATTTAAGGCCATGGCGAGAAGTTCTAGAAGTGGAAACCAATCTTGGGACAACTTGGCCACACAAAGCTCCACTAGGCGATGAGTATTGTTAATAATACATCTCTGTTACATGGATAGGATATGATACAGTTTATAATAAGAACACATTGCAATTTCAAACACATTTAATTTTTATTAATAATCTCTTTCCATTTTTCTGCACTGGTCATCTTAATTCTGCATAATTTCACTAATATTGGGATCAAAGTAATACATTGGTAAAGATAAATTAATATTTATTTCATAAATTTGCACTTAATTTCAAAAGCTATTTGAGAAATGTAACAAATAAAGTAGGTACCACAGTTTGTCTATTTCTGCTTTATGTCTACAGGACACACAAATTGCCACTTTTCTCTCTGGAATTTGTACTTTAGAGGAAACCTTTAAAGTTTTGTTATCAACATCTCAACTCAAAAGTCACATATTTTCAAAATTTCAATTTCCACCCCTACAAAAAAGTTATAGGTCAATTCAGAGCTGCTGGCATATGCATGCCATGGTCATTTGTGGAAAATGTCTAAGTTGTATTTTTTAGGTTGAGGTCATCAAAAAGTATATATTTGATTCATAACTTTTGGTTAACTGCATTTTCTAAAAAAGAACCAGAGGCCTGAAGTATGTACAGTAATTCAGTAAAGATACTTTAGTTTTTGTCATTTTTAAAATCTCTGAAATATGAAGGTATCTTATAATAGAATCAAGATAGTTGGCAGACTGCAATATATACCTAGGTACTAGATTTGCAATATTACCTGAGATTACTTGTGTTTCCTTTTACCTGTCACTTGAAGATACTGCTAATCTGAGAATGTATTAAATTCTATTTGACTTTTTTGGCATCAAAACTCTAAGTATGAATTCGTATCACAAAATTGTGTGAATACTGGTTTCTGGTCTAAATTTCCAAGACAGGGGGTCTTCTTTCTCTACCAATCTTCTTTCTTTCATTCTCTGCACATTACATAACTGACTTTAGAACTATTATACTCTGGAAAATAGTTTCTTTGCTTTACATTTGTGCATAGTGAGTTTCTTTACCATTTACATTTGCACTGAAATTATATCCTTTGTTATCCCAGCTACATTGAGAGTCTGCTTAAGTATTTTTGACCTCAAGTGCTACAAAATAGTAGTGCCTCTTCCAATCAATACTATCTTGCATTTGATGAAATACACTGTGTTGTGTGTAAGGTTACAAGGTTGTTGAAATTTCAGGGGACAGGTTAAACAAAGGTTTACTAAATCAAAACCGCAAGCTCATTCTTAAAGACCATGCTAACCTTCAATTATGCAGTATATATCAGCAGACTTGATATGTTAATATGTTACGCACAGAAGTATTTTTCAAAAACAAATCCACAGGAATCACCATGTAAATCTGAGTCCCAGAAATGAAATACAAGACTCACATGAATTTCAAACTTCCAGCCACTCACAGCCTCATCCATAAGAATTTTAGTGAAAGATATTGTTAGTCCATCTCGAAAAAAACGTTGGCATGCTTCACTTTTAACATCAAGGCCTAAAAAACGAGCCAAACAAAGAATGTTTAAAAAAAATTATTTGGCCAATTATGATTAAACATAGTAAATTGCTAGAAACTATTATGGTCTCCAATTCACAAATAGTGTTGTGGCTTTTGAAATGAGACATGACATTATAAAATGTTAAAAAGGTGAAAAAACATGGGATTTCAGAAAAAGGAAGGAAATATAATATTCAGGAAATTTTAGAAACAGTTGTATAAACTACATCAAATCAAGTAATGTAACTCAATGAAACAGCTTGAAAATATGACATCAGAAAAAGAATGTTCACTAGTAGACAGGGAATTGAACCATTTCATAGAATTTTAATTACTGAAATACAGTAAAAAATCTGTGAAAATTAAAAAGTGACAATTAAAAAATCTGATTTTTCCCGGTAAATTGCCCATTTATCATCAAATTTAAGAGGCAAATCTTAAGTTTCTTTTTTCTTTTTACCTTTACCTGATTTAAGAAAAGCAAGATCCATGTGCCTCTATCAAAAAATAAAACTTACAAGTGTTTTCTGTTGAAGAGTCTTGCTCTATTTCCCAGACTGAAGTACAGTGGCACAACCTCAGCTCACTGCAATCTCCACTTCCCAGGTTTAAAAAATTCTCCTGCCTCAGCCTTCAAGTAGCTGGGATTATAGGCATGCACCACCATGCCTGGCTACTTTTTGTAGTTTTTGTACAGACAGGGTTTTGCCATATTGGCCAGGCTGGTCTCAAACACCTGACCTCAGGTGATCTTCCCACCTTGGCCTCCCACAGTGCTGGGATTACAGGGATTACAGGATCACTGCACCCAGCCAGAAAACCTGTAACTCTTAAAGCAACTCAAAACATATTAAATATGTACAAGGAGATATATTTTGATTTGAATTATATACATACTACTCTATCATTTAAACTAGTTTTATCTTACAGTAATCACGATCTCAGAATAACAGAGGAAAAGTCCCTGCAAATGACATACATCCACTGAATATCAATGCTATGAAATGAAATACCATTTCCAGTTTTTGTTCATTTTGTAGTGTTAGACCCTAGAACATACCTAGTACAGAAGTCCTTGACATTTGCTCAATTAATAAATATGCAATTAACAAAAGAAATTTAAATGAGGAGAAATATTTTCAATCTGGTAAAATATTTTCAGAGGTCACTAGATCACATATTGGTAAGATCAGTAAAACAACATAACAGTCGTTAAATGACAGTAGGATAGTTATTAGTTAAATGAAATTATCAATACCACCACAGAGTCAGACTCGGCAACAGAAACACTTTACAGGATACCAAAGGAATTAAAAATTTGTCTAACAACACTGACAGTTAAGTTCCTGCTGAATGACACAAAAATTAAATACTTCTGACCCTTCTTACAGCTTTCAAGTCCTTAAAAAAATACACAGTATTCACCGGGGGCGCTGGCTCACGCCTGTAATCCCAGCACTTTGGGAGGCCGAGGTGGGCGGATCATGAGGTCAGGAGATAAAGACCATCCTGGCTAACACTGTGAAACCCCGTCTCTACTAAAAATACAAAAAATTAGCCAGGCATGGTGGTGGGCGCCTGTAGTCCCAGCTACCGGGAGGCTGAGGCAGGAGAATGGCATGAACCAGGAGGCGAAGCTTGCAGTGAGCCAAGATCGCCCTACTGCACTCCAGCCTGGGAGACAGAGTGAAACTCTGTCTCAAAAAAAAAAAAAATAAAATAAAATAAAATATAATAAAATAAAATAAAAATAAAATAATACAAAATATTACAAAAATGGCTCATCCATGAATTTTATTGCACCTATTATTACAACAAAATCATCCAAAATGCTTCATTCAAACCCAAAGCTTTTACTTGTGGCTGAGAGTAAAAATATCAAATTTTCTTCATAGGTTGCTTTTTTTTTTTATATTAAGGCTTCATCTTTTAAGACGTTTTTCTTTTTAAGAAAAACGCTTCAACTCTGTGTTAAGAAGAAAAAAAAGCTAAATATGTAAGCTAGACAGTTTACTAAACATATACACTCAATATTAGTGAAATAGTGATTTGCATGTAAAAAACAAATAGATGGGGCTGGCCGGGTGTGGTGGCTCATTGCTGTAATCCCAGCTACTTGGGGGGCTGAGGCTAGAGAATCACTTGAACCTAGGAGGCGGAGGTTGCAGTGAGCTGATATCACGCCACTGACTCCAGCCTGGGTGACAAAGTAAGAATCTATCTCAAAAAAATAAAATAAAATAAATAAAAATAATTGGCAAAATTATTTACAAATTAACATACTTCTCAATCACAAATTAACATATTTCTCAATCACATGTGACTTAAGTGTAAAAAGGTCACCAAATATATATGATGTCATACAATAAACCCTCTATGCAGCACTTTGTAAACTGTAAAATATGCTTTAATGCACATTACTTCATATAGCAGACTTTAGAACTATCATATTCTGGAAAATATTTTCTTGGTCCGCAGTCTGATGCTCTAACCCTGAGCTATATCCCCTCCTCATATTCTGGAAAATATTTTCTAACTTCTGGATAACAATCTTTTTAAAAATTTAAAAAATATATATTCTCACCTTAGAAATATGGTTGTACACATAAAATTATACATAATACTTAAATGGCTCCAGGTATCCCTAAAGGCTATCTAAAGATTTCTATGAACCTTTACTATAGGGAAGTATGTATATTTGTCTGTGTGTGTGTATATATATATATGTGTGTGTGTGTGTGTGTAATAAGTATATATAATATGCATGTATATATGTAAAATAATCCTTACCAGGAAGGTTTGTGACACATTATAAACTAGGAATAAACAGTACCTTTATAACAGAGGGATGAAAAGCCTTTAAGAACAAGGTGTAAGTATATATAGGAGCACGTATTATAGAAAATGTACATCCACACTCACCTTTTACACTAAGATCAATAGCAGCTTCTAAAAGCACTTCTAATTCCCCTTTTGGCAAAACAGGAACCACCCATCGAGGCCTAAGGATTATTATAAAACAAAAAGAGGCTTTACTGGTTTCATAGTAAAGGAACACTATAAATAAGTTACCTACCATAGTTACTGTTACTATGAAAAAGTGAGAAATTCTGCCTATATTATATTCACCATATAGACTTCTAAAAAGAAGTAGGCAAATTATCTACATTGGAAAACTAAGAGACATCTATTGTGTCTATATACTGAATTTTTTTAGGCACTGTCAAATGAGATATAGCAATGGCAGGGAATTCTTTTAATAGCTTCTCTAGAATACTAAAACTAACCTATACAATTATCAATTAAATGTATACCTTTTATTAGTAGGAAAACGCTCTTTGGGGGCTCATATTTATTAGTGAAAGGACACACTGTGGCAAGTGTTTTGTTTTACTCCTCTTCACAAAGACAAAAGAAATTAGATCTCAACAAAACATTTATCTCACCTTTTCCTAAAGATCACGTCTCAGGTGTGGGCCTCTAAACCTACTGTCATACGTACATTCCCATATCAAAAGGCAATACAGAAAGCCACTATGCCATCTTAAGTACACTCCCACATTAAAAAGTGATGCAAAGGGCACCACACACTCACCTGGTACATTCCTTACTTTTGTAAAAAGTTCAGCTTTCTGCAACTATGTCTACTGACAAACCCACTACTCCCCAGAAATAACTTTCTTTCACCTGTCCCTTAATCCCTGTACTAAGAAACAGCAAAATTCCCAAATATCTCTTTTCGTTTTTAAAAAGATGCCTCAATACATATAATCTATTAAAGGTAAACTGATTCTATCCTTTTTGTTGCTTTTATATATACAAAAAAAAAAATCTTTTCTGTCTGCCACTAAGGATTTACTAACAGTTTCAGTTCTCTAGTCCTTATGAAAAATACACTCTAACAGAAATCAGCAACCGCTAAACAAAACAGAGAAAGAAGCAATACAACCTTCTGCAATAAGGTCTCTGCTGTAGCAAATGGACATTCCACAAGTGAGAAAAGTTCTCCAGAACTCTGGTATAAAGTTCTTATCAAAGAGAAATGTTTGTAAACATTCAAAACAAAATACCTACCTATTTGTCTAGGCTAGAAACACAGGAAGGGTTCATAAAGCATCATTAATCTGAAACTGTATTCATATTGTCATTACCTTCCAATATTTAAAATCCATAAGAAATGCCTGCATTAAGTACAATGAGCTGCAAAGTGTTCAGCTAGGACTAAAATGTTCAGGCTATTAAAATAGTAAGACTTGAGACACTACAATCTACTCTTTTCTTTTTCTCATTTACTACTAGTTGCAATGCTGGAAGTAGTTTTGCTTTTCTAGTTTACTGCATCCATTAATAAAACAAATCCAAACAAATGCACCTGTTGATCATGTCATCCAGGTTTGCCAGCTCAGTATGTGGAAATGCAGGCTCTTCATCTTCATGCTGTGGTGGGGCATCACCTTGCCCTTGTTCCTCTGGAGGAGGAGTTGCTACGGAATTCTCATTGGAAGAATCAGGTGATGAAGTCTTAATTAAAAATTAAATATTCCAAATTTAAACCACAGATTAAGGAAAAATATCTATTTTTAAGTATCCATATATATGCCCAAATATTTAATAAAACTAGGGTCACAATGTTTATCTTTTTAAAATTTAATTTGGTTAATACAGAAGTATTTTCCCTCATGATTAAGAATCTTTTTTGGGGTGGGGGATGGAGTCTCACTCTGTCTCACCCGGGCTGGAGTGCAGTGGTGCAATCTCGGCTCACTGTAACTAACCTCTGCCTCCTGGGTTCAAGCAATTCTCCTGCCTCAGCCTCCTGAGTAGCTGTGATTACAGGCACCCGCCACCACACCCGGCTAATTTTTTGTATTTTTAGTAGAGACAGGGTTTCACCGTATTGTTCAGGCTGGTCTGGAACTCCTGACCTCAGGTGATCCACCCACCTCCGCTTCCCAAAGTGCTGGGATTACAGGCGTGAGCCACCGCACCCGGCCAATTAAGAATCTTAAAAATTAACTAATGGCGGCCGGGTGTGGTGGCTCACACCTGTAATTTCAGCTCTTTGGGAGGACAAGGCGGGCAGATCATGAGGTCAGGAGATTGAGACCATCCTAGCTAACATGGTGAAACCCTGTCTCTACTAAAATTACAAAAACAAAAACGGATATGGTGGCGGGCGCCTGTAGTCCCAACTATTTCGGAGGCTGAGGCGGGAGAATGGCTTAAACCCGGGAGGCGGAGCTTGCAGTGAGCCGAGATCACGCCACTGCACTCCAGCCTGGGTGAAAGAGTGAGACTATGTCTCAAAAAAAAAAAAAAAAACAAATTTAATGGCAACACATTACTGCATGAGTTGACTAAGTAAAAATTAGAGGATATGTTTTTGTCATGTTTACTGTTAATAAATACATTCATAATAAACCTTATGAATTATCTCCTTAAGGATAGGATACTGAAGTAATGACTAACTAAACAAGATAAACTATTCCTTTTAAGGCTATATTCCCAAACTACATTATCAAAGATAACACTAATCTTCACCCTCACATGCACCTTTGTGTTTACAGTGTCTTCATCAATTTAGGTTCTAATAATTTAGTTTGACTATATACTACATAAATTCTGTACAAACCTACTTTTTTAAACTTAGATTATAGATTATAATTATAGATTCACAATCTGTTCCAAAAAAACTCTTCGTTCCTTAATAATAACCAATAGTTTAGACACAAAAATTCCTAACTAGGGATTACAGGTTCCTATTGCTGTTACTCTTCTTCTTCCTCAGTTTCCCTTGAGAGAGACAAATAAGAAAAGGCAATGAAGCTGGATTCCTCAAAACATCAAGAATTAACACCTCATAATTAAAGAGATTAAAATATTTAACTTAAGCAACACATAAATGTCTTCCTTACAAATACCAATTATGTTTTAGGAAGATGAAATTGAAAAGTATGTCTGGAAGAGGACTGTATAGAATTGACCTCATTTCTTAAATGTTTAATAGAACTTTCCTATGTTTTCTTTATTGCAAGATTTTAAAACTGTAATATCAGTTTCTGTACTCAGAACCATTATACTGGTGGTTACAAGTCTGTACTCAGAAACTGAAATTATAGTTATTTATTTCTTTTTCAGTCTTTCAGTCACCCAACTGTCCTTCAACAGGCAAATGGACAAACTAGTACATTTATGCAATAAAATACTACTCAGCAATTGACAGGAAAAAACTTTTGTTGCATGTAACAATATGGAAGAATACTAAATGCATAATGCAAAATCTCGAAAGATTAAGTCAGCATGATTTAGAAAAGACAAACTATGCGGTATGGTAGCTCACATCCGTAATACCAGCATTTTGGGAGGTGAAGATGGGAGGACTGATTAAACCCAGGAGTTTGAGACCAGCCTGGACAACATAGGGAGACCCTATCTCTAGTTAAGGAAACAAAAGAAAAAGAAAAAGGCAAAACATACAAATGAAGAGCAGATCAGCAGTTGCCAGGAACTGAAAATGGAAGACTTAAATATACAAGGGCAGTGCAAATAAATTTTTGTATTTTACATGTTCATTATACTGCTGGTTACAGTCTTTCATTTGTCAAACCCAATACCTGTATATTATGCATACATTATGTATAAACCAAGTGACGTTTACTGTCTGTAGCCAAACAAATAGAAATTTAAAAAGCAAGAGAAACAAAAAGCACATGCACGTGGGTTTCAACTTCCAAGTCAGATGTGATACTTAGCAACAGATTACTGCATCTGCCTATAACTGAGAAGTGGCTAAAATTAGTTGCTTGCTTAAAAAACTGCAGAAGCTACCTGGGTAAGAAAAACGGAATACTCCAGAAACATATAGACAAGATAACTGCGATTAATGATTTCATTCCAATACAATTCTGCCTACAGTGGATATGGGCAGCAGGCTCAAAACTAGCTCAAAATCCACTGCAGATGCAGGTGGAAAATCACGGAAAGTGTGGAAAGTCACAGAAAGTGTGGGAAGATGAGCTTCAGCATAACTTTAACACATTATTTACAAGGCTTGAAGCAGAAAGTTTGATTTCCTATCAGGATATAGGAAATCAGGATTTCCTATCAGGATATTATGCCATAGTTGGGAATAATAAAACCTAATGGTGGCCTCCAAAGAAGAGAGTGAAACATTTCACCATTGTTTCACTGAAACAATGGGAAGAGCCCCACTATGGTCTACTGAAAAGGAAGAACAAAATAGAAGACCACTGAATCTTACCTATCTCTGATTCAACAGTCTCTAAGCTTGAATTAACCAACCCCATTCTGGCCAGTGAGAAAATAGTTATATTCTCTAAAATGGAAAGGTAATAATAATGTAAGTAAACTTTCAGATTAATGATGTCATATGAACATAACCCTTAGGTGTGTTTCTGGCCTAGAACGTACAGATAGGGATACTTTGGAAATGACAATGTGATTTGTGAGTCTAGGTCATGAAAGGTATCATGGCTTTTTCTTCCCTCTCTTTTAGGTCAATTTCTCTGGCAGAGGTTAACTGCCATGTCTGAAGTCACTCAGGCAGCCCTACGAGGGGATCCGCATGGTTAAGAAACAGGCCTCTACCCAACCGCCATGTGAGGAAACCATTGTGGAAATGGACCCACCACAGTCACAGTCAAGCCTATCCATACATATCTATGATAAAGTTAAAGTTCATAAATCAGGCACAGTAAGAGATTAACAACAATAATTAATAATTTTTCCATGGATGGAGCCAGTTGAGGGGTGGGAGGGTTCAGGATGAAACCTGTGATCATGAGATACTAGATTTCTCATAAGGAGCACGCAACCTACATCCCTCACATGCATAGTTCACAGTAAGGTTCATGCTCCTATGAGAATCTAATGCTGCCATTGATCTGACAGGAGTTGGGGCTCAGATGGTAATGCTCGCTCACCAGCCTGATGCTCACCTTCTGCTGTACGACCTGCTTCCTAACAGGCCACAGTGTGGTACTGGTCCGACCTGGGGACTAGGGATTCCTGCTCTACATACACAACAGTAGCAGAATACACATTCTTTGCAAGGGCACATGGAACATGCATCAGGATACGTAATGCCACAAAACAAATCTTAACAAATATAGGAAGACTTAACTCATAAAAAGTTTCTTTTCAGATCAGGATACAATTAAAGTAGAAATCAATAGCAGAAGAGGCCGGGCGTGGGGGCTCACGCCTGTAATCCCAGCACTTTGGGAGGCCGAGGCAGGCAGATCATGAGGTCGGGAGATCAAGACCATCCTGGCTAACACGGTGATACCCCGTTGTCTACTAAAAATACAAAAACAAAATTAGCCGGGCGTGGTGGCATGCATCTGTAGTCCCAGCTACTTGGGAGGCTAAGGCAGGAGAATGGCGTGAACCCAGGAGGCGGAGCTTCCAGTGAGCTGAGATGACACCACTGCACTCCAGCCTGGGCAACAGAGCGAGACTCCGCCTCAAAAATAGAAAAAGAAAGCAATAGCAGAAGAAAAACTGAAAAATTCATAAATAAGTAGAATTTAAACAATACATCTTAAATGGCCCATCCATCAAAGAGGAGAAATCCTATAGAAACTATATAATATGTGAGGCAAATGAAAATGAAAAAATGCCAAATTTATGGGATAGAGCAGAACCAGTGCTGAGGAAACCTTATAAAGTACTTTAAAAAAAGATCTCAAATCAACAACCAAATTTGCACCTTAAAGAACTAAAAGAATAACAAAATACATCCATGCTCCACAAAACATTTCATTCAAGATGAACTAAATATACAATGGTCATCTCATAATATTGCAATAGTCCATTTTTACTAAATTTTTTCTGTTTAGAACTTACCATTGTATTACAATTGCCTACCATATTCAACTCATGCTAACAGGTTAGTAGCCTAGGGCAATAACTGGCCTACATGTGTAGTAGGTTATACCATCCAGGTTTGTGTAAGCACACTATGATGTTTGCAAGACAGTGAAATCACCTGACAATGCATTTCTCAGAACATATGCCTTCATTAAGTGACACATTAAAGCAAAAGCGAGCACAGATGTAAGCAAAATAGAGACTAGAAAAACAACTAAGAAAAACCAATGAAATCAAAATTCTGTTCCTGAAAAAAATAAAGAGCTGCTAAACCTTTAGCTAGATTGACTAAGAAAAAGAGAAGAGTCAAATAATTAATATTAAAAATAAAAGAGGCATTAATGAATTTTATACAAAAAAGTTAAGGATTATCAGTGCATCCTATAAACCACTGTATCTCAGCAAACTGCATGACCTGGATAAAAGGACAAATTCCCAGAGGCATACAATCTACGCCAAGAACAAGTTATAAAGAAATAGACAATCTGAGTAGATCTTAAACCTCTGTGGCAACCAGTCCCAAGGTATGATAACCTAAACTGTAATTAAAGAATTATTGAAGGCTCATGGTGGGAAGTATGCAATGCAAGTTAAAAACCACTAAGAGGCTGGGCGTGGTGGCTCACTTGTGTAATCCCAACACTTTGGGAGGCTGAAGTGGGTGGATCATGACGTCAGGAGTTCAAGAGCAGCCTGGCCAAGATGGTAAAACTCCATCTCTACTAAAAATACAAAAATAAGCTAGGGGTGGTGGTGCTTGTATTCCCAGCTACTCAGGAAGCTGAGGCAGAGAATTGCTTGAACCTGGGAGGCGGTGGTTGCAGTGAGCCGACATCGCACCACTGCACCACAGCCTGGGAAACGCAGCGAGACTCCCTCTCAAAAAAAAAAAAAACTACTAAGAAGCCAAATTTTATGGGAATGAACAATTTTTTTTTTAACCTTTCCCTGAAAAGATAAGAAAAAAGTCCCTTGAGCTTCTCGGAGGGAAAGATGCAAAGTAGCCATTTTGAAATACATAAGGACATTCTGTTCTGTTAAAAGAAAGCCCTCAAGAGAAACTAGTTTATACTACTGAGGTTTTTTAATGACTAAGAGACCTAAAGGAAAAAAAATACTCAACTCTAGCCTGCTACAGCATTCTACATGGTAGAACTAAAAACTCCAATTCCAGCTCCCTATACCCATCATGTTCCATCTAAGCCACAGCCCAAAGGCCACAGGCTCACTACGACATTGAGACTTAATCGTAAGATTACAGATTGCTTCCCCTACCCGAATACCTTACCAGTAGTACATTACTAGAGCCCATCTGCCAAAGTTCCTTTCTACATAGTACTTAATGTGCATCTCTGAAGAAAAAATTACAATGCATACTAAAAGACAAAAAAACTGTTTGAAGAGACAGAGCAAGCATCAAATTCATACTCAGATGTAACAGGAATGTTAGATTTAACAGATGGAGGCCGGACGCAGTGACTCAAGCCTGTAATGCCAGCACTTTGGGAGGCGATTGCAGGTGGGTAGCTTGAATCCAGGAGTTCAAGACTTGGCTGGGCAACATGGTAAAACCCCATCTCTACAAAAAAAAAAAAAAAAAAACACAAAAATCAGCCAGGCGTGGTAGCACATGCCTGTAGTCTCAGCTACTTGGGAGGCTGACATGGGAGAATAGCTTCAGCACACGAGGGAGAGACTGTGGTGAGCCAAGATCCCGCCACCGCACTCCAGCCTGGGAAACACAGTGATAGCCTGTCTCCAAATAAAAAGATTTATCAGATGGAAATATAACTACCATTAATGCACTAAGGGCTCTAATGAATAAAGTAGATGACATGAGAAGGTAGTTAATGTAAGCAAAGAGAGAGAAATTCTAAAAAAGATTCAAGGTAATACAGTATAGATCAAAAACACTGCAACAGGAATGAAGAATGCCTTCATTCCTGTGCATTTTAATGATGCACTCGTTAAAAAATTAGACTTTGAACACTGAAGAGCAGAGAAAAATAGGCTGAAAATTAAAAAAAAAAAATTGGCCTGGCACGATGGCTGTAATCTCAGCACTTTGGGAGGATGAGGTGGGCGGATCATGAAGTCAGGAGCTTGAGACCAGCCTGACCAACATGGTGAAACCCTGTCTCTACTAAAAATACAAAAATTAGCCAGGCGTGGTGACACGTGCCTGTAATCCCAGCTACTCAGGAGGCTGAGGCCGGAGAATCGCTTCAACCTGGGAGGTGGAGGTTGCAGTGAGCCGAGATCACACCACTGCACTCCAGCCTGGGTGACAGAGCGAGACTCCGCCTCCAAAAAAAAAAAAAAAAAAGAAGCAATTATAACTAAAAAAGTCCCCAAATTAGTGCCATACAATAAACAAGAGATTCAGGAAGCTCAGAGAATTCCAAGCTAGATAAATGCCAAAAAAAAAACAAAAACAAAAAAAAGAGTACATCTAGAAATACATTCAAATTGCAGAAGATGAAAAATAAAAAGTTTGAAACATGCTACAGGCAAACATCTTACCTATAAGCAAAGCAATGATTAGAATTACACTGGGTTTGGTCTAAGAAATCATATAAGCAAGAGACTGGAATAAAATATCTATAAGTGTTGAGAGAAAACAACTACCTATCTAGAATTCTGTATTCTGCAAAAGTATACTTAAAAAGTGGAGAAATAGAAACTTGCTCAGACAAAAGTTAAGAGAATTTGTTGTCAATGTATCTGCTCTGCAAGTTTTTCTGAGAGTAGAAAAATGATATACAACAGAAACATCTTCAAAAGAAAAGCATTCTGTAAGTAATGCATGAAGGTAACATAAAAACTCTTCTTTTTATCTTAAATGATCTAAGACATAATGGTTTCTTTAAAATAAAATTAGCAGCTGGGCACAGTGGCTTTTGTCTGTAATACCAGTGACTTGGGAGGGCTCAAGTGGGAGGGTTGCTTGAGTCCAGGAGTTTGAGACTAGCCTGGGAAACATAGTGAGAGCCTCTACAAAAGTTAAAAAAAAAAAAAAAAAAAAGCCAGATATGTTGGTGCATGCCTGTAGTCCTAGCTACCTTGGAGGCTGAGGTGGGAACAACACTTGATCCCAGGAGTTCAACACTACTGTAAGCTAAAATCATGTTACTGCATTCTAGCCTGGGTTGACAGTGATGCCTGTCTCAAAAAATAATAAAATAAATTAAAATAGCATTAACAACAACGTATTCAATGATTACAGCTTACGTAAAAATGAAATGAAAGACAGCAATGATACAAGAACAGGAGGAAACAATTACAGATATTTTGTTATGATAGTACATGTACTCCACTTTGGAAAGTGGACTTACGGATTTGGTATAAATGCATATTGCAAATTCTAGGGCAATCACTAAAAAATTTAAAAATAAAAAATAAAAGCCTATGATTAATAAGCTTAGAAAAGAAAAAAATATATAGAATGTTCAATTACAACCACAAAAGGCAGAAAAAATGGACACAGTAACAAACAATAAGGGTAACAAATGGAGAATAATAACAAATAGTGTAGTTACTAACACAACTATATCAATAATCACCTTCAATATCAATGGCCTAAATATACCTATTAAAAGATTATCAGAGTAGATCAAAAAACAAAAGTCAACTATATGCTGTCCATAGGAAACCCACTTTAAATATAAAGATGTAGATTAGAATTAAAGGAATGAAGAAAAACATACCAAGCTAATACTAATCAAAACAAAGGAAAATTAGCTATACTAACTTCACAAAGTGAACTTCAGTGAAGGAAAATTATCAGGAATAAACAACAACATTATATATGTGGTCAATTCAAAAAGCTGGAAATATCTTTAATGTATATGCTCCTAACAATATGGCCCCATAATATGTGAGGCAAAAAGTGATATAAATGCAAGCAGGACTAGATTGATCCATTAAGATAGTTTGAGAGTTCAACACTTTTCCATGAGAAATGGACAGATTCAGCAGACTATATCAGTAGAAACATAAAAAACTAAACAGCGTCATCCATCAACTGGATCTAACTGATATCTCTAGATTATTTCCCCCACAACAGTGAGTATACCTTCTTCCTAAGTGCACTGGGAACATTCACCAAGATAACCCGCCCAGTGGCCATAAAGCTCACCTTAATAAATTTAAAATAAAAATAATAAAACACATGCTTTCAGGCCACAATAGCATTAAACCAGAACTCACTAAAAGACAGTTGTAAAATCCTAAAATATTTCGTTACTAACACACTTCTAAATAACGTGAGTTATTTAGAAAGAAAGAGAAAGGGCTGGTCACAGTGGCTCATGCCTGTAATCCCAGCACTTTGGGAGGCTGAGGCAGGTGGATCACAAGGGTCAGGAGTTCGAGAACAGCCTGACCAACATGGTGAAACCCCATCTCTACTAAAAATACAAAAATTAGGTGTGGTGTCGCACACCTGTGATCCCAGCTATTCAGGAGGCTGAGGCAGGAGAATTGCTTGAACCCAGCAGGCAGCGGTTTCAGTAAGCCAAGATCAAGCCACTGCACTGCAGCCTGGGTAACACAGCAAGACTCAGTCTAAAACAGAAAAATAAAAGACAGAGAGAAAGAAAGCTCAAGAGAAATAAAAATAAAATTTGTACAAAGTGAAAATCCAACTTAAAATTTGTGGAATACAGCAAAAGCACAACTAAGACAAAAATTTATACCATTGAATGCATATATTAAAAAGAAACTCTTAAATCAATAATCAAAGCTTCCATTAAAAAAAAAAAACTATCAAGAAGTACAAATTCCAAAGTAAGCAGAAAAAAACTACAGCAGGAATGAAAATGACAAGAAATTAACAGAAAAATCAGCAAAACCATACACACTGGTTCTTTGAAAACATCAATAAACCTCTAGCCAGACTAAGAAAAAAGAAGACACAAATTATTAATTACAGAATTGAAACAAGGGACATATAATACAGATGCCATACTCATTAAGGGATCCCCAAGCCTCAGGTCACAGACGGTACCAGTCCGTGTCCTGTTAAGAACCAGGCTGCACAGCAGAAGGTGAGTGTCAGGTGAGCCAGCATTAGCACCTGAGCCCCAACTCCTGCCACATGAGCAGACACATTAGAATGTCACAGGAGCCTGAACCCTATTGTAAACTGAATCAATGTGAGGGATCTAGGGTGCATGCTCCTTATGAGAATCTAACTAATGCCTGATGTTCTGAGGTGGAACAGTTTCATCCCAAAACCATTTTACATCCCCCCATCGATGGAAAAATTGTCTTCCACAAAAGCAGTTGCTGGTCCTAAAAGGGTTGGGGCTGCTGCATTGAAGGATAATAAAGGAATACTATGAACAGCTCTACACCTACCAGAAATTCCTTTAAAGACATAATCTGCCAAAACTCAGAAAAGAAACAGATCATTTGAATTGGCAATATTTTCTAAATAAACAGTCAATAAATAACAATCTTCTGAAACAGAAAGCACAATGCCCAGAAAGGCTCAGTGGTAAATTCTCTCAAATATATCAATTCTCTACCGTTTTTTTCCACCAGATGGAAGCAAAGGGAATACTTTCTTTCTAGGCCATTCTATGAGGTCAGCATTACCCTCACATCAACAACCAAATATATTGCACGAAAACTAGACCAATATATCATAAACATAAATCCAAATATCAACAAAATACTACTTCAAGGAACTAGAAAATGAACAGCAAACAAAACCTAAAGAAAGCAAAAGAATGAATCTTAGAAAAAGGAAAAAAAAACACACAAATGGGAATTAAAAAGCCAAAACCCTGAAAACATTAGCTCAATGCAATTAATGAATCACCCTAGGAAAAAAGCCAAGAAAAAGTAAAGGCAAATTACTAACATTAGAAGCTTCATGTATCTTACAAAAAAATCTAACAGTATAGTAAAAGAAGTAATTATTTCCAAATAGGTCAGCACAGAACTTTGATATTAAATCTATGTTAAACCTTTTAGAAATATTATTTCACTTATCCTTGTTTTATAGATATGAAAACTGAGGCTTAGGTATTATAGCAGTTAGAGTCATAAGATAATCTTATAAAGTGGGGTTTGAATATAAATAGCTGCCTGAAGTCTGTGCTTATAACTAAGGTTACAGGGACTAATTTAATACTTTTGCCCTCAGATTCACATGGGACCTTAGATACAGAAAAACACAGGGCTACATTCTCAACCATGTACAGTAATCAAGGTTTCCTTTCACTAAATGCCAGAGTCACTTTTTTTTCTTTTCTTTTTTTTTTTGAGACAGGGTCTCATTCTATCACCCAGACTGGAGTGCAGTGCCTCGATCATAGCTCACTGCAGTCTTGACCTCCCAGGCTCAGGTGATGCTCTTGCGTCAGCCTCCCAGGTAGATGGGACTATCTGCATGTGCTACCATGCCCAGCTAATTTTTGTATGGGAGACAGGGTTTCACCATGTTGCCCAAGCTGCTGTTGAACTCCTGGGCTAAAGCAATTCTCTCTTCAGCCTCTGAAAATGCTGGGATTACAAGTATGAGCTACCACACTTAGCCCACAGTCACTTTTTTCACGTGTAACTTAAAATAACCACATATTTTATGATTACTTTACAAATCATTCAGGACATGTTTCACAATTTTGTATTTCACAGTACTCAAAACAACACAGTCTTACTCCTACCTGGTTCTGTTGGAAGAGATGCTGAGACTGGCCATCAAGAACCTGGCCCTGGCTGTCGTTCCCTCCTACTGGAGAGCCATGAGTGATGGCTGTCATACTTGACACAGCACAGATCTTTGCTCTTTTTTCTTTTTTTTGTCTCTTTATGTAGTTATCCTAAGGGAAGAAATTATAGTCCACATATAGAAGATGAAGTACCAGCATATATCAGCCTTAAAAATTTCCAATTCAAGGACAAAACATCTTGCAGAGACCATTTCATAACCTAAAAGGAAAAAAGGTACCACTGTCTTACATATTAAAAAGACCAGTAAGAGTCTGGGCATGGTGGTGCATGCCTGTAATCTCGGCACTTTGAGAGGCCAAGGCGGGTGGATCACCTGAGATCAGGAGTTTGCAACTAGCCTGACTAACAGTGGTGAAACCCCATCTCTAATATAAAATACAGCTGGGTGTGGTGATGCCTGCCAGTAATCTGGGCTACTTGGGAGGCTGAGACAGGAGAATCGCTTGTACCTGGGAGGCAGACTTTGCAGTGAGCCGAGATGGTGCCATTGCACTCCAGCCTGCCTGGGCAACAAGAACAAAACTCTGTCTCCAAAAAACAACAAAAAAAGATGAATAAGAAATTATTACAATTTTAATATGTACACTAAAATCACCAGTCTTTACAGTTAATAACAGAGGATTATAAAAATGAGAGAAATAAAAAGCTAAATGTGTATTTACAGTTTTACTTCCCTTAAGAAATTCACACTATTGTACAAGCAGTTATGCCAGGAAACATGCCATATATTATATAACATTCCAGAAAAATAAGTAAGCTTCTTGGTTGTCATTTTTAACTTACAGAAGAATCTGTGAAAGGCCTATCAATTGCTGCCTTATATATACTGTGAAAATTTAATACCTAAACATAAGGAAACTAGTATTAGATTTTTACAAAGAATTCAAGACAATGCACAGTCAACACATCATTGTATCAGAGCGTTATAAATGGCTTTTAAGATAATTTTTTAAGTGATTTAAATATAAAATTTAAAACTTTCGGGTAACTTCTTTGGAAAGGGTTTAAATTATACCATATTTCTCCAAAACCATCAAATCTGTCAAGTGAGCTCACGTTTCCACTTTGACAAGTCTTTTTTCCCAAGGTCCTTTTTAATAGTCCTTCAGGAGAATCAACAGTATATTCAAAGAATCTTAACAGGACTAGAGGACACAGAAATTTACTGGTTAGGGTTCACTGCAATCTGATAGGAGTATGGGAAAACGCCACCAAATCCTTTACATTCCATATTCATTAGTCCAGTGGTTTTCATACTAAATTGCAAATTAGCATTTCCTGAAGTACTTCTAGAGGACTGCTAATGTCCAAGTTCCAGCCTAGACCAAACAGCAAAACATCTGAGACCTAATAATCAGCACTTCTTTAAAATCTCCAAGCTTAATCTGATGTGTCACTGATTGAGAACTAGGTTTGTTTCCATAAAAATTAAAACTTGAGGCTGGGTGCGGTGGCTCACGCCTGTAATCCCAGCACTTTGGAAGGCCGAGGCGGGCGGATCACGAGGTCAGTAGATCGAGGCCATCTTGGGTAACATGGTAAAACCCTGTCTCTACTAAAAATATAAAAAATTAGCTGGGCATGGTGACAGGCACCTGTTGTCCCAGCTGCTCAGGAGGCTGAGGCAGGAGGATGGTGTGAACCTGGGAGACAGAGCTTGCAGTGAGCTGAGATCACACAACTGCACTCTAGTCTGGGCGACAGAGTGAGACTCCACCTCAAAAAAAAAAAAAAAGAAAAAAATTAAAACTTGAAATCAAAGCAAGGTAGAAAAGAATAATCAGTGATATCTATGTGTCCAAAACACACTGCCAAGAAAAAAGAGAGAGAGAGAAACAGAGTAAGGCACAGTATATAAAAAACTAAAGTAAAACAAATCAAATAAACAAAAAACCACACATGACCAATACATATGTGTATAACAAATTTAAGAACAGCACTTTTTAGAAGTCAGACACTATGTGAAACACTTAATTTCACTCAGCAAATCCATTTAGTAGTTGTTATTAACCACCTTCACAGGTAAGTAGAAACAGAGAGTAAAAAAAAGTAAATTGCTGGGCCAGGCGTGGTGGCTCACACCTGTAATCCCAGCACTTTGGGAAGCCGAGGCGGGCGGATCACCAGATGTTGGGAGTTTACGACCAGCCTGACCAACATGGAGAAACCCTGTCTCTACTAAAAATACAAAATTAGCTGGGCATGGTGGCGCATGGCTGTAATCCAGCTATTTGGGAGGCTGAGGAAGAAGAATTGCTTGAACCCAGGAGGCAGAGGTTGCGGTGAGCCGAGATTGCGCCATTGCACTCCCACCTGGGCAACAAGAGCGAAACTCGATCTCAAAAACAAACAAACAAACAAAAAAGTTAATTGCTCAAATCAGTACTTAGTGGAAAAAGGGATTCTAACATAGGAAGTCTGCCATGATTAAACCGCTACACACATACCCTTTCAATCTCATTAATAATCAAGACAAAACGTTATAACAATGCAATACTATTCTGTTTTTCCTGACCATATTCATCAAAAAAAAACTAAAGACTGGTAACTAAACATTTAAGTCAGACATAGATTGTTCTTTAATAAATAAAATTGAAAACCAAGTTACAAATTAATATTATTCCATAAGGGCAGGATTGAAAAGAAAATGGACAAAAACCAAACGTGAAGTATATACACACATAAATCTACCTCTATATGGTCATCTTATCATATAGTCTTCTCTTTCATTGTTTTTTGATACATAAAAATTCTCATTCAAAATGTTTTATATGAAATAGGTTTTAAAACAAACAAACTAAAAAAACTCCCTCCCTCCCATTTTCTATTTTAGTTCTGCTGCTAATAAAAATGACTTAATAAGTTTTTCCTGCAAGTAAGAAAGAAACCAGCCACTTCACTAAACACTACTTCAAACTTGCTCATGTCTGTTCCTTTTGTCCCTTACCTGGGGGCTCCTGATCCCACATATATGCCCCACTTATGAAAAAAACCTTGCTCTAATCTTCTCTCAATTTTTCTCAGTTTCTTCCTGGATTCACTTTTCTTAGCCTATAAAATATGTTCAAGGCTCCCCTACTGAAAGCCACCCAATATCTGAACTTCTTCTTCCAGAAAATTCTTGAAAAAATGGCAATGTCTTTCCTTTTCCTCATCGATTGCCTTGTATACAAGCTGCTTTAAGTGAGGATGGTGTAAGATCTATGAATGACTTAGGAATTAATAACCAATTGCTCTAAAAGCATATGCAAGCTTTCTGTGGAGTGCATTTTTTTTTAGGGAGGAGAGAGATGAAGCATAGTCCAACATCAATTTACTATGTAAACTCTCTACAGGTCACAAGATCCTATTGCAGTTATAACCAGAAACAAAATACAGAATATATACCAATGAAAATGAAAACAGAATGAAACTACTTATCGCTACCAAAAAATAAATAAACAAAACACAAAAGGCAGTAAAAGAGAAAATAAGCAAAAATCCACAAGAAATACGAGGCAAAAGTAACTAACTGACAATAGTTAATACTTTCCTTTCAGTAAATACTTTAAGTGTAAATGGATTCTCCAATCAAACACATAGATGAGCTGCAAGGATAAAAAAGCAAGTTCAACCTTATCCTTCCCTATAAGAGACTCACAAGAGTCCTACAGTAGACTATGTGATCAAAGAATAACCATAGCTTCAAAGTGAAAAAATGGAGAAGGATATTTCATGCATATAATAACCACATGAGAGCAGAGTTTGTTATATTAATATCACACAAAATAGACTAAATAAAAAAATTCCACAAGAGACAGGGAAAGACACAATCATAAAAAGGTAATTCATTAGGAAGGTAAAAAACTGTAAATATGCAACAAAAAGCAGAGCTCTAAAATATATAAAGCAATATTAACAGATTAAAGGAAAAAATAGATAGCAACAAAATAATAGTACAAAATTTCCCTAACTCACTTTCTACCCAACCAGACAAAAAAAAAAAATCAACAAGGAAATAGAGGATTTCAACAATAAAACAATTAGACATATGCTGAACACTAACCCAACAACAGTAGAGTACACATTCTTTTCAAGTGTATATGGCACATTCCCCAAGACAAACCTCATATCAAATCAAGTATTAATAAGATTAAAATAACAGAAACAACATAAGGTATCTTTTCAGAAAACAATGGGATGAAAATAGAATCAACAGCAGAAAGAAAACTGGAAATCCACAAATGTGTGAAAATTTAACAAAACATTCTGAGCCAATGGGTCAGAAAACATTAAAATGACAATTAGAAAATATATCGAGAAAAACTAAAAATAAAACATACCAAAACTGATGGGACACAGCAAAAGCAATGCTAGAGGAAAAGTTCATAGTTTTAAAGTTTATAAGTTTAATACCTGTAAAATGCTGGCCTTAAATCTGAAATTAACAACCCAACTATAATCTTAAGGGAGAAAAAGAACTAAACCTGAAGCTAACTGAAGAAAGATCATAGCAGAGATAAATAAAATACAGAATAGAAAAAAAAGATCAACCAAATCAAAAGGAGGCTGTTTGAAAGATAAACACAACTGACACCACTACTTACATAAAGAGGAAAAAATAAAACCTCAAATAACTAAAACCAAGGCTGAAAGAAGGGATATACAACCAATGCAAACAGAAAAAAAGAGTCTAAGAAAATACTTTGAACAACTATATGTCATTAAATTAGATAAGCTACAAAAAATGAATGTAAGTTGCTAAAAACACACAATGTACCAAGACTAGATAATGAAGGATTAGAAAATCTGAACAGATTTATAACTAGTAAGGAGGCTGAATCATTAATTAAAAACTTTCCAACCAACAAGTCTGTGATCACATGACTTCACTGAAGAATTACACAAACATCTAAAGAATACGTATCACAAATCCTGAAAGTCTTCCTGAAAAATAAAGAAAACACTCACAAATTGACTTTGGAATAAAGGTAATGCAGGCCTCTTAGACTAAATCTGTGAGTGTTTTCTTTTCCACTTTCTTTTCTACTAAAAAGAAACTACAGACCAATGTTTCTGATAAATATAAATGCAAAAATCTTCAACAAAACACTAGCAAACCAAATTTAGCAGTATCATGAAAAAATTATAATCAGATGGGATTTTTGCAATGCAAAGTTGGTTCAATACATGAATACCAATCAATGTAATATACCCTATCACCAAAAAAAGGAGAAAAACCACATGATCTTTATCTTGATGTAGAAAAAAATATTTAACTAAATTCAACAACCTTGTATTACCATTCAACAAAACAGAACGTAAAAAAAGGTCATATAGCCAGGATGGTCTCGAGCTCCTGACCTTGAAAGGTGAAGCCGGCTGTACTTCCTGGGTCGAATGGGGACTTGGAGAACTTTTCTGTCTAGCTAGAAGATTGTAAATGCACTATTCAGCACTCTGTGTCTAGCTAAAGGATTGTAAATGCACCAATCAGCACTCTATAAAAATGCACCAATGAGCACTCTGTGTCTTGCTAGAGGATTGTAAATGTACCAATCAGCACTCTGTAAAAACATACCAATCACTGCTCTGTGTCTAGCTAGAGGATTGTAAACGCACCAATGAGCACTCTGTAAAACGCACCAATCAGCGCTCTGTATCTAGCTAAAGGATTGTAAACAGACCAATCAGCACTCTGTCAAATGGATCAATCAGCACTCCGTAAAATGAACCAATCAGCAGGACATGGGCAGGGACAAATAAGGGAATAAAAGCTGGCTACACCCAGCCAGCAGCAGCAACCTGCTCAGGTCCCTTTTCATGCTGTGGAAGCTTTGTTCTTTCGCTCTTCACAATAAATCTTGCTGCCACTCACTCTTTGGGTCCACACTACCTTTATAAGCTGTAACACTCACCATGAGGGTCTGCGGCTTCCATCCTGAAGTCAGTGAGACCACGAACCCACTGGGAGGAATAAACAACTCCAGACCCGCCACCTTTAAGAGCTGTAATGCTCACTGCGAAGGCCTACAGCTTAACTCCTAAAGTCAGAGAGACCATGAACCCACTGGAAGGAAGAAACTCCAGACACATCTGAAAATCTGAAGGAACAAACTCCGAACACCATCTTTAAGAGCTATAACACTCACCGCGAGGGTCCGCAGCTTCCTTCTTGAAGTCAGCGAGACCAAGAACCCACAAGAAGGAATAAATTCTGGACACAACCTCACATGTTAAAATCCCATCTCTATTAAAAAAATTTAAAAAATTAGCCAAGCATGGTGGCAGGTGCCTGTAGTCCCAGCTCCTCAGGAGGCTGAGGCAGGATAATGGCGTGAACCTGGAAGGCAGAGCTTGCAGTGGGCCAAGATTGCGCCACTGCACTCCAGCCTGGGTGACAGAGCAAGACTCTGTCAAAAAAAAAAGTCATATAAGACAAAGAGGAGTGCAAGACCTAACTTCATACCAAATGGGAAAAGGCGCAAAGCCTTTCTCTAAGATCTGGAACAAGACAAGGACCCCTCTAATTCAACTTAGTATGGAGAGTCCTAGTCAGAGCAAAGAAAGAAGAGATAGATATAAAATGGCATCCAAATCAGAAAGAAGGGAGTAAAACTGTGCCTATTCAGAGATGACATGATATTACATGTAGAAAAATCTATAGAATTTAATCAAGGAGACCAATGACTTATACTAAAAACAAAAATTTATTGTGGAGGGAAAAATAACTAAAGACAGAAATACAGGCAAAGACCTCTAATGTCCAGGTATTACAAGACTTACTACTGTTATCAGTACTACCCAAAGTGATTTACAGATTCAACACTATCTCCACAATATTGTTTTGCAGACAGAAAAATCCATATTAAATATACCCTCAAGGAACCTCAAGTACTACACACTTCTACTGTTCAAATCAGAACAACAAAAATTTCTCATAATATTTTTCCCAAGCAGGCTACAATAGATAATTCCCTAGGCCTCAACATAGGTACCCTTAGCTTGATAGCCAAGGCTTGCCCCAAACACTGAAACAGGCTTACAGATATATCCTTACAGCAAGGACATACCTCTTGCCAACTGCTAGCAAAGAAATCAGCCCTGCTGTCAGCAATCATGTGAGTAAGCCATTGTGGAAGTGGACATACCAGCCTTCAGATAAATAACTGCTACCCACAAAAACGAAAAGATATGTTTGTTGTTTTAAGCTGTTAAACTGTGAGCTATTTTCTTATGAAGTAAAAGACAAATATCCTGCCCCAGCTTAGTAATTAACTCAGTGACAAAAAAAGAAAAGATTGTATTAGCTGCCCCTCTATCAGACCATGGTAATCTCATAGGTCTCTGACTGTTCAGTTTTATTCCACAAAACATTTCTGTAAACATCTCTTACCCAAACTGCTAAAACTATTGTTTTAATTCTTCAGCTAGCAACTCACCTCCAACACATACTCCACACAGCCACCAGAATTATCTCCAAGCTCTCTGCAAAACAAAAAGCAGATTTCATCATGAATCCTTTCTTTTAAAAGGAAAAAATCTGACTTCAGTGCTTAAAAATAAAATCTCAGTGCCTTAATCTGGTACTTGAAATCACTTATGACCCAGTCTCATTCAAACCAGCTCTTAGTTTCAAGCTCGCTAATTCCCTCCTAAATATCTGGTGTGTCTTCCTCATTCTATTAATAGTATCACATATATCCTTTAAACTGTTTCCCTCCAGTGGAAGTATCTGACCTAATTTATGGAATCACCAAAATACCACAGTTTTTAAGACCAGCAAACAGTATTCTACCTCAAACTATGATTTTCTTCACCTCTTCTACTATTCCACATTTGAGACATGTATTTTAATACAGCAGTTATCATACTGTATAAATAAGTACCTATTTAGCCACTAGAACTAGAGCCTTAAAAGTGGAGACTAACCATTTTTACATCATGAGTAAATGAATACAATTCATAAGCTGCCCAGTAATGACTAAGTCCACGTCTACCACTTTACAATTTCAGTGAGTTAAACAATCTGCTAATTGGTAGAAAAGCTACAATGGCAAATCTAAGTTTCTTAACTAACATCACAACTCTGTTAATCACTACACTCTCTCAGTCAGTCAGAAATGCTGCTGATACACAAGGGTCAGTTTCACCTCTGAGCCCAGAAAAGTCTTTCCACACCATCTATAAAAACATTGTTTCATTAGGTTTTATAATGGAATTACCACTGCAAAAATATGGAGAAATAAACAAAGTTCAATTATTCAACAGTCTGATAGCTACAGAAGCCAGCCAAATGCCTAGACAGGGGCAAGTCCCTGGTGAAACCCCACCTGAAAGCCAAAAACAGGCCACAGGCTGAAAGACTGACTGCTAGTCCTGTATGAAACACAACCCAGAATGAGAACCTCTGTTCCTTTTTGCCTGCCGTTTCATTTATGATTGATTCTTTCTGAATAGTATCTTTTAACCAATCGAATGTTGACTTTTCCAGTACTACCTATGGCTTGCCCCTCCCCCATTCTAGGCCCATAAAAAGCCCGACTCAGCCATATTAGAGGGACCTTCCTGCCTTTGGGAAGGGGGACAAACCCCTCGTCCCTTTTCAGGTTTGCCTGACTAGTTCGTGACTCAATAAAACTTCCCACCTTGCTCACTTTGTTAGCACATCCTTATTCTTCATGGGTGCAGGACAAGAGTTTTAGAACCACCAAAAAGGGGTACAAGCTATAACACAGGTGAGCTGGGGCATGCCAGCATGGCCATGCAAGGCCCAAGCAGGGCATCACCAGCCAGGGTTCATCAGCTTACGAAGTGACTGAGAAGAAAAATCCTATCATTTTGGGGGCTCACTCAGGATACCTGAAGGGTGAGTAAATGTGGACCTAAATTTCACTTTTTTTCTGTGAACTCTTGTCCTCAGACATTTTTCTGAAGGCAGATGAAGCACCAACCCTCTGGTAAGCTAGTTAAGAACAGTGGTGCAACTACAGAGGACAGGATGCTGGAGAGGACCCTCCCCCATCACTCTTGGGGTTAGGGAATGTTGGCCTCATTCAATTCCCATTTTTCCTGTGGCATTTGTCTTCTTGTTTTTCGGGGATGTTATGGTACTTATCTCTTTTACAATGTTGCAAGTGTTGTTGCAAACTACAAACATATTACTAGGTGGAAAGAGCATTTGGACCAGCCATCAGGTATGTAATTCAGAACAATGCAGTTTCTGTTCCTAGAGGAAAACAGGAAGCAGAGGTTAAAAGTCTCTCTCCCTGCTCGAGGAATCTATTTGCATAAAGAGGCTTTTTCCACCCCAAGCACCTTCCCTGCCCTGAATGTAAGCTGTTTTTTTTTTTTTTTCTTTTCTTTTCTCTGCCACATACAGGGAGCTTTTCTATGCAAGAGGTTTTGTTTTCTTTTGGAAGGCATCTTACTAGGCCAGATCCCCAATTCTCCCTTTCTCTCCATTGTCTGAGTACAAACCCGTTGCACAGCTATACCTGAGTATTCAGCTTATAAGAAGATGGCAAAGAAGTAGCCCTCACAGCTGCTGGCTGCAGTCTGGTGAGGGCAACCTGGACTTAATGAAACCATGCCCCTTCCTAAGGAAGTTGCTTGTCCCAAACTGAACTCCAAGCTTCAGGCTGAAGCTCTAGAAAGGAAAATGGATCTGAGGGATCCAGCGGCAGACAATAGTCAAGGGGCACAGTGCAGGTGAGCATGACTAATTCCTGCCAATTGGAATCTCCACCCCCACTGCCCATTTTATGGATACAGGTCATGCTAGCATCCATGGCATAGATAAGTTACAGACAGCAGAAAAAATAGGCAATGGATAGGTGAATGCGGATAATTCCTACCTGTTACACGTGCGTGAAAGCACCCTGCTGAGTCACTGGGACTCAGGGATATAAAGACAGAAGAAATAAAGGGGACGCCTTTTCTTTCTCTCCCTCGTGTACCCCAGGTATTCACTGGAAACACACAGGAACTAAGGGATGCCGTTTTCCCCTCCTTCCAGGTAAGTAACCAGCCACCTTCAGTCTGCACTTCTCTTGGATACATCCTGAATCACTGGGACTCCCTTGAAAAAAAAAAAACAAAACCTTCTTTTTCCTTTTTCCTCCTCTCTCCTCTTTGCAGATGAGTAATTGTGTCCCCATGCTACAGAATCCCTACAGATTCATCCCCCAGACTGGGAAAAGTCAATTTCCCCAAACCTCAAACTGTTTGGCTTAAAAATAAACTGGGAAGGCTGGGCATGGTGGCTCAGGCCTATAATCCCAGCACTTTGGGAGGCCAAGTAAGGTGGATCACAAGGTCAGAAGTTCGAGACCACCCTAGCTAACACGCTGAAACCCCATCTCTACTAAAAATACAAAAAATTAGTTGGGTGTGGTGGCACACATGCCTGTAGTCCCAGCTACTCAGGAGTCTGAGGCAGGAGAATCACTTGAATCTGGGAGGTGGAGGGTGCAGTAAGCAGACGTTGTGCCACTGCACTCCAGCCTGGGTGACATCAAGACTCTGTCTCACACAAAACAAAACAAAAAACAAACAAAAAAAAACTGGGAAGCAAGCACCAATCTGAGTAAATATCTTGAGGAGGGACAACTTTTACAGTATCATTGCCTACTTCCCTTTCACAGGACTTCAGGATAGATAGGTCTTCACAACTTGGGGGAAGGGAACTCAAAAGCCTGACATGACAGATCAGCAAAAAACCGTTTTTCTTACCAAACTTCTGGCCTCGCTCTCCCTGTGTAAACTGGTAGAATGAGTTATAAAAATCACTATTTAAATCCTCTCTGTAGTTTTAATTAATAGAAAAAAGGATTTATTAGACTACTCTTAAGCTATAGCCAATCTGATATGCTTTATGTGTCTCTCTATATGGTTCTGTCGTAAGAATACCCTAGGATAGAGCACGGCCTATGACCCAATAAGCCCACTGTTCAAGCTAGGCCATCAAAGTGGTCAGTAACAAATTTTGCTCGTCTCCATCTTGTTTTAAGCCCCTGGGAGCTTGACCTTGTAAACCTGTGGCAGTACTTTCTTTGGGTGTCTGCCATTTTACAGTAGTGGTCCTGGTTCAATATTGGCATAGGGACTAAGTACTTTCTGGTTAGTGTGTGAATTTTACTATTTGCTGATTCTCTTCCCTTCCATGAACGACTTCTAGCTTCCTTTCTTAACTCATCCTATCTCTGAGCTATCTTTAAAGAGTCTAGGTTTTGTAAAAACTGCTTACCACCTCTTTGAAAATACCACATGCACTCTTCATTAAGTCATAACTTTGAGTTGAGGCTTGTTGGTTTCACCTGTGAGGTTATATTTTTGGTGAAGGTCAAAAGCCAAAAATATTGGCCTCTTGGCATAGCTAAAGTTGAGTAACAAGGGGTTTTAAATTATTTTCTTAAGGAATGCTATGCTTAATTAAAAGTGGATAACCAAGCTATATATTATTGACCTCATGATCCACCCACCTCAGCCTCCCAAAACTGCTGCAATTACAGGTGTGAGCCACCATGCCTGGACCAAGCTATAGGTATATTTAAAAGGCATCTATGTTTTTCTTCCTCTTCTTGGAACTTTCTGGAAAAAGTTTTTTTTTCTTCTTAGTCATCTGAATTACTTTTCTTCATTTTGTTGTGCCACTCTAAATGCATGCATGATAGGCTCTGAGATAACTTCTGAGAGCATGAGGCTGCTCGGAATAAACAGAAAATGTGACATGGACCCCATTTTGGGAAGGAAAAAAAAAACAACTCTGTTTTCCTCATGGAACTCCAGAAATTAAAAGTGAATAGATCCCTCTCAAAAATCTGCTTTTGGCTTCTACCTATACCTGTTCATTAGGCCCTAAAACCTCCATGTTTTCCTAGCTCTGTTTTTGGACAGGCTCCACCAGGTGGTAATCGAATTAGGAGATGAGCAAATTAAAAATCTTGCAAATATTGGATCTTCTGTTTGTGGTTTGTGTAGTTATATATATGTGTTATGTGTATTATGTTTATATAAAAAAGAGGTCTAATTAATTGGCTTAAAGAAAAATATGTGCTTAGATGAAATATTTTTGAAGGAAAAAAGCTATAATGCCTTTTTTGTTCACGACTTTAATCTCTCAGAAATTAAAAGTTTTAAAGATTATTGGTAAAATACAATTGTTTTCAAAATGTAAATACATAGTCTAAATTATGCAGGTCAGATTCTAGGTTTGCTAAATGTCAAGGTTATAAACTGCTTCTTTGGCTTTTGAGAATTGTTTGATTTGCCTGTTTCACAATTTGGTCAGGCCTGGGGACATATGTAATTAACAGTGCTCCTCCTAGCTATGCCATAAACTTTATCTGTGCCTGGCACATAATCAAAAGAGCTTAACCGGCTGGGCACAGTGGCTCACACCTGTAATCTCAGCACTTTGGGAGGCCGAGGTGGGCGGCTCACCTGAGGTCAGGAGATCGAGACCAGCTGGCTAACATGGGGAAGCCCCATTTCTACTGAAAATAGAAAAAATTAGCCAGGCATGGTGGCAGCTGCCTGTAATCTCAGCTACCCTGGAGGCTGAGGCAGAATTGCTTGAACCCGGGAGGCAGAGTTTGCAGTGAGCCAAGACGGCGCCATACAAACTAGGCAACGAGTGAAATTCAGTCTCCAAAACAACAAACAAAGAGCTTACCAGGTTTTACATTAAAATTACAAATTGCTGTGAATTACCCTTATGTAACTGAAGCTATTGAAAATAGATTTATACGAAAGGTGTGTAAGAAAAGTAAAATGTGTTAGCAGTAAAAAATATAAAAAGGCATGGCAAAGTAAATTTTTCCTTAGGAGGGTGGAAGCCTTATTTTAAATTAGATAAAATGGGTTTTGTCTATTTTAGTTTTGTAAAAATTAATCTTATAAAATAAATTCTGTGTGAACATGTTGACTAAATTCAAAAAGTATTTTTTTGGTTTGTCTCTAATTTGAGCATTTAAATAAAAAACACAACAAGGTTTTCTTAAGGCACTGATTTGCTCTTTAACAAAATTTGTAAAGGGTTATGAAAGATTTACAAGATTATCACCTCACGGTCAAACTGGCTAAGATCAGAGAGAATCATCTATAAGGTTTCATTTAAAAGTTGGGGTTGATGTTAACCGTAGACTAAATCAAGGGTGAATTTTGGCTTTCTCTCCCTTGAATAAGATTTTCATGTAATAGGAAAGAATAATTAAAGACTTTTGTTTGCACCTTGAGAATAAACTTCCAAAAAACAGGCAGTTAAGACAGGAGTAGATTGGAAAGCTAAGTCTTCTCTCTTAATGAAAAAAGGTTTTTGCCTTTTTAAAAATTTTTGAGTCATCATTTTGGCTAAATAACTTATTATAATCTGGAATTCTACTTCATAATATTAAGTGTTTTAAATATCTAACATATTTAACAAGCTTCCCCAAATCAAACTTCAGTTTCAAGGTTATCTCTTCTGACCCCTAACTTTTGGATGCTACAGAGGGCCCATGGGGAAGTTCTGTGGGATTGGCAAAATAAAAATTATATTTAATCTTCAGGTTATATGTTAGTAAATTATAATGTATGTTCCAAAATTGTGTGGGATTTCTAAAATTCTAATGTCTGAGTATATGTTTTCAATCATCATTAACATTATGATTTTAAGTTATTGTAAACCACTAATAACCTAATTTCTTTGTCAATTGTATTTGTAATTGGGTCATTTTGTCATTCACAGACAATTGCCTTGTCTTGATCCTCTTCAAAAGATGGCTTATCATCAGCTATAGAACTCTGTCAGGTGCTTTTAAATGCCAGTTTCTGATGACACTGGAAACTGTGACACTAGAATAGAGGAAAAATGTATAGGACTCATGAAGAGCTGAAATGTTCATGAATATCAAGCAGAGCAAGAGTTAACTGAATGGACTGAACAAAACTGAAGGAATATTTTTTTTTGTTTGTTTTGTTTTTTCTTTTTTGAGACAGTCTCGTTCTGTCGCCCAGGCTGGAGTGCAGTGGCATGGAATCTCGGCTCACTGCAAGCTCTGCCTCCTGGGTTCACACCATTCTCCTGCCTCAGCCTCACGAGTATCTGGGACTACAGGTGCCCGCCACCATGCCGGGCTAATTTTTTGTATTTTTAATAGAGATGGGGTTTCACCGTGTTAGCCAGGATGGTCTCAGTCTCCTGACCTCGTGATCCACCCCCGTCGGCCTCCCAAAGTGCTGGGATTACAGGCATGAGCCACCATGCCCATCCAGGTATTTTTTTAACTTTTTGCTTAAAACATTTTGGATCCTTGTTTTTTTGTTTTTCAGAGTCAAGAAAACTTTTGAGATATCTACACTTTTAACAATTGAGTAAGGTATCTTCCTGAAAACAAAATTTGTAGCACATTTGTCTGCCTGGTTTCTCTAGAATTTGGAAACTATTGATGAGTATCCTTAACTTATGGCAATACAGTTATCTGCATTCGTGAAGTAAGAATCCATTTTCTTTTGCAACAGGATACAGCTGGAGAAACTGGTGGTTTTACCAATGCTTTGACTGCAAGGGTGTGCTTCCTTTTAAGGAATCAAGCTTGACTTGCAGTGCCAATAAAACCCCTTCTGGAAAAATGGCCTCATACCTTGTCTATGCAGTCCTAGTATGCGGCTCCTAACCTGTGTGAGTAAAGAATGTCACTTACCACCAGGCCCAGGAGCCCGATGTTATCCTGGGACTGCAAGAAGACAGGGAATTTACCTAACTCATAGATATTTGAGGGTACAAACCCATGGCTGAGCTCAGCTTTAAAAGGTCTTGTCTAAGATTCCTTGTGGAGCAGAGTTCCATCAAAGACAATTTAGAGCACCTATGTGAAAAATAATTATTCTTGCTACCCTTTGTACAAACAAGCAGGCCAAGGAAAAAAACTAAAGTTTTATTTTGCAAAGAACTCAGAGTCCTATCATGATTTGTTTTTAACAAATATGAGAACTGGAAAATGAAAAATTACATTTCAAAACTTACATAATTTTAATCTCATTAGTTGTTGTAAGTTTTAGCCTACATTTTAAACTAACCTTGCTTATTCCTGTGAACCAACCAGTGATCTTTGGCTGCATTTCAGAAGAAACAAAAGGGATGGATAATATAAAAATCTGGATAAATATTCTAATTCTGGGTAATTACCTGCAAATCCTGCCAGGTGATAAGAGTAAACAGGGTGCTGATAACCCAGAGGTTTCTTTGGGAAAATAAAACCAAGGGAACTAACCAAAGCCAAGCCCCATTCACCCAAATCTTAACAGGCATACCAGTAGCCACCAGTTATCTGGGCATGTCAGCAGCCTCCAGATTTTTCAGCTGTTCTTTCCCTCGTTTCATTTTCATACGTGACTTCTAATAACCAGGTTTGTCGCTTCTCATCTTCAGGGCATAAAACTCCAAACGGTCATGCAACAGGACACCTGGACGATGGCCCCTTTTACTGAGGACCCTTAGGCAGGCCTCTGAGGAAGATCTGACTGCCGTTTTCCCAAAATAGCACCCGTAACAGCAGGAAGCAGTTAAGACTGGTCTTCATCCCTAACCTAAGGGCAGTCAGATGTACCTCTTCAGAGGAGGGAACTTACAGCAGTAAGAGGCAGCCAAATGCCTAGGCAGATAGGGATAGGTCCCTGGTAAAACCCCATAAAGCCAAAAATGGCCTGAAGGCTAAAAGACCAGATGCTGGTCCTGGATGAAATTCGAGACCAAGAATGGGAATTTCTCCAGCTGTTTGCCCACCCTTTCACAATCAATTCTTTCTTTTCCAGTACTACCTAGGGTCTGCTCCTCCCATTCTGAGCCCATAAAAAGCCTCAGACTCAGCCATATTAGGGACACTTTCCAGCCTTTGTGTAGGAGGACCATCCCCTTGTCCCCTCCCCACTGAAAGCTGTTTCATCACTCAATAAAACTCCCTGCTTTGCTCACTCTCTTGATTGTCAGCATATCCTCATTCTTCTTGGGCACGGGACAAGAACTTGAGAACCAGTGCACAAGCCAGATGGGACCTGGGCAAGCATATGGGGTGGGGTACCTCTTGTGGCAGGTAGCATGTCCCAAGTGAGGCCTCCAGCATCAATTTCCAGAGGTCCCCAACTGGCAAAGGGACCATGAAGAAAATCCTGCATCACTATTACTGGGCCAGAGACCATGCCAATAGTCATAAACTTAAGTTCCAGTAGAAGACAAAAACACAAAAGATTAAATAAAGTAGAAAGTGTTGGGTTCATGAAAAATTGCAAGCAGAGTTCAAAGAGTGTACATCATTACCAAATAAAGATGCAATATTTCATGAAGATGGCATATGAACTGGGCCTTGTAGGTCAGACATGAGAGAACACAGGCCAGGCAAGCCAAACATTAAGCATACACTAATAAGAAGGAATAAAAAAGGTCAGAGCATGCACATCAATTGCGGCTAGTTTTATCTGATGAAAGAATATTAAGTAATTATGAACATGTAGAGGAGAGCTAGGTCAAAATAACTTCATTCAAGTGGAATCAACACAGTAAATAGTTGTGAACAATATTTGAGAGTAACTGGAAGAGAAAGCTTCCTTGAGGAAGCTACTACTTGTTTTGTGTAGCTAAAAGGAAGCCAAAGAAGCCTCCCATGATTCTTTTCACTAACGTAATTCCTGCACTAAGCGTGTACTTACAATTACTAAAATCATCCTCGATAAAAGCAATATACTTTTAGACAGCTGATACTTATGTGGCTCAGATAATAATACCCTTTATATCAGGCAAGGAACATACACACACACATACAATGACCCTCATTTTAAGATTATTACAGGTGTTGTTGGCTTGGTCCTGGTAAGCTGCAGCAAGAAGGACTATGGGTTAGTATATGTATATACACTAAAAAATTGTACATTATACCAATTATACTGAATAATTGTTAGAATATATGTATATTCTCAAACTATGGGGCTTAAGGCTAGTAACAGACGTGAAGTCTTATACAAAGAAATGACAATAATCTTGCCGACCAGGGTATCTCATCCTTGGCACTGTTACCATTTTGGGTCAGATAACTCTTTGCAAGTGGGAGAATTCTGTGCACTGTATGATGTTTAGCACTATCCCTGGCCTCTACCTACTAGATGCCAACCAGTGTATGCTAATCACCATCCCCTCACATCATAACCAAAGATGTCCCCCGATATTGCCGAATGCCCTATGAGAAGGCAAAATCAGCCCCAGTCAAGAAGCACTGCTTTAGACACTATAATAATTATAATAACATTCAAATCATCATTTATTATTATGCTTAGTTTATTCCTATAACTGTTAAATATGACATTAATATACCGATTCGTTGATGAACTGAGATTATCTGTAATTATTTTCACTAGAGTCTAGACAACTACTTTACAAACAGTATTCTACATCATTGCATAATGCATTCTTGAAAACATGACAGAAGTCAAGAACAAACGACAGACTTACACATTTTTAAAGACTTTCAACTCTTAAGAGCAGAACAAATGTAATAAAATCCCCCATAACACCCATGGTGCTGCTTGTAAAATGGCTCCCCATGATGCAGCCTCCTGACAGTCATGGTTTTGTCCAATAACCATGTTCTGATCAATTTGGAGCCTACCTAATGATTTGTTTTTAACTATGTCAATTCCATGATTAGATTATAAAGACTTCCATGTTACTTGCATTTGCTGCAGCTTGTCTTGCTTGCTTGCCCTAATGAAGCAAGCTGCTGTATTGTGACTTGCTCCATAAAAAGGGCTGCATGGCAAGAATGCACTATAGTAGATGGGTGAAGAAATAAGACCAAGAATCGAAAAGGAACTTAATTCTGCCAATAATCACCTGAGAGATCTCAGAACCATACTCAGTCAATCTTTCAGTTGATGACAAACACATGAAAAACCTGATTACAGCTTTGAAGAGATACTGAACCAAAGGACACAGCTAAATCATGCCTGTATTCAAAATAAATTGTGAGATAAAAATTGTTATCTTAAACCACTACAGTCAGGATAATATGTGACATGGCTTGGATCCATGTCTCCACCAACCCTCATGATGAATTGTAATTCCCAATATTAGATGGAGGTGGACCTGGTATGAGATGACTGGATCTTGAGGATGGCTCCTTCATGAATGGTTCAGCACCATACCCTTGGTGCTGTTCTTCTGACAGTGAGTTCTTGCAAGATCTGGTTTTTAATTTTAATTTAATTTTATTTTACTTTTAAGGCAGAGTCTTACTCTGTTCACCCAGGCTGGAGTGCAGTGGTGCAATCTTGGTTCACTGAAACATCTGCCTCCCGGGTTCAAGCAATTCTCCTGCCTCAGCCTCCTGAGCAGCTGGGATTATAAGCAGGTGCAACCACACCCAGCTAATTTTTGTACTTTTAGTAGACATGAGGTTTCACCATGTTGGCCAGGCTGGCCTTGAACTCCTGACCCTCAGGTGATCTGCCTGCCTTGGCCTCCCAAAAGTGCTGGGATTATAGGCATAAGCTGCTATGCCTGACTCAGATCTGGATTATTAAAAGTGTGTAGCACCTCCCGCTTCACTCTTTCTTGCTCCCTGCTCCTGCCATGTAAGATGTGCCTGCTTCCCCTCTGCCTTGTGTCATCATTCTAAGTTTCCTGAGGCCTTTCCAGAAGCCAAGCGGATTCCAGAATCATATTTCCTGTACAGCCTGCAGAATCATGAGCCAATAAATCTCTTTTATTTATAAATTAGCCAGTATCCAATATTTCTTTATAGCAATACAAGAATGGACATATGTTATCTAGCAATAAATGCCTAAAACAAGACATCCTATATAATGTTAAACATATTTTCTGCACTTAATTTTTCCATTTTAATCATTTCATTCACCGTTAAACAAAGCTATCCAAAATAATCAAAGAACACAACTAAACTCAGTAAGATTAAGAACTCACGGATTCCCTATGACTTATCAGTTCCTTTACCTACATGAAAATCCCCACTTATTACTAGTACCATTACTTCCAATTTTTGTTTTTCATTCATCCTATCAACTGACCTTCCAAAATACTTGTATACAAATACAGCAGAGATCTCAAAACTGAAGTGCTCTAAGGCCAATCATACCACCATAAAATACAAGGAAATCTCTCGTCAGCTTCTGTAAAGACTGAACTGGAAATAAGAAAAGAAGTTGTCAACACAACTATATTGTCAATACATTAACACATAAAAGAAAATGGACTCTGTACCAACTTCAAATGTATCACAACTGAAAACAAGCTAATATTTTCAAAACAAATTCATCTCACAAATCATTTTTTTTTTTTTGAGATGGAGTCTCATTCTGTCACCAGACTAAAGTGTAGTGGCATGATCTCTGCTCACTGCAACCTCTGCCTCCCCAGGTTCAAGCGATTCTCCTGCCTCAGCAGCCTCCCGAGTAGCTGAGACCACAGCCACATGCCACCACATCCAGCTAATTTTTATACTTTTAGTAGAGACAGTGTTTCACCATGTTTCCCAGAATGGTCTTTATCTCCTGACCTCATGATCCGCCCACCTCAGCCTCCCAAAGTGCTGGCATTACAGGCATTGAACCACCATGTTTGGCCTTAAATTTTATTAAAGGGAAAGGGATACTGGAATGGAAAGGGGCTGGCTGGTTGCAGTGGGCTATGACTGCCCTGGCTGAGGAGGAAGTCTACTCAGATGACTGGTTGGGTGGGGAGAAGGTGCCTTAGAGTTTTAGTTTTGGCTTGCATCACTTACTAAACTGAAAAATAATCCAACTGATGAAAACTTTGACACAACACACTAATCTGGTAATAATCAGCATCAAAATGTTCATGACAGCATATTCACAATGACAAAAAATATTGTAGACAACCTAAAGACAACAAAGGAGAAACTAAAGAAATCTTGATACATCAATATAATGAAGTATTACCAAAATTCCTACTTAGGGAAAACTTAAATTAGAAAAAAAAAGATGAAAGAGAGAAGCCTCTAGCTTAAACTATTTTTATCTAATTTTTAAAAATGAACACAAAAAAGTAAAAAATACATAAATATTATGATTGCCATTATAGCATGGTATCATGGGAGGTAGAATGTTTGTAGTTTTTCCCATTTTATTTCTCTTCTCTGGCCTCTAAACCTCTTGTATTGATCAACAATAACATGCATAACTTTCACACAAAAAATATATATGCCCAAACATACAAAGGGACATATGTCCTCCCACAAACATATACACAGAGAAAGGAATGTAACATAAAAATTCTCTACCACTACTTCTTGGGAGACTGAGATGCAAAGATCACTTGACTGTAGGACTTCAAGGCTAGTCTGGGCATGGCAAGATCCCACCTCAAAAGACAAACACTAAAAGCTCTCCATTAAATAATAAACAGCAAGTTAAATAAGTTAAACAAGTTAAACATTTAAAAAACTAAAGCTGGAAGCAATGTAATCCCAGCACTTCGGAAGGCCCAAGCTGGAGGATCACTTGAACCTAGGAGTTCAAGAGCAGCCTGGGCCACACAGGCAAAGCCCATCTCTACAAAAAAAATTTTTTTTAACTAGCCAGGTAAGGTGTCATGTCTGTTGTCCAAGCACCCAGGAGGCTGAGATGGGAGGATCACTTAAGCCAGGAATTCGAGGTTGCAGTGGGCTATGATTGCCCCCACAGCACTCTAGCCTAGGCGACAAAGCCAAGATCCTATCTCTAAAAATTAAGTAAAATTTGGTTTTCATTTACAAAGAATTCCAGCTCTGTGGACAAAACGTATTTTAAATATTCTATTTAAGCAGGCTATGTACCTCATATAATTTTTATGCTCTCTTGTGCCCAAGTTAAAAATAAGTTTATCTACTTAAGAAAAAAGACCAGTGAAAAGAAATGTAATCAATGTTACAAGGTTCAATGACCATAAACCATCATAAATAAAACAGGTATGTGAAAAGAAAATAAATCTCAGGACTCCAAAATGACTAAGCCAAAGGAAGTCAAGCAGGCAACTGACTCAGGCAAACCTGCCTCCCATTTTATTTCTAAATAAAATAGCTCCAAACATAAAAAAGCTACATCCCTCCCTCAGAATTTGCCCACAAGGAAATTCCTGTGGACAAAAAACACAGAGAACTCGAAATCATCCCTCTGATGCTCAGGTGAGAGAAATGCATATCTGATGGAACCCTAAAAATTTAGGACAGGTCTCAGTTAATTTAAAAAGTTTATTTTGTCAAAGTTGTGGACACAAACTTGTGACACAGTCTCAGGAAGTCCTAACGACATGTGCCCAAGGTGGTTGGGGCCCAGCTTAGTTTTATACATTTTAGGGAGACATGAGACATCAATCAATATATCTAAGAAGTATGTTGGTTCAGTCTAGAAAGGCAGGGATAAAGTGAAGCAAAGGCAGGAAGACTCAAACGGGGAAGGGGGCTTCCAGGTCATAGATAGGTGAGAGACAAACTGCTGCATTCTTTTGAGTTTCTGATTACAATCAGATATGCATCTAAGTGAGCAGAGGGGTGAATTTGAATAGAATGCAAGGTAAGTTGGCCCTGAACAGTTTCTAACTTGACTTATCCCTTGAGCTTAGTGATTTGGGGGCCCCAAGATTCATTTTCCTTTCATATCCCACTCCCCCCAGCCTTTTCTTTTATAAAATCTTTTGGAGAAACTATTTTGAAACAAATGAGTCTCTCTGGTCTCAGGTTTCATCTGATCTCTCATGGCTAGGATGGTTTATTCCTATATGGGTAGGTCCTGAAAGCTCATTTTTAGCAGGTTGTGAAGTCTCACATCCTGTAAAGAGAAAATAGGAGGAATTGAGAAAAAACAACACACAAAAGAATACTCCTGGAAAATCGATACAGGCCACATTACTCTGAAGTCTATACAACAGTAGGCAGGTATGAAAGTGGCTTATGTATATAAATAGGTTGCTGTTATTTTCTTCTGAGGTTTAAGTTGTCTGGCTTCAGTTCGCAGGACTTTAGGAAAGCGCAGCTTAGTTTTCAGTGACTCTGAATTCAAAAAAATGGGGAAAAAAAACGGAGGAAAAGCAGAAAAAAATTAGAAACAGTATTTTGAAGACTTGTAGCCAAGAAAAAACTAGAATTCAGCCCGAACTGCAGAGATAATAAAAACTGAAAAACAGTAGGCAAGTTTAGAATCTAACAGGTGTACTATAGTTTTCCGAAACACAATTTTTCTCTCTCCGTTTCCGTTTTCCCTAAAGACAAATTATGGTAGGGCTGGTTTGCTTTAAATTATATACTTGGCCAGATTATTTGTACACAAGTATATTAAATACTTGTATTATATACTTGGCTAGATTATTTATATACAGGCCAGATTATTTATATTCCACTGCAGCAGGAATAATTATTTTTTTACATGAGTTTTAAATTGGCTTTGATGGAACTTTGTTCCACAGAAGGAATCCCACATAAGATTTTTTTAAGCCATGGATTTGGGCCAACAAATATCTGAGTTGGATGGATTTTCTCTCCTCTTGGGGTTCCAAGATAAACTTGGGGCTTCTGTGTCTGTTAGAAAGTAACATTCTCGCCTGTAATCCCAGCACTTTGGGAAGTGGAGGCAGGCAGGTCACGAGGTCAGGAGATTGAGACCATCCTGGCTAACATGGTGAAACCCCATCTCTACTGAAAATACAAACCAAAATTAGCTGGTCTTGGTGGCGGGCGCCTATAGTCCCAGCTACTCAGGAGGCCGAGGTGGGAGAATGGCATGAAGCCGGGAGGCAGAGCTTGCAGTGAGCCGAGATCACACCACTGCACTCTAGCCTGGGAGACAGAGCGAGATTCTGTCCCCAAAACAAAAACAAAAAACAAAAAACAAAGTAACATTCTTTACTTACCACAGGTCAGAAACCCTGTACAGGGACTGTGTACACAAAATATGAGGCCAGTTTTTCCAAGGGCTTTCTTGGCTCCATACGTCAAGTTTGATTCCTTAAAGGGAAGCACATCATTCCAGTCAAAGCCTTGGTAAAATAACCAGTTTGTCCAATTGTGTCGTGTTACAAATGAAAACAGATTCTGATGGCACTTATGCAAATAACTGTATTTCCATAAGTTAAGAAGACTTACAGATAGTTTGCAATTTTGGGAGAAATCAGGTAAAGAGAAACAAATATGCTCCAAATTTTGTTCATGGGAGTGTCCTAAACTGTTAACAGCTGTCAATAGCTCTAAAGAAAAGTTTTAAGACTCTGAAAACCAAAAAAAAAGATTCACAACATTTTAAGCAAAAAGTCAAAAAGATTAGTTCAGTCCATGCAGTTAATTCCTGTTCTGCTTGATACTCATCAACAACATAAAATACTCATTTTAGCTCTCAATGAGTCCTGAAAGTTTTTCCTCTATTCTGATGTCACACTCTCCAAAGTTATCAGAAACCTGCATTCAAGAGCACCTGCTAGAGTTTTAAATCTGATTATAAAACCACCTTCTGAAGACAAAAGCAAGACAATTGTCGGTGGATGGCAAAACATTTTAGAGCAGCCATAGTCAAAAACACAACTGACAAGGAAATTTGTTACCTCTGTGGCATGCAATAATTTTATCATAACAATTATGATTATTGATAATATACACTGTTATATCAGAACTATAGGAGTTTCCTGTAATTTTGGAACACATAATAACATATTTATACAAATATAGGCCAAACAAAAACCAACACCATTTCATATCTGACAATGCTTCCTGTATAATTTTTGTACCAAATAAGCCAAATTATGTTATTTTTTGGACATTAGGAAACCTAGTATCTTAAAGAATTAATTAGGTCAGAAAAAGACAAAATTTATCATTTGATTTTGGAAAGTTTACCAAATATCAAAGGTTTTAAAGACAATATCACAAAACAGGATCACAGGTCATTATAAAATAAGTCATTCATTTAACGAAAGTGACAAGTCACGGATTTCAGAAAAAGACAAGAACCTTTATTCTTTGAAAGAAGACCTAATTCTCCAAACAATAAGCCTTAAGAAGAACAGCATGAAGCCAATTAAATTTGTTTGTCAAAGTTGTATAAACAATCTATACAATTTTCTTTTTTTTTTTTTCTGAGACTGAGTTTCACTCTTGTTGCCCAGGCTGGTGTGCAATGGCATGATCTTGACTCACTGCAACCTCTGCCTGCCAGGTTCAAGCACTTCTCCTGCCTCAGCCTTCCCGAGTAGCTGGGATTACAGGCATGCACCACCAAACCTGTCTAATATTTTTGTATTTTTCCGAGAGAAGAGGTTTATCCATGTTGGTCAGGCTGGTCTTGAACTCCTGACCTCAGGCAATCACAGCCTGCTTTGGCCTCCCAAAGTGATGGGATTACAGGCATAAGCCACCACGCCCAGCCACAACCTATAAAATTTTAACTTTAACCATAAGATATAGCTTCCATAAATCTTTTTATAACCTGAAAAACCTTTATTAAGGGGTTGGTTAATGCTTCAAGAAAATTTTGTTAATCTCACACAGGGGCCCATATACTCATCTTGCATCAGTGTGCATGTGACATTAATGATTAGTTCATAGAGGAATTGAACTTATTTTATCTTTCAAAATTGGCCCTTACAATCTTATGCCTACCTCTTCCACAACTGTCCCTGGGCCTTGAGGAGTTAAAGTTTTTATTTATTCCCCTTTGTCTCACAAATGCAGTTTATTTTGATTGGAATCTCCTACTGGGCTTGAAGATGAGACTTTAATCGCTCTCAGTGTTTAAGATTTAGCAGGACTTGGTGTTCTTTTTATATCCAGGAGTCAAAGCCCTGTAACTCAATGTCACAAGAACTTTAAAAACACATACAGGAAGATACGTGGATGCACATGTAATAACGCTAATTAAAAAAAAAAATTAGTCTCACTTTTTTTCCTTAAGCAAACCAAAACTTAATATTTCGATTTTCTAGTTCGTCCTGAACACTCCTCCTTCTTAAACAACCAGTCATTTTATTTTAGGACTAAAATTTACCACATAAGGTTCTTTCTCACATAAAAGTATTTCTCTTTAAGCTTTCATACCACATGCAAAAAAACCTCTTTATTTTTACAACTTTCTTTACATCTCTTTTTATTTCCTTGTTCCTTTTACCATATTTATACATAACCTTTAAATGAGCTTTGAATTAGGCAAAAATTTTTTACCTTTTTTTGTTTAAAAAGAATACACTTCTTTGTTTTAGCAAGAATGTTTTCCTATTATATATTATTTATTGGAAAGTACCCAAATAATGAAGTATTTACTATTTAATTTTATATTCAAAATTATGACCAGTTTGTCTACAAATATTTATTGCATTACATTTACGTAATGATTTTAATTGTTTACTTAGATTATTTATGACAACTGTGATAGTCATGAATTTAAAGCTATGAAAACTACCGTTGCAAAATTACAACTGAGACACTGAAAAAAGATTTGACCTAATTGACTCCACCTTGCTCTTTATCTCCAAGCTGTCCTTGTTCATTCCTGGGAATAAGCCAAACTAACTTTTGGAGGAACTTAGTTTATAGTTTATTTTTGAAACAAAGACAGTAACAGTCCTTTCCCAAACCTCCTTACTGCCTGTGGACTTGACTGCCTAAATCCACAGGATTAGATGTTAAGGTAATCTTACTAAATTCAAGATGCAGCTATTTTCATTAAACCCATATCAATGTCTTTCTTTCCCTCCCCCCTCGCCCCCCAAGATGGAGTCTCGCTCTGTCACTCGCCCAGGCTGGAGTGCAGTGGCACCGTCTCGGCTCAGTGCAACCTCTGCCTCCAGGGTTCAAGCCATTCCCCTGCCTCAGCCTCCCAAGTATCTGGGACCACAGGCATATGCCACCATGCCCGTCTAATTTTTTGTATTTTTAGTAGAGATGGGGTTTCACCGTGTTAGCCAGATGGTCTCGATCTCCTGACCTCGTGATCCGCCCGCCTCCGCCTCCCAAAGTGTTGGGATTACAGGCGTGAGCCACCACACCTGGCCCCTCAGTGTCTAATATATTAAAAATTATAGGTTGGGGCCAGTGGCTCATGCTGGTAATCCCAGCACTTTGGGAGGCCAAGGTGGATAGATCATGAGGTCAGGAGTTTGAGACCAGCCTGGCCAATATGGTGAAACGCTGTCTCTACTAAAAATAAAAAAACCACCTGGTCGTGATGGTGCGTGCCTGTAGTCCCAGCTACTCAGGAGGCTGAGGCAAAAGAATTGCTTGAACAGGGGAGGCAGAGGTTGCAGTAAGCTGAGATCCCACCACTGCACTCCAGCCTGGGTGACAGAGACTCTGCCTCAAAAAAAAAAAAAAAAAAAAAAAAGAAAGAAAGAAAGAAAAAAGTACACAAGCAAAAATCCTTCTGGGATTTTTTTTGGCTGCGTTTAGTTTTGTAACTCCTATGACAAATTTTGATACCTTATAATATTTGCCAGGGATAAGTATGATATTGCTTGATTAATAAATGCAAAACAAAAAATGTATGCTGGCAATTCTTAAGACATTCCTAATATTACTTTAACAATAATTTTAAAGGTAGCTTATTAAGGATTTTACTTAAGTTTCATAAATCTGAAAAAGCATTTGACCAGTCTTTTTTTGATACAGTATCTGATTTATGTGCTTTTATTTTTCTTTAAGCCAATTAGAGCTTTTATCTAATTTTCGTAGTGAAACATTGTGTACACAACACAAATACATAAATGTATTAGGCATGGCCATGGAAGACATTTTATAGATTCATAAAGACATCCCCCTTTTGTATGAGCGCAGCAGCCCACGCCTGTAATCCCAGCACTTTGGGAGGCCAAGGCAGGCAGCTCACGAGGTCAGAAGATTGAGACCGTACTGGCTAACACGGTGAAACCCCGTCTCTAGTAAAAATAGAAAAAATTAGACAGGCATGGTGGTGGGTACCTGTAGTCCCAGCTACTCGGGAGGGTGACGCAGGAGAATGACATGAACCTGGGAGCTGGAGCATGCAGTGAGCGGAGATCACTGCACACTCCAGCCTCGGCAACAAAGCGAGACTCTGTCTCAAAAAAAAAAAAAAGACATCCCCTCCTTTTTGTTATCTTTGACTTTCAGATTCTTAATAACCAGTTTTACAACCATAGGCAGTTGTCAGCTAAATAGCCTTAAATTTGCATATTAAAGGAAACAACTCAGGTGAAAATCAAATAGCAAAATTTACATCAAAAAGTATAGAGAGAAAAAGTCTGGTGGTGCTACAGGGAGACACAGTGCACTTAAAAAAATTTTTTAAAGACCTTTCTGAGTGTCTAAACTACATTGTTCTTAAAAACCCAAGAGTAGCCTCTGTTGCAATAACTATTTTTTGTCAAAAAAACAAAAACAAAAACAAAAAAAAACCCAGGTGGAAACAGAATCAGTTAACTGAAAATGAAAAAAAAGACATTTGCTCAAAAAAACACAAGGTCTTAGGAAAGAAAAACAAAAACAAAAACATGAAGGCCTTTTAAATAAAAACATGCACACATACATGCATACACACACACATCCTGGATGTCGGCCTTTTAATGAAGCTGACTTTTAACCACTGAACTTCTTTAAAAAAAAATTTTTTTAATCTTGTTACCATATGTCAGCTAGGACAAAATGCTGCTAAACTAGTAAGAATCACACAAATTATAAAATTTCTGAGTGCTCTAAGTGTAAGCAGAAATTAACACCAGCTGGTTGTTAATGGTAACATTAGTCATTTAAAAAGAATTTGAAAGACAGAGTTCCAAACCAGTTTCTTACTAGTGATGGGTCTCAGGCTGTAGACTGGTCTCTACCATCCTAGAAGCAAGAAAAAAAAACCTCATCTTCCTTGTTGGAAGCAAGCTCAAACTCCATAAAGGAGTTATTTGCCTTCGATCATCACGGAAGCAGGAAAAGACTTGCCTTCCTTGTGTTGGAAGTAAGTAAAACTCCAAAATAAAAGAGGAGTTGTACAGCAAAATAAATTACAGATCTTGACCAAATTTGGGGAGATCAGGGCTTCTCAGGAGGGGGTGCTCTCAGACCTCAGCAAATTGTCCTATTGGTTTGAGCCATAAAGTTAACTCATCCTGGTACCAAGCACTGACAGGAGACCTGTAAAAGGTCAGGGGCATCTCCATTCACAATCCCTCAATGGTTACCAAAATGTGGACCCTGAAAATTTGAGACAGGTCTCAGTTAATTTAGAAAGTTTATTTTGGTTGAGAACACATGCCTCTAACACAGCCCCAGGATGTCCTAATGACATGTGCCCATGGTGGTCAAAGCATGGCTTGATTTTACACATTTTAGGGAGACATGAGACATAAATCAACATACATTAAGGTTTGGCCTGAAAAGGAAGGACAAATTGAAGCAAAGGCAAGAAGACTTGAAGAGGGGAGGGGGCTTCCAGGCCACAAATAGGTTGGAGATGAACAGGTGCATTCTTTTGAGTTTCTGACCAGCCTTTCCAAAGAAGGCAATCAGATATGTATCTATCTCAGTTAGCAAAGAGGTGACTGTGAATAGAATGGGAGGCAGGCTGGCTCTAAACAGTTCCCGATTTGACTTTTCCCATTAGTTTAGTGATTTGGGGGCCCCAAGATTTATTTGCCTTTCACATGTTTCCTTAAGCCAAACCAAGGCATAAGTGACTACTCCTCTACCCTCCTCCCACAGGTAAATTGTGTATTCACTGAAAGGCTAATCAGAGACTCAAAAGAATGTAACTGTTTGTCTCTTATCTACCTATGACCTGAAAGCCCCTTCCCTGTTTCAAGTTGTCTTGCCTTTCTGGAACGAACCAATGTACATCTGAGACATACTGATTGATGTCTCAAGTCTCCGTAAAATGTGTAACACCAATCTTTTCCCAAAACACCTTTACACATGTTGTCAGGACTTCCTGAGATTGTGTCATGGATGTGTCTTGAACCTTGGCAAAGCAAACTTTCCAAATTGGCTGAGATGTGTCTCACATATTTTGGGTTCACATAATCAACAGTAAAAAATGGAAAGTTTGGGGACGATAAATTCAAATCCAAACATACATAAAGCTCAAGAAGTTTAATACAGCTGTATTCTTCCTCTTATACCAGTAAGGATATAAGCTGACCTTAATTATTACTGTAGTCCTAGTTTCTACACTACTTGCTGAACAGATCTGTGAAGAATCTTGTGCTAACATTAAGAACCTGCACAGATTATACTCTAAAGTATTTCTCTCTTCCTTTCTGAATAGGGAATTTAGCACATTCAACTAAGAAAAAAGCAAAATGAGAAACAAGAAGTAAACATTACTATTTCAACAGCTGTATAAATACTGTAAACTTCACACATGCACGTGCGTGCACACACACTCACACAGACATACACATCCACAAAAGTTAACAAAGTTTGAAAAACTTTTGTAGATATTAAATCTGTTTTAAAAACTGAATTAAACTTAAAGTGTTTAAATTAACATAATACAGTGTCACGTAAAACCAAACTTTTAATTTATGGAATGATATCAGTAAATGATAGGGAGACATATGCCCCAATTTTGCATCTTTTAGCAACATTATGTTAACCAAACATTTTAAAAGAATAAACTCAACAAGTAAAATGTCCTTCACATGTTAAGACGCAAATGAAATGAGAATCTTATTCAATCTAAAGTTTTAACATCTCTGTGGCTAATCAAGACATTTCTCAAAGAACAGACCATTTTTATAATTTCTAAAACAAAATTACAATCAAAAAATTTTAATCAAACCTCAGGCAACTCTGTTACATAAAGAAAATCAAGTTTCTTTGTTTAAGAAGAAAAAGCATGTAAAATCAGTACATTAAATTATAATACACTTTGTCAATAACAGGCATAACAGGAGTTGGAATACCCACTAGTTGAGCCTATGTGTATGGAAATAAGAGTTTCAGATGCTGAATACTAAATGCTTACCCAGTACTAGCATAATTAACATTCAAATGACAACTGTTGCTATATAAAAACTATTAATTAAAAAAATAATTTTCTTGTTCATTTAAAAGGTTTATTCATGCTCAGAAACAATAACCAAGTAATTCTTTGTTGTTCAGCAGTTCTTTTAAATAGAACTTTTTCTAGGTCTCAGACCAATCAAATGAGAATGGGGGAGGGAGAAGTATGAAGGACATGATAACACTCTTTCAAATGACTCTATTGTGTAGCTGGGGTTCAGAAAAAGCCCTGCATTAACCTGTACCCAAATATTAATGCCAGACATGCAAAAACAATTTTAAATAGTAGTTTTCAAGAACACAGTACTTAAGAGAACCAAAGAGAAGATAAAAATCTATTTCTCAATTACTGAAATAGAGAATATAAGAGCCAAAATGTAATTAAGGCTACCAAAAAATGGTTAACTATCATTACAGATGCATAATAATGTGAATATACTTAATACCACTGAACTGTACACTTACAGAGAGCTAAGATGGTATAGTCTATGTTATGTGTATTTAACTACAATTGGGAAAAAAAATTAAAGAAGAGTTGCTCCTATTTAGAATAAAAATTAATTTGCCCATTGCTGACAAACGGGCAGACTTACAGATCAACAGCACAGAACTAGAAGAACAGAAGTAAGGTGTTACATTTATACAAAATGATTTTCGACAAAGGTACTAATACCTTTCAATGAAGAAAGCAAAGTCATTTCAACAAATGATATTAAGACAATTATCTATATGCAAGAGAATGAATCTGAATGTGTACCTCACACGACATACAAATATTAACCCACAACATTGTATGTCAAATGTAAGTACTATAAATATAAAATCCTTAGAGAAAAAAATGAGTAAATCTTTGTGACCTTGTACACCAAAAATAAAATTCTAAGCCCTTCAACCATCTGAATGGATGTCTCCTCTTAGCAAGGACATTCCAGGGTTACCCTGAGTGACTGGTTCAAGCCATGGTGCAGGGCAAAGGAAAGACATGCCTCATTACAGGCTCCTCCCTTTCAGAATTATTAATAAAACCGTCTTTAAGTCTGATGAGAAACATTTGCAATCTATTCTCTCTGAAGCCTACTACCTGGAGGCTTCATCAGCAAGACAAAACTTTTGAAAGGAGTTAGCCAGCTTGCATTAGGCAGACACTAAAGAAAGGGTCCCACTGAATCTCCAGCCCATGTTTCGTGCAGATTAAGGGAATTTGCTCAAGGGCTTGCCTGAGCATGCCTACAGCAGACTAAGGGCCCATATGGGCACTGGGGGAAGGAGGTAGAGCCACCAGGAATGGCACCTTAAAACAAATAGGGAAACCAGGACTATCAGCTTATATGTCTGTATGTAAAATCCCTTGTATTAAACTGTAAAGGGTGAAATCAGGAACCTGCTTTCAGGACCCTTCTCTTTGCTGAAAGCTTTCCTTTTGCTTAATAAATTCTACTCCACTCACTCTGTGAGTGTCCACATGCCTAATTTTTCCTGGTCATGAGACAAGAAACCAAACCTAGCTTAGCTAAGGAGAGAAAACTCCTGCATCACTTTGGTCTCCACAACTCCTCAGCATCATAACCCAGACATTCCTTTCTACTGATTCTAGGTCCTTAGATAATAACTTAATTCTGTCAACCAACTGCCAATCAGAAAATGTTTAAATCTACCAACAACCTGTAAGCCCTGGCTTCAAGCCATCCAGGCTTTCTGGACCAAAGCAACCTACATCTTACAAACGTGTTTGATTGATATCTCATGTCTCCCTAAAATGTATAAAACTAATCTGCGCCGGCCGGGCATGGTGGCTTACATCTGTAATCCCAGCATTTTGGGAGGCCGAGACAGGCAGATCACTTGAGGTTGGGAGTTCGAGACCAGCTTGACCAACATGGAGAAACCCCATCTCTACTAAAAATACAAAATTAGCCAGGCATGGTGGCACATGCCTATAATCCCTGATACTCAGGAGGCCGAGGCAGGAGAATTGCTTGAACCTGGGAGGCAGAGGTTGCGGTGAGCTGAGATCACGCCATTGCACTCCAACCTGGGTTACAAGAGTGAAACCCTGTCTCAAAAACAAAAACAAAACAAAACAAAAACTAATCTGTGCCCTGATCATCTTGGGCACATGTTCTCAGAATCTCCTGAGGGCTGTGTCACAGGCCATTTGTCACTCACAGTTGGTTGAGAATAAGTCTCTTCAAATATTTTAAAGAGTTTGACTTTTTTCGTTGACAATAATTTGGTGCCCAACATGGGGCATCAGAGAACACTCTGGACCACAAAGGAGTTGCCCAAACTTAGAGCTAAAGGCACCAGCAGCGGCTCATTGAAAACATCTCCAATTTCTTTTTTCTTTTTTTTATTTGAGACAGAGTCTTGCATTGTCACCCAGGTGCAATCTCCGCTCATGGCAACCTCTGCCTCCCAGGTTCAAGCTACTCTCCTGCCTCAGCGTCCCACGTAGCTGGTATTACAGGCACCTGCCTCCTTGTCCGGGTAATTTTTTGTTATTTTAGTAGAGACGGCATTTCACTATGTTGGCCAGGCTGGTCTTGAACTCCCGACCTCCCTCCTGATCTGCCCACCTCAGCCTCCCAAAGTGCTGGGATTACAGGCGTGAGCCCCCGTGCCCAGCCTGAAAGCCTCTCCAATTTTAAGCTTCTCCTCTGGTGGAACTGGTATGTGCTCCTGAGCCCACCAGCCTCCCTTTGATTGACAGTCCTTGATGTATTCTGTTTTTGTGTTTATTTGTTTCTTCCTAGGAAACTGTTGTGTAGGATCCTCATTCTAGTTTGGAGGTGTAATCTAAAGGGTCTTTTCCATTTCCTTTTTCTAAAGACAGGGAGAACAATTTGGGCTCCTCAACTGGTTTCTAGTTCAGAAATACATTCTAAAGGGTCTTCTCCATTGCTTTTTCTCCCAAAATTAATCTCAGGTGGTTTGAATGAGCATTTGTATGAGAAACTGAAGTGTCATTTTCATAGATAAATGAGAGACTGAGTTTCCTCAGCTCTAAAGGAAAACAGCATTTTGTTCCTCCCAACTCAAAGGTGCCCTTGAGTGACTGCGGATCAAGTGGGAATGTCTGGGGTACTGACCTCCCGTGACATGCAGTGGCCTTACAGGGCACCCCCAACAAAAATTACTTTTTTAAAAATATAGGCTTTGGCTGGGCATGGTGGCTAATGCTTGTAATCCCAGTACTTTGGGAGGCTGAGGCGGGCGGACTACCTAAGGACAGGAGTTTGAGACTAGCCTGGCCAACATGGTGAAACCCCATCTCTACTAAAAATACAAAAAAATTGGGTGGATGTGGTGATGCATGCCTGTAATCCCAGCTACTCAGGAGGCTGAGGCGGGAGAATTACTTGAACCTGGGAGGCGGAGATTGCAGTGAGCCGAGATGGTGCCAACTGCACTACAGCCAGAGCAACAAGAGTGAAACTCTGTCTCAAATAAATAAATAAATAAATAAATAAATAAATAAAAATATAGGCTTTTTTGTTTGAACCCGGGAGGTGAAGGATGCAGTGAGCAGAGATCACACCACTGCATTCCAGCCTGGGCAACAGAGCGAGATTCTGTCTCAAAAAAAAAAAAAAAAAAAAAAAAAAATATATATATATATATATATATACACACACACACACATATATATATATACATATATATATATATATATATACACACATATATATATATATAGCTTTTGCAAGAAATGCATATAAAGGCTGATCAGCCAGTGTTCTCAGCACTCAGAGGTACTAGACTTCCAGAGAGGGAAACAGAGACACAGAATGAGACACTTAAGAGGGCGGAAATAATTCAGTGGTGACATGCTGTGGAGTCCTGCTCATAACCAGCACACTCCAATCCATTACACTAAACCCTAGGCCACAGCTCAGTTGGTCCTTTTAAGTGGAAACATATAATCTAAGAATGGGAAACAACCTAAATGTGGGAAACATCTAAGAATGACGAAAAAACCATGGAGCCTCTATTTGAACATTTTAACTGAGGGACAAATTACATTAAGAAAAAATTCTCTATTTCTCTATTTTCTTTTCCACCTGCTTTAAATCTGCTGTTACTTTTCTAAGTAAAAGTTACAGGATATTTGTTTGATTGAGTGTGTAGTTGTGTGTTTATGTGTACATACATGTAGTTTGTTCAGTGTTTTGGTCACAAAGTACCAAATCAGCTTAAAGTTAAATAGTAAGCCTAAATGCTTTTCAAGTTCATGTGACTGAAGTAAAAATCTTAATAAATACGTTAGCTTTAAAAGTACAAGTAAAATAGTATTAGAAATATCTTAAGAACTGTCAGCACATGTTTTGTTTACATTTATTGATTAAGAGGTTTCATACTTATTCTTGCCAAATCTTGTAAGGTGTTAAAATTTGTCAGAAGGGTCATAAAACTATAAACCCAGCCCAAAACAGAATGAACTTTGTATAATTTTTGACAAATAAGATATTTAAGATTTTTGGTTTAATGAAAACAAGTAAATCATGTGTTGTTCATATATTTAAACTTAAGTTTCTTACTTAGATATGCACCTGAAATTCATAGGCCATAAAAATATTAACAGGGAAATAACCTTAAATAATGACTATCCTTATTAAATAATCAGGTAAATATAATGGAATAAATGCTTGTAAACAAATTTGTCATATAATTAGAATGTATGGTTATATTAAATAATACATATTAAATTTCTGGGTAATTTCCAATTTAAAAATTGTAAGAAGATGTCTTTAAAAATTGTTTTCGGCCAGGCGCAGTGGCTCACGCCTGTAATCCCAGCACTTTGGAAGGCCAAGGCGGGTGGATCACGAGGTCAGGAGATCGAAACCATCCTGGTTAACACGGTGAAACCCCGTCTCTACTAAAAATACAAAAATTAGCCAGGCATGGTGGCAGGCGCCTGTAGTCCCAGCTACTCAGGAGGCTGAGGCAGGAGAATCGCCTGAACCCAGCAGGCAGAGGTTGCAGTGAACCAAGATCATGCCACTGCACTCCATCCTGGGCGACCCAGGGAGACTCAATCTCAAAAAAAAAAAATTGTTTTCTTATTTAATGGTAAATATTTTTGTCTAATGCAAATCTTATTTAGTGGGTATACAAAAAAGGAACCAGGAAATAAGACAGATGTAAAGAAAGTTACAGAAATAGTTTTGTGTTTTTTAAAGAGAGGTTAAAAGAAAAGTAATGAAATATAAAAAAGAATCTTGTGTGGTAAATTTTTTGTCCTAAAATAAGGTAACTGGTTGTTCAAGAAACAGAGATATTTAGAACAAACCAGAAAGTCCAAGCATGTAATGAATGATTGATATAATTTGTAAAAAGGTTAGTAAAAAAATTTTTTTAAGTTACATAATAAAGTTGGCTGTATTTAAAAAAACTGTAACATTCTCTCTAGAAATTGAACTTATTAGAAATACACTAATGAAAAACTAAAGAACTGGTAAGAACAAGGTTTTATTTAAAATGTTGACTTCTCTTAATACAAGAAGGTGTTAAGTTTTAAATTCTATAATCTGTTTCTTTTGAAATTCCTAGATTGATATCTCAGAATTTCAGATCTTTCTTTTGAAAAGGCCTGAGACAATCTCAGTGCGGTGGCTCACGCCTGTAATTCCAACACTTTGGGAGGCCGAAGCAGGCAGATTACTTCAGGTCAGGAGTTCAAGACCAGACTGGCCAACATGGTGAAACCCTGTCTCTACTGAAAACACAAAAATTAGCTGAGCAAAGTGGCACATGCCTGTAATCCCAGGTACTTGGGAGGCTGAGGCAGGAGAATCACTTGAACCCGGGAGGCAGAGGTTGCAGTAAATCAAGATCGCACCATTGCATTCCAGACTGGGCAACAAGAATGAAACTCTATCTCAAAAAAAAAAAAAAAAAAGTCCTGGGATGGTAACTCTCCTTCACCTTTTGTTGGCTCCCGTAACCTTTTAAATTTATATTCTAAAGTAAGAGACAGAAGTTTTGAAAACAGGCAAATAAATCTTTTGGACCTGCCTTTTGTCTGTATGTGCATTATGTCTGTTATGTCTATATGTTTATGTGTCATGTGGAAGTGATTTTTCACTACCAAACTAAATAAAAGAGCTCTAGTCAACTGGCTTAAAGAAAAGTGCTTAGTCAGGCATGGTGGCAAATGCCTGTAATCTCAGCACTCTGTGAGGCCAAGGCAGGCGATCACAAGGTCAGGAGTTTCAAACCAGCCTGATCAACATGGTGAAACCCCATTTCTACTAAAAATACAAAAATTAGGCCAGGCGTGGTGGCTCATGCCTGTAATCCCAGCACTTTGGGAGGCCGAGGCAGGCAGATCATGAGGTCAGGAGATCAAGACCATCCTGGCTAACACGCTGAAACCCCATCTCCAGTAAAAATACAAAAAAATTAGCCAGCAATGGTGGCGGGTGCCTGTACTCGGGAGGCTGAGGCAGGAGAATGGTGTGAACCTAGGAGGCGGAGCCTGCAGTGAGCTGAGATCGCACAACTGCTCTCCGGCCTGGGCCACAGAGTGAGACACTGTCTCAAAAAAAAAAAAAAAAAATTAGCTGGGTGTGGTGGTGCAGGCCTGTTATCCCAGCTACTCAGGAGGCTGAGGCAAGAGAACCACTTGAACCCAGAAGGCAGAGGCTGCAGTGAACAGAGATCATGCCACTGCACTCTAGCCTGGGCGGCAGAGTACAACTGTGTCTCAAAAAAAAAAAAAAAAAAAAAAGAAAAGAAGAATAAGAAGAATGCTTATCAGACTAAAAGAAGCTAGCTGAAATGCCTTTTAATTCACATCATCTTGGTTATCTTTGACAAATTTAATCTGAAAATCCTCTTCACTAGTTTAAAATTTTAAAAGCGATGTTATGTTAAATTACATAGGTTTTCTCACTAGGAATTTGGGTTTCTAAGAGTTAAAATAGTAGGAAAAAATGTACTATTTTACCAAAAACATCATAAATACAGGGGAAGGGCAAAATCAACTACCAAATCCAAAGGGTGGAATATAAAGAAATTATTCTAATTTGCAGTTTGATATTATCAGCTTCATGAAAAATTTTTAGTATAATAGATTGTAAAAATAATTTTAAAGACAGAATCCTTAATTGTAAATGGGTTGATGCTGGACACAAAGCTCATTATTAAACAATCACTGATGAGTATATGCAATCCAAAGGCACAGAAGACTTTTTCTAAAATAACAACCAGCTTACTGGACTTGATAAATGGCCACTGTAAGGTCCGTTGACCCTGAGAAAGGGACTGTCCAATTCTCTCCAATAAAATGCCAAGTGGAGCACCCAGATGAAGCAGTTGATGTGCTTCACATGGAAGCCTATGGGTTTGGCCTTATGATGACCAGATATTTTCCCACTGAATATGCCTATTACCTAGGTCATACTAAATGCTGGGGTTAAGAAGGCCCCTTTTACATGGGCACCTCATGTGGCATTCCTCTTGCAGAATCATACAACTATTTCAGAAGCCTTATTAAATTTGTTGCCTCTCCTGAGTCCTAAAGATGCTTACTAAAACATTAGGATAATTAACAACAAAATGGAAAAGGGAAAGAAAATCAAAGGACTTGCCCCAGAAGGGTTACATAAATCTTTAAATGGTTATTAATAAATAAAATGAAAATTGATAGGGTCAAAAACAAAGGAATTTACATACTATCAAAGGTTGCGTGGACCAAAGGGAACCCCTGCTAGTCCCCCAACATTAAAAAACACCAAAAGGTAGTTTTCTACTATTTGCACCATATTAGGGAAAGTTAAGAAAAATCAAAAGGTAAAGCATAATGAAAAAGGTGGCACTGCCTGGAGCAATGCTTAAGTCAATTAAGATAAAGATTGGGCCGGGCACGGCGGCTCACGCCTGTAATCCCAGCACTTTGGGAGGCCGAGGCGGGTGGATCACGAGGTCAGGAGATCGAGACCATCCTGGCTAACACGGTGAAACCTCGTCTCTACTAAAAATACAAAAAAATTAGCCGGGCGTGGTGGCGGGCGCCTGTTGTCCCAGCTACTTGGGAGGCTGAGGCCGGAGAATGGCGTGAACCCAGGAGGCAGAGCTTGCAGTGAGCCAAGATCCTGCCACTCTGGGCAGCAGAGTGAGACTGCGTCTCAAAAATAAAAAAAAGATAAAGATAAAGATTGACAAAACAGCCTGTGTCCCTTGGCTGGATCCCCTACTGGAAACCCAAATTCTTTTTTACCAGAAAAGGTAAAATGGTCTGGGAGTAGAAAAGAAAGATTCCTCAGACCAGAACATAAAAAATGTAAAGATTATGAAACCTGAGTGTTTAAACAGGCTTTCTATAAAGTAGCTGTGACTCCTTTACCTAAACGTGTTATGAAAATGGGTACCAATGTACCTGACGCAAGGATGTTTCCCCTAACTAGTGTCTTCAGCTTTACTGAAGGCAGGTATTCAACCTGAGCAAATTAAAGGAAAAACAACAACAACGGAAGGCACGTAAATCTGCCCTTTGAGAAATGTTAATTAAAGTGGACATGCTAAATAGGAACCAGTAAGACTGCCTGAGCCCACAGAATGTAAGGTAGAAGCTGCAGTGATAGAACAAATCCTCCACTTCACAGCCTTTGCAGAGCATTTACTGGGGCTTCTACCATAAGCCTGTGACTACTTCCCAATGAGAATACCTGAAGTAGAACATTTCCACTTGAGGAGCAGTAACTGCCTTGCTATGGGTTGTTAACTGAAGCTTCCCCCATGCTAATGGAAATAATGTTGCCCAAAAGTTTCATGATAAATTAATAATGCTTTACATAGAATATTGCTACCTGGAAAATACAAGGAGGAGATACTCATGAGCAGGGAGCCTCCTTCTTCCTTAGGACTTACTCTAATCATGTGAAGAGCTCCCAGATTGTACAATGCCTGACAGCTCTCATCTGACAAGAGCTGCTTAGCATGTGAGTAGCAGTTCCAAGGTACACAAATACAATCTTGTTTTGTAAGGCTGCTGCTCTGGTTAAAGAAGAGTCAAGGAAGTATGCTTTTTTAGATTATTTACGGTTTAAAACATTTGGGTAAAGTATGTTCTTATAAGGAAATTTCCCTTTCACTTCGAGTTCTCCAGAATTCAGAAACTGATTTTATGGTAATGCAGTTATTTGCCTAAGTTTATTAAGAGTCTTTTCTCTTAAAATGAGACAGCTTGAATCACTAGTTACTTCACCAAGACTTTGACTAGACTAACATATTTTTAGGTAAAGTTCCAGCAAAGCCAACTTAAAAGGAGCCTATATGGGCAATCAATGCTTGCTGCACATTATGCAAACAATCAGGCCAAGTACAATAAGCCTAACACTTATTTTGCACATGAATTGGTCTTACTGTAATTCCTCTATAATGGAAAAGGAGTGCTGGAGAGAGAAACTGTTTCAAAGGAAAAGTTTAGCATGTTACTAGATTTCAGCCCTGACTTCTGTTTTTAATTGCAGAATAGAGCATGAGTTATTTCTTGGGTACAATAATCCTCTAAAGATTACCAGATTATAATTTGTTTTCATATTGTTAGTTGGTGCCCTAATGGAATAGGTTCTTTTTTCGTTCTGACATGCAAATACTCTTTTGATTGTCAAAATACTAACGTTATGTATCTCTCCTTATTTTACTTCCAAAGAAACCAGATTCATGGTCTCCTGAAGACTAGAGATGCCAATTTCCCTCATTTGGCATCTACTGGGCCTAGACTGTTTTTCTCTGCAAATGTCCTGCTGCTAGGACTATCCAAGCACCCTCTTTCTAGGCCCAGCGACTGCCAAAGCGGTGGGCACATGAGATTCTAAGGACTGGTTTTAAGGGGCAGAATTAGGTCATACCCGCCAAAGTAACCAGAGGTAAACAAATGCCTCCACAGCTAGTAAACAAGGGACTTTGCCCTCTAAGCTATCATGTGGCGCCTTTTCACGCATTCTAACCATAAAGTATTTTCTGCTTTTCATAAAACTAAAAGAAAACAATTACTGAGAGGGTAAAGATACCTCATGACAAAGCCTCCCAGCTATAAGTTGTACATCTAGATAATACATTTTTAAAATTTTTTTTCAGAACAATGCTCATTTTTGAATAGGTAATTGCTGTAATTCTGTAACTAAAACTATATGATTAGTAGCAGAACGCATAGAAATTAAAGGTAAGTCAGTTTTGTAACCTCACCTTTGACTTTTTGCTGGTTGACTTTTTACTTACTAAAAAACAAAAAACAAACAAACAAAAAACAATGTGGCCGGCACAGTGGCTCACGCCTGTAATCCCAGCACTTTGTGAGGCCAGGGTGGGCAGACCACAAGGTCAGGGGTTTAACACCAGACTGGCCAACAGGGTGAAACTGTCTGTACTCAAAACACACAAAAAATTAGCTGGGTGTGGTAGCACACTCCTATAGTCCCAGCTACTCAGGAGGCTGAGGCAGGAGAATCGCTTGAACCCAGGAGGCAGAGGATGCACCAAGCTGAGACCACCCCACTGCATTCCAGTCTGGGCGATAGAGTGAGACTCTCTCTCAAATAAAAAAAAAAAATCTCAGGGTAATGAATGTGTGTCTATATCCATTCTTTTTTTGTCTAAATATTCAACTGGCTATAAGTCTTTTCACTGTCAGTTCCCTGGCAATAGAGGAATGGTGGTGAGTCCCCACGAAGGGGGACAAGATGAACCCAGACCAGACACCCAGGCCACACTGGGTTCATCTGTCCCAACTTTATGGGATGGAATAAAAATTTGGTGGCCACTGATGTTGCCTCTGGCAAATCTTGGCCTAAAGGGGGAGAATGTAAACCAAAAATAAAATTCTAAGCCCTCCAACCATCTGAATGGACCCTTCCTTTTGGCAAGGACATTCCAAGACTAACCTGAGGGGGGCTGGTTCAGGTTGTGATGCGGAGAAGAGTACGGACATACCTCATTATATGCTCCTCTCTTTTGGAATTACTAATACAATAGACTATTTTTCTGATGAGAAACATTTACAATCTTACAATCCATTTTTTCTGAAGCCCGCTACCTGGAGGCTTCACTTGCATAAGAGAACTTTGGTCTTCACAATCCCTCATCATTATAACCCAGACGTTCTCTTCTATTGACTCTAGGTATTTAGGTAATAACTTAACTGTCAACCTACCAATCAGAGAAACTTTAACTCTACCAGTAACCTGGGAGCCCCAGCTTTCAGCTGTCTCAACTTTCTGGGCCGAAGCAATGTACATCTTCCACATATGTATTTGATGGATATCTCATGCCTCTGTAAAATGTATAAAGCTAGGCTGTGCCCAGACCACCTTGGACACATGTTCTCAGGGTCTCCTGAGTGCTGGGTCATGGGCCACTGGTCCCTCATACTTGGCTCAGAATAAATCCCTTCAAGTATTTTACGGAGTGTGACTCTTCATCAATAACTTTCAGTTAGGAAAAGATTTCCTAGCTAGAACATAAAAAGCACAAGCAATAAAACAAAACAAAACAAAAAGCTTTTGTGCTTCAAAATATGTCATTAAGAAAGTGAAGATAAGCTGCAGACTAGGACAAAATATTTGCATATCATATGTCTGACAGAAGATATTATCTATGCCAGCGCAGTGGCTCACACCTACAATCTCAGCACTTCGGGAGTCCAAGGCGGGCAAATCATTTGAGCCCAGGAGTTTGAGACCACCTTCGGCACCAAGGTGAAACCCCATCTCCACAAAAAAGTACAAAAGTTACCAGTCTCACCAACATGGTGAAACCCCATCTCTATTAAAGATACAAAAAATTACCTGGGCATGGTGGCCTGTGCCTGTAATCCCAGCTACTCAGGAGGCTGGGGCAGAAGAATTGCTTGAACCCAGGAGGTGGAGGCTGCAGTGAGCCGAGATCGCACAACTGCACTCCAGCCTCGGCAACAGAGAGAGACTCTGTCTCAAAAAAAAAAACAAAGTACAAAAATTAGCTGGGCCTGGTGGCAAGCAGTCCAAGCTACTCGAAAGGCTCAGGTAGGAAGATCACTTGAGCCTGGGGTATGGAGTTTACAGTGAGCCGAGAGTGTGCCATTGCACTTCAGCCTTGATAGCAGAGTCTGTCTCACACACACACATTAAAAAAAGGAAGGAAAGGAAAAAAAGACATAGCCAAACAAAGAGCTTTTACAGGTCAATTTAAAACAAACAATAAATTTTAATGGGCAAGTCTGAATATTCTCTAAAGAAACACAATCAGAAAATGAGCACATGAGAAGATGTTCAACATTTGTTAGCCATTAGGAAAATGCAAAATAAGATACCACTAATAAGATACCACTGCACACCCAATGGAAAGAGTATACCAAAACAGCTGGTATGAATGTAAAATGGTGCAGACACCTTGGAAAACAATTTGGCAATTGCTTAAGTTAAATATAAACTTACAATACAATAAGTAATTTTGTTACTACATACCTCCCCAAGATACAATTGTTCTTTTCTTTTTTTTGAGACAGAGTCTTGCTCTGTTGCCCAGGCTGGAGTGCAGTGGTGAGATCTCTGCTCATTACAACTTCTGCCTCCTGGGTTCAAGGGATTCTGCCTCCTGGCTCCCAAGGATTCTGCCTCAGCCTCCAAGTAGCTGGGACTATGGGCACACACCACCATGCCCAGTTATTTTTTGTATTTTTAGTATAGACGGGGTTTCACCATATTGGCTAGGCTGGTCTCGAACTCCTGACCTCAGGTGATCCACCCGCCTTGGCCTCCCAAAGTGCTAGGATTACAGGCATGAGCCACTGTGCCCCACCCTGTAATTGTTCTTAAAGTCCTTAAAATGTAACAAAGAAACAAAAACCCTAATTGTTCACACATAAAGCCTTGTGTACATTAATGTTCCTAGCAACTTCACTTATAAAAACCCCAAACTGCAAACAAGTGTACCAAATGTACACTTGGTAAACAGGTAAACTGCACCCATATAATGATATACCATTAGTATAAAAAAGACACAGTATTTATCCATATTACAACATGAATGAATCTCAAAAACATTATCTACATGGAAGACGCAAATCTCAAAAACATTATCTATGTGGAAGATGTGAGATACAAAGACTACATATTTTGATTCAATTTTTGTGAAACATCCAAAAAAGGCAAATCTGTAGATATAGAAGATTACAGATTACCAAGAGCTGAGGATATGAGTGGGGAATGGCTTGAAAAGGAACAAGGATGTGCTGGAGTGATGAAAATGTTCTAAAACTGGAAGTGTTTCAGAACTCTGTAAATGTATTAGAAACCAGTAAGTTGTATATGTAAAAGAAACATTTAATATGTAAATTATACTTCAATAAAGCTATTACACTAACTTATGCAATAAGAAAAAATATTTCGTTTATTGCACAAAAATGACTACCAATCCTTTAATGCACATTTTTTAAAAAACATAGATTTGAAATAATTATCTTTAACTCAAGCAAAGGATGGTTTCCACATCAAAATGCTAAAACAAAACTGTCTACTGTAGTTTAAAAACGAATCTTATAAAACAACAAAAAGCTAACAAAGTGTTAATTTGTGCAACAAACCAAGAAGTGAATGTTGAAGTTGAGACAAATACCTACTTTCTAAAACTGTAAGCTGCCTCATAAATATCTGATGAAAAAATCTATTAGAAGATATCCATTAAAATACGTAATGCTAGATACTGGAAAACGCATTTCAACATCCGAGAAGAAAAAAAGACCCACAGTAAATCCTTCTTTTTTCTTTTTCTTTTTTTGAGATAGAGTCTCAGCTTTGTCTCCCAGGCTGGAGTGCAATGGCGCAGATCTCGGCTCACTGCAACCTCTGCTTCCTGAATTCAAGTGGTTCTCCTGCCTCAGTTTCCCAAGTAGCTGGGATCACAGGCGCCCACCACCATGCCCAGCTAATGTATGTATTTTTAGTAGAGACAGGGTTTTGCCATGTTGGCCAAGCTGGTCTCAAACTCCTAACCTCAGGTGATCTGCCTGACTCGGCTTCCCAAATTGCTAAGATGACAGGAATGAGCCACTGTGCCTGGCCTGGAAAAGAAATCCTTCTTTTCCATTTTCATTGACAAACCACGGTAACCATTCAAAAGCCCAAAAATAAGAAATGTCCATACTCAGAATCCCCTGAGCCTCCTACATTATCTCACATCTGTCTGTCTGTGACTGGGAGGCACGGGTGGTTTACGGTCTCAATAAGTTAAATAAAATCTGTTAAAAATCACTTCTTTATTACGTAGATTCTCAAATACAATGTTTTTGCCATTATGTAGTCATTATAAAAATTTTCTCCAAGTGTAGATGAAAAGTCATATATACATATTTTGTTTTTTTTTTTAAACGAAGTTTTGCTCTTGTTGCCCAGGTTGGAGTGCAGTGGCGCGATCTCGGCTCACAGCAACCTCCAACTCCCGGGTTCACGGGATTCTCCTGCCTCAGTCTCCCGAGAAGCTGGGATTACAAGCACCCGCCACCACGCCAAGCTAATTTTTTTTTTTTTTTGTATTTTTAGTAGAGACGGGGTTTCACCATGTTGGCCAGGCTGGTCTTGAACTCCTCACCTCAGGCAATCCAGCCGCCCGGGCCTCCCAAAGTGCTGGGATTATAGGAGTGAGCCACCACACCCGGACCCACAGTCATATATATTACTAAAGCCAACCGACAAAAAGAAATATTGTAACAGTAAGACAAGATTGACAAGAGTAAACATTCACGCAATCACCGTTAACAGAAAACGGCAACAAGAAATAATTAAAATCCCACAATCTTATTTTCAAGTCAGTGAAATAAAAAATACTCCCAACTCACCCTTGAATCACCAACGGCAAATACTTTAGGTTTTCTTTCTTCCCAAACTGTAAGAATAAAGTTTGAAGCGAGAAGTTAAAAGCATGTGAAGCGAGAAAGTTAAAAGCATATCAATGAGTTTTCTAATTGAAAAACAAATCCTTACACTTTTAAACAATTGCGCATTTGCAGAGACGAAAATGGCAGTGATTAAAGCAGCAAACTAAGAAAAATGTAGAAGTTTATGGTGTATATTTTTAAAGTTTAACGGTATAGTTTTAGACAACCGTGGTACCTTATGATCTGGTACTTAGTTTATCGGATAATTACTAATGAGAATGAACCCCAAGAAAAGAAGTCTTGAAAGTTTCGTAGTGAAAGAACCTGTATTTCCTTCTTAACAGTGATCTTGTTTTGTGGATTTAGAGGATGAACGAGTTGCCCAGTAAGAGAATGCCCCCCTTAAAAAAACAAAAACAAAAACCAGGCTGAGCACGGTGGCTCACGCCTGTAATCCCAGGCCTTTGGGAGACCGAAGCGGGCAGATCACCTGAGGTCGGCAGTTCGAGACCAGCCTGACCAACATGGAGAAACCACGTTTCTACTAAAAATACAAAATTAGCCCGACGTGGTGGCGCATTCCTGTAATCACTGGTACTCCGGAGGCTAAGGCATAAGAATCGCTTGAACCCGCGAGGTGGAGGTTGTGGTGAGCCGAGATCGCGCCACTGCACTCCTGCCAGGGCAACAAGAGCGAAACTCCGTCTCAAAAAGAAAACAAAAAACAAAAAACCAGCATTAATAGTTAAGGGTTACGTATACATCTTTCAAACTTAAAAACCTTCTGAACAAGTAAGATACACCGGGCAGCGTACAAATTAAGTAAACTTATGCGCAAATTTTATAAATAACATTCTTAATATAAACGTTTAAAATTCCTGTGTAAATTTCTAGTTTGCAAAAAATTTCATAAAAATTAGTAAAATATCTGCTCCATAAGTCTAAGTTAATATTTTGAGATACCGAAAAAGTACATTATGCGTAATGCGCTATCACAAAAACAGGTTCAACCACTAACAGAGACAAGTTGTTTCTGTAGAGAACAGAAAGGAGATCTGATACAAACTAAATCGGAACCGAATTGTTCATTAAAATACGTCATACTGCGTCTTGGCGTTTAGCAAAGTAGCGGAGAGGAAGAGGAGGTATAAGGCTGTAAGAGGGCAAAAACCTGGTGCAGACTCTCAGGTCAGATGGTGAGGGCTGATTGCGGGAGGTGGACAAGAAGTCTGGCCTAATGACTAAGGACAGCTAACGCCTAACTCCGTTCCTCATCACTCCACCTGGGTAAGAGCATTTGGTGCAACGAGCCAGTTTCGAGCCTGTGAAGGACCGTGGGGCAAGGTGTGTAACCAGGAGCGGTTAGTCCCTGGCTCTGAGTGAGGCCCCGGGCATAGACAGGAGGTTCTTCCTGTGAAACCAGAGATTTAATCCTCCCACTTCACCTTAGGCATTACGAGAAATAGGGAAGGCGGGGGAGGCTAGGCGGCCATTTTTCCTTACAGTGCAAAATACACACACAGCAGTTCCGCCCGCGTCTGCCCCTAGCCCTCCGAAATAAGAAGTCTCAAGCCCGGTAGGGCAAAAGAAGAAACGCACATACTCAGAATCCCCTGAGCCTCCGACATTATCTCACATCTGTCTGTCGGTGATTCGGAGGCGCGGGTGGTTTACGGTACAGGCGCCAGGTCCACGTAATCAGGGCACCCGACAGTGGGAAATAGAGACTAGACTCAGACCTACACCTGGGAATGGCGGACAACAAAATATCTGTAAAATATTTTGATATTAGGTACTTTCTAGGCACGCGGTCGTGACTGCGGCCTGCATGCCTGAGGAAGACATTGCTCACAAATACCGGGATTTGGCCTAAGAAGCGTCCATCTCTTTATACAGGTGACCGATGCCGCTACCTCTTTGTCATTCAGTAGCCCTCTTTACCTGTTTTGGCCTCGCTGCTAGGGCTGTCGCCGAGCTTACACGGACTCCAGGTGATGAGTTTTTCTTGAGTCACTGCAAAGGCAGTTTCACTAGGCTTCACTTTTCTTTCTCGCGGTTTTCGGCCAGGTCTCTCCTGAGACACTCCTATCTCCCGGTCCCGACACCAGCACCAAGCGCTCAGGTAAACGTCCCAAGTAAGACAAAGGCAATCTACATCAGGGCCTGCTAGCGGCGTGAAGGAGGGAGGGACTCAGAGCATCAAAGTCAGTCCACAACGGGCGGGGTTCAGTTAAATTGTGTCTCCAGCGATCTATTAGACCCGTCCTCTTCAATATGGCGCATTGAACCCGGCTGACAAAAAAAAAAAAAAAAAAAAAAAAAAAAGGAGAGAGAGAAAGAGACCGCCCAGCCAGCTGCGCAGGCTCCCACCATCCCCAGCGCCGCGACCTGCGACCCTCCAAGACCCCACCCCCGCCAAGCCCCGCCCCTAGGGCCTCCCCTGCTCTGATTTACGTCTTCCTCTCTTTGCTAACGGTTGCTGTTTCTACTTTTCTTCCCCTTTTCTACTCTTTCTATACCCAGAAGCAGCGGAACTGGCAACACCTTGGTGCCCTAGACGGAAACCTCAGTCCCGACTGAAGCGTATTCATCACCAACACTGGGATAGCTGCAGCTAGGGCCACACAATAAAAATAGCCCAGGACGGCACTGGCTATCCGCTGCCCCTTCAGCTATAGAATTCCTGTCCTTAATCGCTTTTAGTTCTGTAACTGCTTGTGGAAACAGCTGATTACTGGACAGGTGGGAGTACGAAAGGCGTTTAGTAAGACTGCAAATCTGATGTGAACTGGTAGGACGCAGAGTGTATGGCATAGTCAAGAAAGAAGTCAACGCCAGGCGAGGTGCTATGGCTAAGGGATTAATCTTTTGTGTCCCAACTATGTTGCTCTGACGGTTCCACTTGCACTACTGGTTTTTACTTCATCGTTAATCTCTGCTCTGGCCGATAACAGCCTGCATGAAAACATCACCAGTTTTCAAGTTTTTCTCAGGATGAACAGTACATAGAAAAGTGAGCCTGAATGCTGAGATCCTGAGACCGTGCTGCGGCGCCTGGGAATTCATAGAGCAGCTTTTAAGGGGCCACCACTTCTCGCATCGTGTGCCATGCAAGTAAACCTACCCTATCCTGAGACCCTTGCCTGGGGTGACTGGAAGAGCTGCTTCTGTAGAATCCTGGGCCAGACCATCTATCTGGACGAATAGGAGAAAAGCCTAGTTGTTGTCTCCTGCAAGATGTATTCAGTTGTAATTTCGCCTTTGTTCCTTAATCTGTTAGTATGGTATATTACATCGATTAATATTTCATATTAAATCAGTCATGAATTCCCATTATGAGCCCCACTTGCTCATGATTGAAGATATTTCTTATATGTTGCAGATTGACTCTTGGTATTATTTGTCCATTTTTGTACTCACCTAGCACACACATACAAAATTGCAGATTTGTTAGGATTAGATATCATGCAAAACTTACTATCTTATGAAGTTCTTAATACATGTATTGCTATCCTTGGTTTTCCATAAAAAAATTTTAGAAAAAATAAGTTAACTGCCCAAGATCATCAGCCAGCAAAGATAAGAAGTACAAGTGTTGGCCAGGCACGGTGTCTCGGTCCTGTAATCCCAGCACTTTGGGAAGTCGACATGGGCAGATCGCTTGAGGTCAGGAGTTTGATAACAGCCTGGCTAACATGGCGAAACTCCGTCTGTTCTAAAAATACAAAAAATTAGCCAGCTGTCAGAGCAGGCACCTGTAATCCCAGCTACTCAGGAGGCTGAAGCAGGAGAATTGCCTGAATCAGGGAGGCAGAGGTTGCAGGGATCCCAGACAGTGCCACTGCACTCCAGCCAACGTGAAAAGAGCAAGACTCCATCTCAAAAAAAAAAAAAAAAAAAAATAGAATGCAAGTGTTCTAAGCCCCTAACAAAGCCCACTTTGTGCTCTACATCTGCGCCCCATGTAATAATCATAATCAAAAGATACTCTAGAACTTAATTCCTGCCTTATACTTACTAACTTTACTTCTCCTTTGAAGAAGTCTTGATAGGTATAGATATGCAGACATAGGCTAATTTTTTTCTTTATTGCTGGTAAGGTTTTATTGTATAACATACATCCTATAAACATCACAGCCCAATTTTCACTAAATACTAATACACTGTGTAATAATACACTAATACACAGGTCTACCGATGTTACTACCACCATTTTAATATAGAACTCTGTTGGATCTGGGATTTTATTTTACCTTTCTCAAAAGCTATAAGATTCACCTGTTACTATTTAGTGGATCCAAAGACAGTATTTTGGGACTAAGATCCGCAGACTTTATAAAGGCAAAAACAAGCAGTATCAAGGCCTTTACTACTTGTAACAGAACAAGCAGCATGAGCATCATGTTTGCAGACTACCTGTGCTTCCTAAATCACGTACGAGTGATGCAAAGGGGCCCACATATTTATATGTCAGACAGCAGTGCAATGCAGTTCCTTGCATTGCAGATAAGGAACAGTTTGGAATTCTACTACGTTTATACTAAGGCAAAATAAGCAAGCTTGCTCTTTGTCTGTTGGAAAGTAGAGAATGATATTACCTTATCTGTCTAGGTTACTAAGAAATAACATAGATAGGCTGGGCGTGGTGGCTCACATCTGTAATCCCAGCACTTTGGGAAGCTGAGGCAGGTGGATCATGAGGTCAGGAGTTCGAGACCAGCCTAGCCAAGATGATGAAACCCTGTCAATACTAAAAATACAAAAATTAGCTGGGCAAGATGACGGGCACCTGTAATCTCAGCTACTCAGGAAGCTGAGGCAGGAGAATCCCTTGAACTCGGGAGGCAGAGGTTGCAGTGAGCCAAGATAGTGCCGTTGCAATCTAGCCTGGGCAACAGCAAGACTCTGTCTCAAAAAAAAAAAAAAAAAGAAAAAGAAAAATAACATAGATAAAGTGTTGTCAGGATATTGCATTGTGGCATACCCAGGAAGGCATATAAGAAATGCAAGATTGATGGAAGTCTGTCTCTTCCAACAAATACTGCTAACATGTCAGAACCGTATCTTCCTAGTCCTTGCCTCCCCACCACCCGCCTTCCGTTAACTCTTCTGACTTCTATCATTACCTGATTTTGATTTATATAAGTAGTTTCATGTGGGCTGGGTATGGTGGCTTACGCCTGTAATCCCAGCACGTTGGGAGGCCAAGGCGGGCAGATCACTAGGTTAAGGGATTGAGATCATCCTGGCCAACATGGTGAAAGCCCATCTCTACTAAAATACCAAAATTAGCCGGGTGTGGTGGCAGCCGCCTGTAGTCCCAGCTACTCAGGAGGCTGAGGCAGGAGAATCGCTTGAACTCATGAGGCGGAGTTTGCCATGCATCGAGATAGCGCCACTGCACTCCAGCCTGGCAACAGAGCGAGATTCCGTCTCAAAAAAAAAAAAAAAAGATTCATGTGGCAGTAAACTTGTTTCTGGTTTCCCTCCTCAATATTATATCCAAGAGCTTCATTTATGTACTATAACATATAAAATACCAGAACATATCTGTCTCATTACTATTGATGGACATTTGGGTCATTAATTATAGTCCATGTATTTTGGTAGACATATGTCCTTGTTTGTACTAAGCCTATTAGTGGAATTCCTAGAGTTTTTAAGTATACATATGCTTATCTTCAATGGATAGTGTCAAATAGTTTCCCAAAGTGGTTGTGTTTATTTGAATCATAAACTTTCAGGGTTTGTTTGTATGTCAGAAGCAACCAATATTGATAATTGATAAACATTGATAATTTCATATGGTTTAGTGTGTAAAGTTATATCTCCACCAGTGTTGCCAGAGGGGAATATTCAACCAAATTGAACTCACCAACAACTCTCTTCCTGTGCTCTAAGGAGCTACCCATCAAGCACCTTAATTCAGCATGGGTCTCGAATTTTGACACTTTCTATTCAATTAATGGCATAAGAAATGGGGAAGACATCTGAGTTAAAATAATAGATTAAATGGTAGAGTAAAACACTTCAAATTAAAGTTTATAAGTTCAGAGCTTTTTTCCCATTTCTTTTGTTTATACTTTTCTTCAATAACTACTGCATTTAACATTAATATTACTTCCTTACTTTCTGGTTCTGTATTTTTAGGAGAAAAAGTGCTATTACATTACATTTTAATCAAAATGACCCACTTCATTCTTGTTCTACCTGGAAAGCCTTGGGAAGTATATTTATCTCTTACTATTAAACCCATATTGTAAGATAGGTGAAAGGAAGGACTTTCAGAATGGTGGCATGAGGAGTCTCCATCCCCAGCAAAACAGCCATACTGGTAAAAGTTATATGAAAAAACAAAATTAATAATGGTTGGGCGTGATGGCTCACACCTGTAAATCCCAGCACTTTGGGAGGCCAAGGTGGGCAGATGACTTGAGGTCAGGAGTTCGAGATCAGACCAGTGAAACCCTGTCTCTATTAAAATACAAAAAGTAGCTGGGCATGGTGGTACACACCTGTAATTCCAGCTACTCAGGAGGCTGAGGCACCAGAATAGCTTGAACCCGGGAGGCAGAGGTTGTGTGAGCAGTGATTGCACTGCTGAACTCCAGCCTGGGCAAAAAGAGTTAGACTCTCAAAAAATAAAATAAAATAAATCTCTAGAAGTAGTTCTAAAGGTATACAGCAAGTGGAGAAACATTTATTAAAGTGAATTTACAAAAGCTGAAAAAAACACAAGTTTGTGGTATTTGAACCCCTTGAATTGAGAAATAGGCACTTCAACAATAATTGTTGGAGATTTCTAATGCTACTTTTAGTAATATATTAAGAGCAACTAGAATAAGATTAACAAGGATATATGCAATGAAAACTGTAAAACATCTAGGCCTCCCAGGGCTTTGAGAGGCTGAGGCAGGAGAATCACTTTAGGCCAAGAGTTTAAGACCATTCTGAGACCAGTGAGACTCCTTCTCTGCAAAACTCTTTTAAACAAATTACGTGGGCATCCTGGTGCACACCTGTAGTCCCAACTACTCAGGTTGCTGAAGGTGGAAGGATCTCTTGAACCTAGGGGATTGGGGCTGCAGTGAGATATGATTGCACACTGCTCTGCAGCCTGGACAAAAGAGCAAGACCCTGTCTCTAAAACAATAAAAATAAAGTAAAATAAAACATAGAGAATAACACGAATAACTAAATTAAGAATAGAAAAACAGAGAACATCAGCCGGGCGTGGTGGCTAACGCCTGTAATCCCAACACTTTGGGAGGCCAAGGCGAGCAGATCACGAGCTCAGAAGATTGAGACCATCCTGGCTAACATAGTGTAACCCCGTCTATACTAAAAAAATACAAAAAATTAGCCGGGCATGGTGGCGGGCTTCTGTAGTCCCAGCTGCTTGGGAGGCTGAGGCAGGAGAATGGCTTGAACCCAGGAGGTGGAGCTTGCAGTGAGCTGAGATTGCACCACTGCAATCTCCAGCCTGGGTGACAGAGTGAGACTCTGTCTAAAAATAAAATAATAATAATAATAAAAAAAAGAACATCCATGAATCTAAAAGTTTATTCTTTGAACAATTAACAAAATGAACAAACATTTAGGTAGAATGACCAAGAAAAGAAGTGACAAGAATCAAGTTTCTAAAATCAGAAATTAAACTTAATGAAACCAAACTTAATGAAAAATTTTAATTACACAGGAATATTATGGACAATTGCATGCTAACAAAATCAGTAGCTTAAATTCCTGAAAAGGCACAAACTTCCCAAACTAATTCAAAATGTAAAAGAAGATTGCAATAACCCTGTAATAAGAGAGTGAATTAATACCATAAAAACTTCTCTCAAAGAAAAGACCAGGTCTGAATGAGCTTCCTTCTCAATTCTACTAACTTTTTTCTTTTTATATATATATATTTTTTCTTTTTTTGAAATGGAGTCTGGCTTGCTCTGTTGCCCAGGCTGGAGTGCAGTGGTGCAATCTCAGCTCACTGCCACCTCCGCCTCCACCTACCAGGTTCAAGCAATTCCGTGTCTCAGCCTCCCAAATAGCTGGGATTACAGGGGCCTGCCACCACGCCTGGCTGATTTCTGTGTTTTTAGTAGAGACAGGGTTTCTCCATCTTGGTCAGGCTGGTCTTGAACTCCTGACATCATGATCCACCTGTCTTGGCCTCCCAAAGTGCTGAGATTACAGGTGAGAGCCACCGTGCCCAGCCAATTCTACTAACTTCAGAGAATTAATACCAATTCTTTATAAACTCTTCCAAAAGTAGAACTGGCAGGAGAAATTTGCAACTCATTCTGTGAAGTCATTTAAGATATCAAAACCAAAAACATGAAAAGAAGGCAGGGTTGGGGGAACAGAAGGAATAAGGAATGAAAAAAATAAGGCAAGAAGGGAGATTGGGACAGAGGAAGGAAAGAAAGGAAAAGAAGGAAAGAAAATAACAGACCAATATTTCTTTTTTCTTTCTTTCTTTTTTTTTTTTGAGACAAAGTCTCCCTCTGTCACCCAGGCTGGAGTGCAATAGCAGCACAATCTCAGCTCACTGCAACATTTACCTCCTGGGTTCAAACAATTCTCCTGCTTCAGCTTCCCAAGTCGAGTAGCTGGGACTACAGGCTGGCACCACCACACCCAGCTATTTTTTGTATTTTTAGTAGAAATAGGGTTTCACCATCTTGGCCAGTCTGGTCTCAAACTTCAAGGCCTTCTGCCGCCTTGTCCTCCCAAAGTGCTGAGATTACAGGTGAGAGTCACTGGGCCTGGAAAATATTTCTTATAAATATTTACAATAACATCTTCAACAAAATACCAGGAAAGCAAATCCAGCAACATATAAAAAGAATTATGGTAGAAGGAATTTTAATAGAGAGAATAATGAGAATAGAGAGAATAATGTCCCCCAGATATGTTTACATTATAATACTGGGCATATCAGAATATATTTCCTCACATGGCAAAAGGACTTTGCAGATATGATTGATGTTTAGCACCTTGAGTTGAGATTATCTTGGATTGTTTAAAGTGGTCTAATCTAATAATGAGATAATAGAAATGGACACTAGCCATAAATAAAAGCATCAGTCAGAGAGCTGCAGCAATGATAGAAGGGTCAGAGAAATGGGAAGCTAATAGCCTTGAAGATAGAGGAAGGTGGCTGCAAGCCAAGGAAGGTGATTGGCCTCTAAAATTGGGAAAGGCAAGGACTTTACCTTAAAAAGAAATATAGCCTTTAATTTAGCCCATTAAAAACTGGGTCATTGGGCCAGGCAAGGTGTCTCACACCTATAATCCCAGCACTTTGGGATGCCAAGGCAGGCGGATCACTTTAGGTCAGGAGTTCGAGACCAGCCTGGCTAACATGGTGAAGCCCTATCTACTAACAAAAATTAGCCAGGCATGGAGGTATGCACCTGTAATCCCAGATATTCAGGAAGCTGAGGCAGGAGAATACTTTGAACCTAGGAGGAGGTTACAGTGAGCTGAGATCGTACCACTGCACTCCAGCCAGAGTGACAGAGCAAGACCCTGTATCAAAACAAAAAAAAAAAAAAGAAAAGAAAAGAAAAGAAAAAATATTGTGTCACATTTCTGACCTAAGAAATGTAGGATGGTAAATTTATACTACTTTGAGCCATGATGCATAAGATAATTTGTTAAAAAGCAATAGGAGGCAGGGCGCAGTGGCTCACGCCTGTAATCCCAGAACTTTGGGAGGCCAAGGCGGGTGGATCACCAGGTCAGGAGATTGAGACAATCCTGGCTAATACGGTGAAACCCCGTCTCTACTGAAAATATAAAAAAATTAGCCGAACGTGGTGGCGGGTGCCTGTAGTCCCAGCTACTCGGGAGGCTGAGGCAGGAGAATGGTGTGAACCCCAGAAGCAGAGCTTGCAGTGAGCCGAGATCACGCCACTGCACACCAGCCTGGGCAACAGAGTAAGACTCCATCTCAAAAAAAAAAAAGAAAAAAAAGCAATAGAAAACCCATGCACCGTGACTAAACAAGAGTTATCCCAGGAATGAAAAGTTGGTTTACCATCTGAAAATCAACTAACATAATATTCATTTCAATAAAATAAAGGACAAATCAAACATCATAATAACATATATAATAAATAATTTGACAAAAATCCAACAATCTTTCTTGGCCAAAAAAAAAAAAAGATTAGGAAGTTAGAAACAGGAGGACATACAGGAAAAACCCAGAGTGATATCTCTACAATGATGAAAGACTGAATAATTTTTCTTTCAAATCAGCAGCAAGACAAGAATATCTGTGCTTGCTATTTCCTCAGCATCATAGTGAGATCCTAATGAGAGCAAATAGGGAAGAAGGAGCAAAAGGCATTCATATTGGAAAAGAAGAAATAAAACAACATGTACGGGTGAGATGATTTGGTATATCATGAATTTGTAAACTTTGAAGCAACCACCAAAACTCTGTCCTAATAAATGAGTTCTGTTAAGGTTGTAGACTAACATACAAAAATCAGTTGTATTTCTTTATACCTCCAAGGAACAATCTGAAAAATAAATGAAACAGTCTCATTCACAATAGCATCAATAAGAAAAAGAATTCTTAAGAAAAAATTTTAGGGCTGGGCACAATGGTTCACACCTGTAATCCCAACACTTTGGGAGGCCAAGGTGACTGGATCACCCTGGAGTTTGAGACCAGCCTGGCCAACATGGTGAAACCCCGTCTCTACTAAAAATACAAAAATTAGCCAGGCGTAGTGGCATGTGCCTGTAATCCCAGCTAATCAGGAGGCTGAGGTGGAAGAATCCCTTGAACCCAGGAGACAGAGGCTGCAGTGAGCCAAGATTGTGCCACTGCACTGCAGCCTGGGGGATGGTGCAAGACTCTGTCTCAAAAAAAAAAAAAAAAAAAAATTTAACAAGTGCAAAACTTACACTCTCAAAGTGACAGAATATTTTTATAAGAAATTATAGAAGGCCAAGAAAAATGAGATGACATCTCTCATTTATGAAGTGTAAGATTTAATACTATGATGATTGCAATACTCCCCAAATTGATCTACAGATTCAACACAATCCGGATTAAACTTTTCATTGGATATTTTGCAGCACTGAGAAATGGATCTTACAATTTACACACAGTACAAGAATAATCAGAGACATCTTGAAAAAGAATAAAGTTGAAGGACTTATACTACCTAGCTGTAAAACTTACTATAGGGCCAGGTGCAGTAGCTCACGCCTGTAATGCCAACACTTTGGGAGGCCGAGGTGGGTGTATCGCCTGAGGTCAGGAGTTTCAGACCAGCCTGGCCAACATCGTGAAACCCCATGTTGACTAAAAATACAAAAAATTAAGACTGGGTACAGTGGCTCACACCTGTAATCCCAGCACTTTGGAAGGCCAAGGTGGGTGGATCATGAAGTCAGGAGATCAAGACCATCCTGGCTTACACAGTGAAACTCCATCTCTAATAAAAAAAATAATTAAAAAAATAAAAATAAAAAAGCCAGGTGTGGTGGTGCATGCCTGTACTCCCAGCTACTCAGGAGGATGAAGCCAGAGAATCACTTGAACCCAGGAGCAGGATGTTGCAGTGAGCCAAGATCACACTACTGCACTCCAGCCTGGGTGACAGAGCGAGACTGTCTCAAAAAAAAAAAAAAAAAAAAAAATTAGCCAAGCATGGTTGTGCATGCCTGTAATCCTAGCTACTTCAGGCACCTATAAACTCGGCTACTTTGGGAGGCTGAGGCAGGAGACTTGCTTGAACCCGGGAGGCAGAGGATGCAGTGAGCCGAGACCATGCCATTGCACTCCAGCCTGGGCAACAAGAGCAAAACTCTGTCTCAAAACAACAACAACAGCAACAACCTTACTATAAAGCCATAGTAATTGAAACAGTGTGGCAGTGGCATAAGGATGGAATTCAATGGAAATAAATAAAAAATCCACTGTAAAAAGTCATTTTGAGTCTTTTTTAAAAGAGAGAACACTTGGCCAGGCATTGTGGCTCATGCCTGTAAACCCAGCACTTTGGATGGCCGAGATGGGCTGATCACCCAAGGTCAGCAGTTTGAGACCATCCTGGCCAACATGGTGAAACCCAGTCTCTACTAAAAATACAAAAATTAGCCAGGCATGGTGATGCATGCCTGTAATCCCAGCTACTCAGAAGGCTGAGATATGAGAATTGCTAGAACTGGGGAGGTGGAGGTTACAGAAAGCCAAGATTGCTCTACTGCACTCCAGCCTGGGCGACAGAGCGAGACTCTGTGTCAAAAAAAACAAAAACAAAAACAAAAAAAGAGAACACTTCCAATTCAATAATAAAAAGATAAATCACATAATTTAAAAACTAGATAATGAAAATGAAAAGAAATTTCTCTAACTAAAGGACAATAGCACACAAGAAAGTCTCAACGCCATCAGCCATCAGGAAAATGCTCATCAAAACCCAGTAAGACACCACTTCTATCTACTAGGTTGACTATAATTAAAAAGATGCTGCATTCTGGATTATAGCAATTGCTGCCAAGAGTGTGGAGAGGTTAAAACTCTCATAAACTGTTGATGGAAATATAAAATTGTGCAACTACTTTGACAAACTATCTATGATTCTGATTCTACAAAATTTTAACATAGACACAGCAGTTCCACTCCTAAGTATGTACCCTAGGGAAGTGAAAACATATATTCACACAAAATATTTACACAATTGTTCATCATTGTATTATTCATTATAGCCAGCAAGTGAAATCACCCAAATGTTCGTCAACTGATAAATGGATAAAATATGTTGTTTCTTTTTTTCTTGCTTTTTTGTTTTGAGATGGAGTCTTGCTCTGTCACCAGGCTGGAATGCAGTGGCATGATATTAGTTCACTGCAACCTCTGACTCCCTGGTTCAGGCATTCGCCTGCCTCAGCCTTCCACGTAGCTGAGATTACAGGCATGCCCAGCTAATTTTTCTATTTTTAGTAGTGACAGGGTTTCATGATGTTGGCCAGGATGGTCTCAATCTCCTGACCTCGTGATCCACACGTTGACCAGGATGTTCTCAATCTCCTGACCTCATGATCCATCTGTCTTGGCCTCCCAAACTGCGGGATTACAGGTGTGAGCCACTGTGCCAGGCCTAAAATGTGTTATTTCAATACCATAGAATATTATGCAGCAATATGAAGTACTCATACATTGTATAATATGAATAAACCTTTAAAACGTTAAGCTAAGTAAAAGAAGCCAGTCACAAACTAATTGATTGTATCCTCGCATTTTGTGAAATGTTAGAATAGTCAAACCTGTAGAAGCTGATAGTACATTGTAGGTTGCATATCACTAGGTGCCTGGGGGGTAATGGGAAGTGATTGCTAATGAGTATGGAATATCATTTTTGGTGATGCAATGTTCTAAAACTGATTATAATTATAGTTGTACAACTCCCATGAATACAATATACTAAAACCATTGAATTGAATTGTACATTTTAAATCAGTACATTTTATGCTTTATGAATTATTCTCCATAAAACTTTTTAAAAAGGATAAGAAGAACTTGTACATAATTGTTATTCAATAATTTTAGGGCTGCAAATTTCTACGACATTCTAGAGACTAAAAGCTAAATAGTTAACAGCAAAGGAGATTTTTGGGTAAATAGCCAAGTTAATATAGCTTTGGTAATTTGCCACCTCCTACAGCTCCCCAGAGAAGCAGACTCCTATATCTTGGAACTGGCCTGAAACATCTAGAATGTGCTCTTTTAAGAACTAGGTTGGAATTTACAGCTAGGTTATTGTATTCTCCTGTTGAGTCTATCTGAGATCCCATGGTAAGAATTAAGTTTGCTGTTTGGCTACCACCAACTCCTTTCACTGTTACCATCAAGAAAATTTAGGGTTCACCTTTCTCTAGTCTCAAAGATAAGTTACTACTTTACTCAAATATCTGCTTTCCAGCTTCTCAGATTCTGTTCCTCTTGACTTCTCTCCTGTTTGTCTTTTTCTTTTTGGGCTTATACTTGTTTTATTTATTCCTTTAGTGGAGTTTCTGAAAAGGAACTTATTGGTTTCTTTTAAAATGAAAAGCAAACTTTATTATTATCTTTATTTTTTATTTTTATTTTTGAGATGGAGTCTCACTCTGTCCCCCAGGCTGTAGTGCAGTGGCGTGATCTCGACTCACTGCAAGCTCTGCCTCCTGGGTTCAGGCCGTTCTCCTGCCTCTGCCTCCCAAGTAGCTGGGACTACAGGCGCCTGCCACCACACCCGGCTAATTTTGTTTTTGTATTTTTAGTAGAGACGGGGTTTCACTGTGTTAGCCAGGATGGTCTCAATCTCCTGACCTGGTGATCCACCCACCTCGGCCTCCCAAAGTGCTGGGATTACAGGCATGAGCCACCACACCTGGCCAGCAAACTTTATTTTTAAATGGCATTACAATAACCTTGGAAAATATTGCCACAAATATGAATAAAGTATAAAGATTTCTGCTATATGAATCATTCATAAAGATTCAGGAAAGAAACATTATTGTCGCAATATTCAAGGCAAAGAGAGTGACCAGATGAGCACCCAGAAGAAACAAATGATTAATAGGCACAGTAGATATTCAGCTTCACTAGACATCTTTACTAGAAACTTAAGAACTGTGTATTATAATCAAAATAACCTATGTTACCTATTCCAAACTTCTACAACTTTGAGCAAATAATGTGAATCTCATTCCTGTTAAGTTGTAAAATTTGGAAGGCTTACTTTCCCTGAGGACTTAAAAACAATTTTTTAAAAATTTAAAGGGTAAATTTCTGGTAATATATGTACTTTGAAAAAAAGCATAGTTTTTAATTCATTATCATTACTATGTGTTATGTATTATACATACTATACAGTATGACATTACATTTGTTTACACCCACATCACCACAAACATGTGAGTAATTCATTGTCCTATGACTTTAAAATTGTTCCAGCATCATTAGGTGATAGGAATTTTTCAGCTCCATTATAATCTGATGTAAATGATGTCTTATATACATGTTTGTCCTTGATGAAAACTTTATTTTATTTTTCCATAAGTTATTGGGAAACAAGTGGTGTTTGGTTATATGAGTAAGTTCTTTGGTGGTGATTTGTGAGATTTTGGTGCACCCATCTCCTTAGCAGTATACACTGCACCCTATTTGTTGTCGTTTATCTCTCGCACCCCTCCTGCTCATCTCCCCAAGTCCCCAAAGTGTGTTGCATCATTCTTATGCCTCTGCATCCTCATAGCTTAGCTCCCACATATCAGTGAGAACGTATGATGTTTGGTTTTCCATTCCTGAGTTACTTCATTTAGAATAATAGCCTCCAATCTCATCCAAGCCACTGCAAATGTCATTAGCTCATTCTTTTTTGTGGCTGAGTAGTATTCCATTGTATCTATCTGTCTGTCTGTCTATCTATCTATCTATCTATCTATCTATCTATCTATCTATCTATCTATCACAGTTTCTTTATCCACTCATTGATTGATGGGCGTTTGGGTTGGTTCCGTGATTTTGCAATTATGAGTTGTGCTGCTATAAACATGCCATGTGCAGGTATATTTTGTACAATCACTTCTTTTCCTCCGGGTAGATACCTAGTAGTGGTATTGCTGGATCAAATGGTAGTTCTACTTTTAGCTCTTTAAGGAATCCTCACACTGTTTTTCATAGTGGTTGTACTAGTTTACAGTCCCACAAACAATGTAGAAGTCCTCCCTGATCACTGCATCCACACTAACATCTACTGCTTTTTGATTTTTTGATTATGGCCATTCTTGCAGGAGTAAGGTAGTATAGCATTGTGGTTTTGATTTGCATTTCCCTGATCATTAGTGATGTTGAGCATTTTTTCATATGTTGGTTGACCATTTGTATAGCTTCTTTTGCAAATTATCTATTCATGTCCTTAGCCCACTTTTTGATGGGATTATTTGTTGTTTTTTTTTCTTGCGAATTTGTTTGAGTTCATGGTAGATTCTGGATATTAGTCCTTTGTTAGATTTATAGATTGTGAATATTTTCTCCCACTCTATGGGTTGTCTGTTTGCTCTGCTGAATGTTCCTTTTGCCATGCAAAGGCTCTTTCATTTAATTAAGTCCCAGCTATTTATCTTTGTTTTTATTGTATTTGCTTTTGGGTTCTTGGCAATAAAATCCTTGCCTAAGCTAATGTCTAGAAGGGTTTTTTCAACATTATCTTCTAGAATTTGTATAGTTTCAGGTCTTAGGTTTAATTCCTTAATCAGTTGATTTTTGTATTAAGTGAGAGATGAGGATCCAGTTTCATTCTCCTATATGCGAGACAAGCCAATTATCCCAGCACCATTTGTTGAATAGGGTATCTTTTCCCTACATTATGTTTTTGTTTCCTTTGGCAAAGATCGGTTGACTGTAAGTATTACGGTTTACTTCTGGGTTATTTATTCTGTTCCATTGGTCTATGTGCCTATTTTTATACCAGTACCATGCTGTTTTGGTGACTGTGTCCTTACAGTATAGTTTGAATTCAAGTAATGTGATGCCTCCAGGTTTGTTCTTTTTGCTTATTCTTACTTTGGCTATGTGGGCTCTTTTTTGGTTACATATGAATTTTATAATAGTTTTTTCTAATTCTGAGAAGAATGATGGTGGTATTTTGATGGAGATTGAATTGAATTTGTAGATTGCTTTTGGCAGTATGATCATTTTCACAACATTGATTCTACCCATCCATGAGCATAGGATGTGTTTGCATTTGTTTGTGTCATCTATGATTTCTTTCTGTAATGTTTTGTAGTTTTCCTTGTAGAGATATTTCTCCTCCTTGGTTAGGTATATGTGTAAGTATTTTATTTTATTTGCAGCAATTGTAAAAGAGGTTGAGGGCTTGATTTGCTTCTCTGCTTGGTTGCTCTTGGTGTATAGAAGAGCTACTGTTTGGTCTACATTAATCTTGTATCCAGAAACTTTGCTGAATTATTTTATCAGTTCTAGGAGCTTTCTAGAGGAATCTTTAGGGTTTTAGAGGTAAACAATAATATCATCAGCAAACAGTGACAGTTGACTTCCTCTTTATCGATTTGGATGCCCTTTATTTCTTTCTCTTGTCTGAGTGCTCTGTTTAGGACTTCCAGTATAATGTGGAAGAGGAGTGGTGAGAGGGGGAATCCTTTTCTTCTTCCTGTTCTCAGAGGAAATGCTTTCAACTTTTCCCCATTCATTATGATGTTGGCTCTGTGGCTGTCCTAGACAGCTTTCATTATATTGAGGTATGTCCCTTGTATGCCAATTTTGCTTAGAGTTTTTATCATAAAAGGATGCTGGATTTTGTCAGATGCTTTTTCTGCATCTATTGTGATGATCACGTGATGTTTGTTTTTAATTCTGTTTATGTGGTATATCACATTTATTGACTTAAGTATGTTAAACTATCCCTGTATCCCTGGTATGATATCCACTTGATCATGGTGGATTATCTTTTTGAGATGTTGTTGGATTCAGTTAGCTAGTGTTTCGTTAAGGACATTAGCATCTATGTTCACCAGGGATATTGGTCTGGAGTGATTTTTTTCATTATGTCCATTCCTGGTTACGGTATTAAGTGATGCTGGCTTGACAGAATGATTTAGGAAGGGTTTCCTCTTTCTCTCTTTTGGAACAGTGTCAAAATGATTGATACCAATTCTCCTTAGAATGTCTGCTAGAATTCTGCTGTGAACACAGTTTTCACAGGTTGTGTCACTATTGTCGTTCAGTTTAAAGATTTTTTTTAAATTTCCATCTTGATTTCATTTTTGACCCAGTGATCATTCAGGAGAAAGTTTTTTAATTTCCATGTATTTGCAAGGTTTTGAAGGTTACTTTTGGAGTTGATTTCCAGTTTTATTGCACCACAGTCTCAGAGAGTGCTTGACGTAATTTCAATTTTATTAAATTTATTGAGGCTCATTTTTGTGGCCTATCATATGGTCTAATTTGGAGAAAGTTTTGTGCAGTGTTCAATAGAATGTGTATTCTGTGGTTGTTGGATGGAATGTTCTGTAAATATCTGTTAAGCTCACTTGTTCCATGATATTGTTTAAATCCATTTTTTCTTTGTTGACTTTTTATCTTGATGACTTGTCTAGTACTGTCAGTGGAGTATTGAAGTTCCCCACTACTATTGTGTTGTTGTCCATCTCATTTCTTAGGTCTATTAGTAATTGTCCTATAAATTCAGGAGCTCCAGTGTTAGGTGCATATATTTTTAGAATTGTGATATTTTTCTGTTGAACAAGGCCTTTTACCATTATGTAATGTCCCTCTTTGTCTTTTTTAACTGCTGTTGCTTTAAAGCTTGTTTTTTCTGATATAAGCATAGGTACTTTGGGCCCGGCTCACACCTGTAATTCCAGCACTTTGGGAGGCCAAAGCAGATGGGTCGCCTGAGCTCAGAAGTTCAAGACCAGCCAGCCTGGGCAACATAGCGAAGCCCCATCTCTACTAAAATACAAAAAATTAGCCTGGCGTGGCAGCATGTGCCTGTAGTCCCAGCTACTCAGGAGGCTGAGGCAAGAGAATTGCTTGAACCTGGTGCACAGAGGTTGCAGTGAGCTGACATCATGCCACTGCACTCTAGCTTGGCTGACAGAGCAAGACTCCTTTACCTGAAGTTTATGTGAGTCCTTACGTGTTGTTAGGTGAGCCTCTTGAAGGCAGCAAAAAGTTGGTTGGTGAATTCTGATCCACTCTGCAGTTCTGTATCTTTTAAATGGAGCATTTAGGCCATTTACATTTAATGTAAGTGAGTGTGAGGTACCTAACCATTACATTCATCATGCTATTTGTTGCCTATGTATCTTGGTTTTTTCGTTTTTGTTTTTCAACTTGTATTTTTGTTTTATAGGTCCTGTGTGATTTATGCTTTAAAAAGGTTCTCTTTTGATGTATTTCCAGGATGTGCTTTAAGATTTAGAACTGCTTTTAACAGTTCTTATAGTGCTGGCTTGGTAGTGGTGAATTATTTCAGAATTTGTTTGTCTGAAAAAGACTGTATCTTTTCTTCATATATGAGCTTAGTTTCACTGGATACAAAATTTTGGCTGATAATTGTTTAGTTTGAGGAGGCTAAAAAAGGGCCCCAGTCTGTTCTAGTTTGTAGAGTTTCACCTGAGAAATCTGCTCTTAATCTGATAGGTTACCTGGTGCTATTGTCTCACAGCTGTTAAGATTCTTTCCTTTGTCTTAACTTTAGTTAACCTGAAGACAATGTGCCTAGGTAATGATCTTTTTCAATGAATTTCCCATGCGTTCTTTGTGCTTCTTGCATTTAGATGTCTAGTTGTCTAGGTAGGTTGGGGAAAAATTCCTTGATTATTCCCCTAAATATGTTTTCCAAACTTTTAGATTTCTCTTTTTCCCAGGAATGCCAGTTATTCTTAGGTTTGGTTGTTTAACATTATCCCAAACTTTCTGGAGGCTTTGTTCATATTTTCATATTCTTTTTTCTTTGTCTTTGTTGGACTGGATTAATTCAAAGACCTTGTCTTCAAGCTCTGAATTTCCCTATTCTACTTCTTCAATTGTATTGCTGAGACTTTCCAGATCATTTTGCATTTCTATAAGTATGTCCAGTGTTTCTTGCGGTTTCTTTTTTTTAATTTAAGCTATTTAATTCATTGAATATTTTTTCCTTCACTTCTTGTATTTTTTTTTTTATTTCCTTATATTGGGCCTCGTCTTTCTCTGGTGCCTCCCTGATTAGCTTAGTAACTAACCTCCTGAATTCTTTTTTAGGTAAATCAGGGATTTCTTCTTGGCATAGCTTCATTGCTAGTGAGTTAGTGTGATTTTTCGGGGGTGTTGAAGAGCCTTGTTTTGCCGTGTTACCAGAGTTGGTTTTCTGGTTCCTTCTCATTTGGGTAGCCTCCATCAGAGGGAAGGTCTAGGGCTAAAGGGTGTTGTTCAGATTATTTTGTCCCATGGGGTGGTCTCCTGATATTGTACTCTCCTCCTTTTCCGAGGGATGTGGCTTCCTGAGAACCAAGCTGTTGTGATTCTTATCTCTCTTCTGGATCTAGCCACCCAGCGTGTCTACCAGGCTGTCGTCTCGTACTGGAGATTGTCTGCACAGGTTTCTGTGATGTAAACCATCTATGGTTCTCTCAGCCATGGATACTGGCACCTGTTCTGCTGGAGGTTGCAGGAGGGTGAAATAGACTCTGTGAGGGTACTTAGCTTTGATCATTTAATACCCAATTTTCGTGATGGTTGGCCTCCTGCTGGAAGGTGTCACTTTCCAGAGAGCATCAGCTGTGATAGTATGGAGACGAACCAGCAGAAGGTGGGGCCTGAGAACTATCAAAAGTATATGCCCTCAGTTAACAGGGCCACTGGGGAAGGGCTATCAGATGAGGGCGGGGCTAGGCATGTCTGAGCTCAGATTCTTCTTGGGCAGGTCTTGCTGTGGCTGCTGGGGGTAGGGATTAAACTCCCAGTTCAATGGAGTTGTGTACCCAGGAGGATTGTGGCAGCCTCTGCTGAGTCATGCAGGTTGTCAGGGAAGAGGGGGAAAGCTGGTAGTCACAGGCTTCACCCAGCTTCCACACAATCCTAAGGGCCAGTCTCATTTCTACTGAGTTCACCCCTAACAGCACTGAGTCTGTTTCCAGGCAGTGGGCAAGCAGGGGTGAGAATTTGCCCCAGGCTACCCACCTCCTAGCTGTGAAGGAAAGTAGGGCTTTAGTTCTTCCCACACCTGTGGAGTCTGCATGTCAGATTCGCGCGCTAACCCAAGTTCTGGCCACAAGGTTTCTCAATCAGCTCAAATTGTTACAAAGTTCATCTGGAGATTTCCTTCTCCCTGTGGCATTTTCCCTATACCTCTGGCTGCCCTCCTGAAGGATCCCTGTGATGCCAGGCAGGAATGGCCTGCTTGGGGCCCCAGTGAGCTCACAGGGATTTTCCCTCTTCTTTCTCTACCCTTGTATTTTGCTCGGCTCTCTAAATTGACTCAGCTCCAGGTAAGGTTGGAATCTTCTCCCATAAACTAGACCTTCATTTCCCCAGTTGGGCTGTGTGTTTGGAGACAGACAAGATCCCTTTCCCACTTCCACATTTTGGACCGTAACAGGATTTGGGGTTTCTTCGGCATCCTACAGGAGCAATCTGCTTCCTTCAGAGGGTCTGTGGGTCCTCTCAGTTTTCCTGATTTATTTCTGCAGTTGTTCTGGAGCTTAAATTCATGATGTGAGCCTCCACATGCTGCTCTGTCCGTCCGACAATGAAAACATTATTATGCAGCACATAGCTATATTAGTTTTCTCGGTTTTGTCCTAAAGTGGAAGTCAGAGACAAAAATTATGGAAGCTGCCAATTAATCAAGTCCTGGTCATTTTCAGCTCACTGATACTGAAGTTATTTTTAGCCTCCTTTGTTGTCATTAAGGATATAGCTCTCTGGCTTTCTATGAATCTGACTCATGGTAGACTGGCTTCCTGGGTTGTTTATTAAAGATAAGGAGGTTGGCTTCCTGGGAAGGCAGAGGATCAAAAGTTCTATTTTTATGTATAGTATAACCAATGTCCATTTGTATATTCAGTCTGTTAGGAGAGAGGATCAGTTTTTTTCTGAGGATAATATTTTCCTATGATATAATACTGAGGGAATGGCATGACTATAAAGACTTCGGGATATATTCTATTTTTTGTTTGTTTTTGCTTTGAGATGTAGTCTTACCATGTTGCCCATGCTGATCTCGAACTCCTAGGCTTATGTGATTTTCTTGCCTCAGCCTCCCAAGTGTCTAGAATTACAGGCACCCCACCATAACTAGCCATTCAACCTACTGATTATAGCTTATGTCAACCTAAAAAGAATGAGATGAAGAACAAAACATGGTGTAAAGAATTTACATGAGCTAAAGTGAGCACAAGCTGTCTGAAAAACTCAGAACCAAATAACATTGGATATGAGCTTCATTTGGTCTCTATTAACAAGCCAGTTTTAAACCAAGAGATAGGGGATGGGGAGTAGGCTGATAAAAGTCACCTGTCAGGAATTCTCACTGGTTTACAGAAATAACATTAACTAATTACTGGCTACACATTGTTAAGCTATTCAGTGTGGGCTGTAGTATCTGGGGTGGCATTATTGGATAAATTTGTTGCTACTTGTGGCAATAGCAGGCAGTTTCAAGAGATGGATACATAGCTTGAAGTGAGGAGTTAGAGCCAGGCCCAGTGGCTCATGCTTGTAATCCCAACACTTTGGAAGGCTGAGGCAGGCAGATCACCAGGTCAAGAGATGGAGGCCATACTGGCCAACATGGTGAAACCCCATCTCTACTAAAAATACAAAAATTAGCTGGGCATGTTGGCATGCGCCTGTAGTCCCAGCTACTTGGGAGGCTGAGGCAGGAGAACCACTTGAACCTGGGAGGCGGAGGTTGCAGTGAGCCAAGATTGCACCACTGCACTCCAGCCTGGTGACAGAGCGAGACTCTCTCAAAAAAAAAAAAAAAAAAAAAAAAAAAGCGGGGAGTGAGACAGAATTGCTGTCTAATTTTAATGCCTCTTTGGGCCTGATCACTTAAAAAGACTTGCCTTCTTCAGATTAAAGTTTTTTCTTCCCTAATTTCCTTGTCTTTATGAACTCTTTTTTTTTTTTGCTTTAAACAGAGTCTCACTCTGTTGCCAGGCTGGAATGCAGTGGTGCCATCTTGGCTCACTGCCAAGAATTCTCCTGACTTAGCCTCCTGCGTAGCTGGGACTACAGGTGCCACCATACCCAGCTAATTTTTGTATTTTTAGTAGAGACAGGGTTTCACTATGTTGGCCAGGATGGTCACGATCTCTTAACCTCATGATCCACCTGCCTTGGCCTCCCAGAGTGCTAGGATTACATACATGAGCCACTGTGCCTGACCAAAGTCTTTTTTATTGAAAGCATTTTTTTTTTCTGAAATCTGACTATCGATGTGCCCTTCATAATGAGGATTATTCAAAGTCTAATTGGCCAGGTGCAGGGGCTCACACCTGTAATCCCAGTACTTTTGCAGGCTGAGGTGGGCAGATCACTTGAGGCCAGGAGTTCCAGATCAGCCTGGCCAACATGGCAAAAGCCCATCTTTCTAAAAATACAAAAATTAGCTTGGGGTAGAGGCTGGCACCTATAATTCCAGCTACTCAGGAGACTGAGGCAAAAGAATCACTTGAACCTGGGAGGTGAAGTTTGCCATGAGATGAGATTGCCCCCGTACACTCTAGCCTTGGCGATACAGCAAGACTGTGTCTCCTAAAATAAATAATAAATAAATAAATAAATAAATAAATAAATAGTCTAATCTATAGCTGCTGTTCCTTGCTGAATCATCTCTAGTCTTCTGAGTACCATGAATTTAGTTTTCTCAGAATAAGTAAAACAATGAGTACATAGTAGAAATATGAAACATATAAATATTCTAATAAAGAAAGTTTATATGCCAGAATTTAAATAGAAAGAAAAATGTATTTCATTAAGTGACCTAAAAATATCATGAAGAAAATGATAGAGACACTTGGGTTGTTTTAATCTTTTTGTGCCTATTCAGATGTTGCTATGAACACTGGTGTATAGGAATTCTGTCTGAATCTCTGCTTTTGATTTTTTTAGATATGCCTAAGAGTGTAATTTCTGGATCATATGGTAATGCTATGCTTCACTTTTTGAGGCAACACCAAACTCTTCCCACAGTTACCATTTTATATTCCTACCATTAACTGAGGGTTCCAATTTTCACATTTTCACCAATACTTGTTATTTTACTCTTTAAAAAATTATATATCTTCTCATGGATATGAAGCAATATCTTATTTTGGTTTTGGTTTGCATTTCTCAAGTGATGAGTGATGTTGCACATCTTTTCTCATGCTTTTAGCTATTGGTATATCTTCTTTGAAGAAATGTCTAATCAAGTCCTTTGCCTGCAGTTTGCTGGTTTCAGCAGGGTACGCATGCTAATGAACAGTTAAAGTAGGTACCGGTCTCTAGTCTGGATTCAGACAAGAGGAAAATTTATTTCTTGTAATTCTTTCAACAGCTGGCTACCCTAGACATAATGCAGAAGAGAAACATGCAGGTTAGGGAAAAGAAGGTGAACTTGATAGGGCTCTCAGAACTTGAGGAATGATGTGGCAGTCAGTTCCCTGGTCTGAGTGTCTTCTTTCTTTTCTTATTTTTCACCTGTATTTTTGATCTGGGTGGTGAAAGAGTCCAGAACTTAGAAATTAAAATGCACCTCTACCCTCTTCCCTAACCCCTGTCCTCCTGGTATGGAATCACTGAAGGACAACTGGGGGTTCTAGATTTATTTCCCACCTGGCACTAACAAGACAGCACCCCTTACTTTCTGCCTGCATAGTGTCAGGTAAAGAAGAAGGAAATGCCTGAACTTCAGTGCCCAACTGACATTAATGAAGTGGACCGTCCCCTCCATTCTGCCTGTGTGAGGAGGCAGCAGAGGCTAAGTGAAGAGATTGGAATTCCAGTTCCCTCTTAGCAGTTACAAGGCAGTCAACCTCCCAAGTACCTGGTATTACAGACGTGTGCCACCTCACCTCGCTAATTTTTGTATTTTTATTAGAGATGGGATTTCACCATATTGGCCAGGCTGGTATTGAACTCCTGACCTCAGGTGATCGGTCCCCCCTCAGCCTCCCAAAATGCTGGGATTACAGGAGTGAGCCACTGCTCCTGGGCCCTTCTTTTTAAAACAGACTGTAGGGGAAGATTACAGAAAGGAGGGAACTAGAAGTTTTAAAGGGATTTTTTAAACCTGTGAGTGGGCGTGGTATGGTAGTGGCTCATGCCTGTAATCCCAGGACGTTGGAAAGCTGAGGTGGGAGGATTGTTTGACACCAGATATTTGGGACAGCCTGGGCAATGTGGTGAGACCCCTTCTTTATAAAAAGTAAAAAAATAATAAAAACTTAGCTGGGCATGGTGACATGTGCCTGTAGTCGTAGCTACCTGGGGGGTTAAGGCAAGAGAATCACTTCAGCCTAGAAGGTTGAGGCTGAAGTGAATTGTATTTGCACCACTGCACTACAGCTTAGGTGACAAAGCAAGATCGTTTCTCAAAACAAGACAATTGAAACCTCCCGAACCTGGGTATTTCCCTGTGCAACCCACGCAAAACACTGACTAGAATCAGCAAGGAATACTGGACATTTTAGGATCAGAAAAGCACTGCAAATCTCTTAAAATGAAACTGTCATTTAAATGTCTATAGCTCATCAAAGTAGACTAAGACACTTGCATGCTAAACTTGTACAGTAACTGATAATAAAATACTACATTTAAATAGGAATCATCTTGTAATATAATATCAGAAATGTCCAGAACACAACAAAAAATTACTTATTATAGCAAAAACCAGGATTTTAAAAAATAAAATCAGAAATAAAAAGCAACTCAGAAGCCAATACCACAATGATACATATGTTGGAAATATCTGAGAAATATTTTGAATTGAGACAAAACTGATAAATAAAAGTTTCTGAACAAATTTTTTTTAGTCACAAAGAATAAGCAAGGACTAATTCGAACGTTGCTTTTAGAATTCAAAATTAAACTTACGTTTTACGTGTCAGAGAAAATAATTTTTTTTCAATGTTCTATTCCAACAACACTGTAACATTTACTTTTAGTGTTTTTTAGAGTAATCAGAGTTGTGCAGTCATCACCCCTAATTTGAAAACAGTTTTGTCACTCCAAAAGGAACCCAGTGTTCAATAACTTTCACTTCTATTCTCCTCTTCCTCAAGCCACTGGCAAAACTAATCTTTTAGTCTCAGAAGGTTTCTAAAGCAGCATTTACAAATGTGTAGTTATAAAGGAGCTTATAAATGTGCAGTTATAAAGGAGCAATTATGAACACTCTTGACAGAAATTAGGACAAAACAAAAGTCTTAGAAAATCAATGGGATATAAAGATCAAAAATGAAAACCTGAAGACTACAAAACAATACAAGTAAAATTACATTTTAAAAGGAGCTCAATTAAATGAAAAATGGGCTCATTAAATGGGCACAGTTGCAGAATGCCAGAGGAAGGAATCAGTTAATTTAAAGGTAGAATTAAATTTTAACTAGAGAAATTTTTAATGTAGAAACAATCCAATTTGAACAACAGAGGAAATAAACTCAAAAGAAAGTAACAATCCACAGCAAACTAACGCAGGAACAGAAAAGCAAACAAGCAAACACTGCATGTTTTCACTTATAAGTAGGAGCTGAACAATGAGATCACATGGACACAGGGAGGGGAACAATCCACACTGGTACCTGCCACGGGGGTGGGGTTTGGGGAGAGAGAGAATTAGAAAAAATATCTAATGCATGCTGGGCTTAATACCCAGGTGATGAGTGAGAAGGTGCAGCAAATTACCGTGGCACATGTTTACCTGTGTAACAAAACTGCACATCTTTCACATGTACCCTAGAATTAAAAATAAAATTAAAAATTAAAAACATTTTCTAAATTTCTTTCATCATAAAGAGAAAGTAATAGAACCTCAGAGATTTGTAACAAAAAGGAAAACAATATTTTGTAACAATAATAAACATCTTTTGTAACAATAACAAAGAATTTAACCTTCAAGTTATTAGAATTCCAGGTAAGATGGAAAACGATATAGCATGCAAGCATGAATGAAAGCAGCAGGAGTTATATTTATACCAGAGAAAATAAGCTTCAGTGCAAAGAAAAATACTGGGGACATTAAATGATGATAAAATGAGTAATCTTCTTCCAAAATGGGTAAGGACCACAAAATGCAGCAGAACTGAAGCAAAACTGACAAACCATAAAGGAGAAACAGACATATTTACAGTTATAATTGGGGAGTTCATCAAGAGTTGATTGAATCACTAGAAAGAAAACCAGCAAGAATATAAATACACTGAACAACACATGATTTTCAAGTATACCTGAAGATTTGTTAAGTATATCCTAGGTCCACCAAATGTTGACAAATTTATGAAAATTGAAATCATATAAAGTAAATTATCTGACAAACTAGAAGTCAGTAATAGGAAGATAACAGGAAAATCTCCAGAAATTGCTTCAAACTAAAAAGCTGCACCACAAAAGAAACAACAAGGTGAAGAGATAAACTACAGAATAGGGGAAAGTTATCCACAAACTATATATCTGATAAAGGGTTAATATTTAAAATGTGTAAGGAACGAAAATAACTTAGTAGCAAGAAAACAGATAATGTAATTTAAAAATGGATGAAGGACCTGTAAAGAAAGACATTTCTCAAAAGAAGACATGTAAATGCCCCAAAGGTATAAGAAAAAAACCTCAATATCACTAATCATCAGGGAAATGCAAGGTTAAAAATCACAATGAGATACACCTCACACCTGTTAGGATGGTTTTTATCAAAAAGACAAAGTAAATGTTGACAAGAATGTGGAGAAATGGGGAACTACTGTAGCACATTGTTGGTAGGAAAGTAAATTGGCACAGCCATTATGGAAAACAGTATAGCGGTCCCTCAGAAAGTTAAAAATAGAACTGCCAGTTCTACTTTTAGTATGATCTAGTAACTCCATGTGTGGATATATATCCAAAGGGAATACAATCTGTTAAACAGATATCTGTATTCCCATGTCCACTGAAGTATTATTCAAAATAGCCAAGGAGTGGAATAAACATAAATGTCTCTCAACAGATGAATGAATGGATAAATAATGAGTAGTACATTTACATAATGGAATACTATTCAGCCTTGAAAAACTAGGAAATCCTGTTATTACATTGAAAATGCACAACATGGATAAACCTGGAAGACAAATAAATCAGGTGCAGAAAGACAAGTATTACATGATCTCACATATATGTGGTAGCTAAAATAGTTGAATTAATGGAAGCAGAAAGTAGAATGGTTACCAGAGGTAGAGGGGGGCACTGAGGTTTGGGGAGATGTGGGGTAAATTATATAAAATTTCAGTTAGATGAGAGTGAAAATTTCAGGACCTTTTATCCAACATGCTGAATATGGTTAATAACAATGTATTCTTGAAAACTACAAAGAGTAAACTTTGTTTCTTGTCACACAAAAAAATTTATGTGAGGTACTGTGTATGTTAATTACCTCGCTTTAGCCATTCCACTATATATACACGTATCAAAACATCATAGTGTGTCTAATTTTTGTCAATTAAAAAATCATCAAAACAAAAGATAGAAAACTTTAAAAACATTTGGCAATTAAACAGTACAATTCTGATAAATTCATAGGTCAAAGAGGAAGCCTAAAGAAAAATAAAATACTTTGAATTAAAATGTTTGGGCCAGGCGTGGTGGCTCACGCCTCTAATCCCAGCACTTTAGGAGGCTGGGGTGGATGGATCATGAGGTCAAGAGATCAAGACCATCCTGGCCAACATGGTGAAACCCACTCTCTACTAAAAATACAAACATTAGCTGAGTGTGGTGGCATGCAACTGTAGTCTCAGCAACTTGGGAGGCTGAGGCAGGAGAATCACTTGAACCTGCGAGGTGGAGGTTGCAGTGACCTGAGATCGCACCACTGCACTCCAGCCTGGCAAGAGTGAGACTACGTCTCAAAAAAAAAAAAAAAAAAAAAAGTTTGAAAATTCAGAATATTTGAGATGTATCTAAAGTAGTGCTGAAAAGGAATGTTATTGCACTAGATTTTTGCATTTGAAGAAAAGTTTTAAATCAGTGATAGGTTCCTGTCTCAAGAAATTAAAAAAATATGCACAGAAATACAAACACAATGTGACCTCACTTGTATGAGGAATCTAAAAATGTTAAAAGAATAGAAGCAGGGAGTAGAATGGTGGTTACCAGGGTCTGGGCAGCGAGTTTAAGGGATTTGTTACTTACAAAATATTGTATACTTGAAAATCACTATGAGAGTATTTTTAAGTGTTTTCTCCATAAAAACTAAGTGAACTAATGCATATGTGAATTCATGTGAGTTAGCCGTTTAGCGATATATACATATTATGAAACATTATTATTATTATTATTATTATTATTATTATTATTTGAGACGGACTCTCGCTCTGTCGCCCAGGCTGGAGCGCAGTGGTGCGATCTGGCTCACTAAAAGCTCCGCCTCCCGGGTTCACGCCATTCTCCTGAGTCAGCCTGCTGAGTAGCTGGGACTACAGGCGCCCGCCACTACGCCCGGCTAATTTTTTTTTGTATTTTTTGTAGCGACGGGGTTTCACCGTGTTAGCCAGGATGATCTCGATTTCCTGACCCTATGATCCACCCGCCTTGGCCTCCCAAGAAACATTATGTTTTACAACATAAATACATACAAGTTTTACTTATCAGTTGAAAACATCAAACTTCAAAAAAACATGTTTTCTTGAAATTTAAATTTTCTGGCTCTATTCAATAGTTTTTGAAGTAGTTTTTAAAATAGATTGAATATTTCTCCCCGTCCAAATCTCTTATCTAATTGTCATGTCCAGTGCTGGAGTTGGAGCCTGGTGGGAGATGACTGGATCATGGCTGAATTTCTCATGAATGGTATTCTTGAGAAATGCTTTTCTCATGAATTTGTATTTCTAGCACTATCTTCTTGGTGCTGTACCCATGATCATGAATTCTTCCAAGATCTTGTTGTTTAAAAATATGTAGTATCTCCCCACCCACTGTCTTGCTCCTGCTTTTGCTGTATGAAACCCTCCACTCTGTCACCTTCCACCACCTCAGGCTGTTAAGTTCCTGAGGCCTCCCCTGAAGCAGATGCCTGGGTTATGTCTCCTGTACAGCCTGCAGAACTGTTAGCCAAATAAACCTACTTTCTTTTTAAATACCAGTCTCAGATATTTCTTTATAGCAATTCAAGAATGGTCTAATACGCATATTTAGGATGAAGAAAAAAGAAAATAATAAAAATAAAAGCAGAAATCAATTCAAAACATAATTTCATAATTTCTCTATAACAGAGTTGATGGAAAACAATACTTAATGAGAAAGCCTGATATGTAGAGCTAATCACTAAATAGAAAACAAACCATTTCCTTGAATATAAGTGTAGATAGTCTGAGGGATAGCTATACATGTATGTGTATATATGTATACATGGTTTTGTGCATGATAGGCTTTCCTTATTTTTTAAGGCTGAATATATTCCATTGTGTGAATATCTGTACATATATATGTATAACTATACATATATCAGTTTTAAAAGTGATGTCAAACTTTTTAGATGAACAAGTCATTTTGTTTTTATGTTAGCTAGATATGCTCTGGTCCATTTAAGCCTGCCTAGCTTTGTCATCCCATATGCCTTTGAGGTATTGATGACTGTTATGATTGTTATTCATGGCTGCCAAGCTACATTTGAGTAAGTGCTTTGCCCTATGTTCCCTTTTTTTTTTTTTTTTTTTGAGACAGAGTCTTCCTCTGTTGCCCTTGCTGGAGTGCTCAGTGCAGTGGCGCCATCTTGGCTCACTGCAACCTCCGCCTCCCGGGTTCAAGGGATTCTCCTGCCTCAGCCTCCTGAGTAGCTGGGACTACAGGCACGTGTCACCACACCCAGCTAATTTTGTATTTTTAGTAGAGACGGGTTTCACCATGTTGGCCAGGATGGTCTCGATCTCTTGACCTTGTGATCCACCCGGCCTCCCAAAGTGCTGGGATGACAGGTGTGAGCCACTGAGCCTGGCCCCATTTTGTTTTTAATGAGGGCTTCAGTAAAGACAATGTGGAAATTTAGGTTGGAATTCATAGATCTATAGGTCTATTTTATAAGTAAATATACTGTACACAAGTTAGTAAAAAATTAATTTCTTTTTTCTGGTTGGTTATTACTCCAGTGTGATTATAATATATTTTATACTTTTAGGAAATAAGGGGCCGGGCATGGTGGCTCATGCCTGTAATCCCAGCACTTTGGGCCAAGGTGGGAGGATCACCTGAAGTCAGGAGTTCAAGACCAGCCTGGCCAACTTGGCAAAACCCCATCTCTACTAAAAATACAAAAATTAGCTGGGTGTGGTAGCGAGAGCTTGTAATCTCAGCTCCTTGGGAGGTAAGGCAGAATTGCTTGAACCCAGGAGGCAGAGGTTGCATTGAGCTGAAAAGTCTGCCACTGCACTTCAGACTGGGCCACAAGAGAGAAACTCCATCTCAAAAAAAAAAAAGGAAAGAAAAAAGAAAGAAAGAAAAAGAAATAAGGAGAGAAATCAAGAAACAGATGTCCACAGAGTAGTGTCACAAATGATGTATGAAGAAGATGAAGATTATGTCATATTAACCAGGTAACATGGAAATTAATGATACTCTGTAGCAGAGTGAAGTAATGAGTACTATTTGATATAAGGCCAGAAATGAGTTTTGTGATTCTGTTGAGTAACTAACTTTTGAATTATAGAAATATAAATGAGTAGGTAAAAAGCTATGCCTTATTTTTTTATTTTTTATTTTATTTTTGAGACGGAGTCTTGCTTGGTTGCCCAGGCTGAAGTGCAGTGGTGCCATCTCAGCTCACTGCAGCCTCTGCCTCCTGGGCTCAAGAGATTCTTCTGCCTCATCCTCTTGAGTAGCAGCTGAGATTACAGGTGCCTGCCACAACACTGGGCTAATTTTTGTATTTTTAGTAGAGACAGGGTTTCACCATGTTGGTCAGGCTAGTCTCAGACTCCTGACCTCAGGTGATCCACCCACCTCGGCCTCCCAAAGTGCTGGATTACAGGTGTTAGACAATGGGCCCAGCCTGCCTGTTTTAACTAATATAAATCACTCAAATTTCATTATAGGATAAAAGTGTTTCTCGTGATTAAATTACCAAAATTGAAAAACAAACTATATCAGGTTTAGCAAATTGTTAGACCATATCATGTAACCATAAACTGCACTCCTCAGCTGCCAAATCTTACCATTTGTATGCATCTAAGGTTTATTGTAAAGAGTTGATTATATTGAAATATTTAAATATTTTTTTCCTAATTCAGCCATTTATTATTAATAGTCCTACTAAGTTCCATGAAGCACGGGATTTTTAGGCAGTGCAACAACCCTGAATAATATTATAATGGCATGTATGGGCATGTATGTGTCATTATAGATTTGTCCAAACCCATGAGATTGTACAACACCAAAATTTAATTCTTTATGTGAACTATGAACTTGGGGTGATAATTATGTGTCACTATAGGTTCATAAATTATAATACATGTACCAATCTGGTAGAGAATGTTAATCTAAGAGGATATACAGCTGTGGGGTAGAGGGCATATGGAAAATGCATGTACTTCTGGTCAATTAAAAATTAATTTCAACTTTTAATTTAGATTCGGGGGCACGTGTATGTTTGCTACCTAGATATATTGTGTGTTGCTGAGGTTTGACTCAAGATTGATCCCATATCCAGGTAGAGAGCACATTATTCAATAGTTAGTTTTTCAGCCTTTGCCTCCTTCTCTCTCTCCTACCTTTTGGAATCCCCAGTGTCTATTATCCCAATTTTTATGTCCATGTATACCTAGTGTTTAGCTCCCATTTATAAGTGAGAACATGCAGCATTTTGTTTTCTGTTCCTGTGTTAATTTGTTTAGGATAATGGGTTCTCACTGCATCCATGTTGCTGCAAAGGATATGGTTTCATTCTTTTTTATGGCTGTATAGATTATCATGGTGTATATATACCACATTTTCTTTATCCAATTCACAGTTGATGGGCACAAGGGTTGGTTGCATGTCTTTGGTATTGTGAATATCACTGCCATGAACATGCAGTGTTATGTATACAAAAGACAATTATTTGCTGTTAATTTTTGACTATATGTGTATATATTTACACCCAGTAATGGGATGCTGGGCTAAAGGGTAGTTCTAAGTTCTCTGAGAAGTCTTGGCTGGGGGGGCAGCGGCTCATACCTATAATCCCAGCACTTTGAGAGGCTGAGGTGGATGGATCACCTGAGGTTAAGAGTTTGAGACCAGCCTGGCCAACATGGTGAAACACTGTCTCTACTAAAAATACAAAAATTATCCAGCATGATGACTGGTGCCTGTAATCCCAGCTACTTGGGAGGCTGAGGCAGGAGAATTTCTTGTACCTGGGAGTTAGAGTTTGCATTGAGCTGAGATCTTGCCATTGCACTGCAGCCTGGGCAACAAGAGCAAAACTCTGTTTCAAAAAAAAAAAAAGGAGTCTCCAAATTGCTTTCCACCATGGCTGAACTAATTTACATCCCCTCTAACAGTGTGTATAATTGTTGCCTCTTCTTTGCACCTTTGCCAGCCTTCTGGCTGTTATTTTTTTACTTTTTAACAAAGGCCATTCTGATGGTGTGAGATGGTGTCTCATGGTGGTTGTGATTTGCATTTCTCTGGTCATTAGGATGTGGAGTCTTTTCTCATATGTTTGTTGGCCATATTTATGTTTTCTTTTTTTTTTTTTTTTTTTGAGACAGAGTCTCACTCTTTTGCCCAGGCTGGAGTGCAGTGGTGTGATCTCGGCTCACTGTAAGCTCTGCCTCCCAGGTTCACACCATTCTCCTGCCTCAGCCTCCCGAGTAGCTGGGACTACAGGTGGCCGCCACGGCGCCTGCCTAATTTTTTGCATTTTTAGTAGAGATGGGGTTTCACTGTGTTAGCCAGAATGGTCTCGATCTGCTGACTTCGTGATCCACCCATCTCGGCCTCCTGAAGTGTTGGGATTATAGGCGTGAGCCACCGCACCTGGCCTTATGTTTTCTTTTGAGAAGTGTCTGTTCATGTCCTTTGTCCATTTTTAATAGGGTTATTTATTTTTTGCTTTCTCAATTAAGTTCCTTATAGATCCTGGATATTAGACCTTTGTTGGATGCATAATTTGCAAATACTTTCACCCATTCTATAGGCTGTCTGTTTACTCTGTTGATAGTTTCTTTACTGTGCAGAAGCTCTTTATTTTAATTAGGTCCTACTTGTCGATTTTTGCTTTTGTTGTGATTGCTTTTGAGGAGTCAGTCATGAATTATTTCCCAAGGCCAAATCCAGAGTGCTGATTCCTAGGTTTTCTTCTAAGATTCTGATAGCTTAATGTGTTACATTTAAATCTTTAATGGATGTTCAGTTAATTTTTGTATATAGTGAAAGGAAAGGCAGTGGTCCAGTTTCAATCTTCTGCATACAGCTAGTCAGTTATTCTAGCAATAATTATTGAATAGGGAGTCATTTCCCTATTGCTTATTTCTGTCAACTTCGTTGAAGATCAGATTTCTAGAGGTGTGTCTTATTGCCTGGGTTCTCTATACTGTTCCATTGGTCTGTTTCTGTGTCAGTACCATGCTGCTTTGGTCACTGTAGACTTACAGTATAAAGTTAGGTAACATAATGCCTCTGACTTTGTTCTTTTTGCATAGGAGTGCTTTAGCTATTAGGACTTTTAAAAAAATATGAATTTTATTCCTGTTCCAAGATGGCCGAATAGGAACAGCTCTGGTATGCAGCTCCCAGTGTGATTGATGCAGAAGATGGGTGATTTCTGCATTTCCAACCAAGGTACCTGGTTCATCTCACTGGGACTGGTTGGACAGTGGGTGCAGCCCACAGAAGGTGAGCTGGAGCAGGATGGGGCATCACCTCACCTGGGAAGTGCAAGAGGTCAGGGGATTTCTGTTTCCTAGCCAACGGAAGCCACGACAGACAGTACCTGGAAAAATGGGACACTCTCGCCCAAATACTATGCTTTTCCAACAGTCTTGACAAATGGCACAACAGGAGATTACATCCCATGCCTGGCTTGGCAGATCCCATGCCCGTGGAGCCTTGTTTATTGCTAGCGCAGAAGTCTGAGATAAGCCTGAGAGGCAGCAACCTAGCAGGGGGATGGGCGTCTGCAATTGCTGAGGCTTGAGTAGGTTAAAAAAGAGGCGGGGGAAGCTCGAATTGGGTGGAGCCAACCACAGCTCAGCAAGGCCTGCTGCTTCTGTAGTCTGCACTTCTGAGGGCAGGCCGTAGCTGAACAAAAGGCAGCAGAAATTTCTGCAGATTTAAATGCCCTTGTCTGACAGCTCTGAAGAGAGCAGTAGTTCTCCCAGCACAGTGTTTGAGCTCAGAGAATGGACAGACTGACTCCTCAAGTGGGTCCTTGACCCCTGTGTAGCCTAACTGGGAGATACCTCCCAGTAGGGGCCTACTGACACCTCATACAGGTGGGTGCCCCTCTGGGATGAAGCTTCTAGGGGAAGGATCACGTAGCAATATTTGCTGTTCTGAAATATTTGCTGTCCTGCAGCCTCCACTGGTGATACCCAGGCAAACAGGGTCTGCAGTGGACTTCCAGCAAACTCCAACAGACCTGCAGCTGAGGGACCTGACTGTTAGAAGGAAAACTAACAAACAGAAAGGAATAGCATCGACATCAACAAAAAGTTCATCTATAACAAAACCCCATCTGTAGGTCACCAACATCAAAGACCAAAGTTAGATCAAAACCACAAAGATGGGGAGAAACGAGAGCAGAAAAGCTGAAAATTCTAAAAACCAGAATGCCTCATTTTCTCCAAAGGATCACAGCTACTTGCCAGCAATGGAACAAAGTGGGATGGAGAATGACTTTGACAGGCTAACAGAAATAGGCCTCAGAAGGTCAGTAATAACAAAACTCTCTGAGCTAGAGGAATATGTTCAAACCCAACACAAGGAAGCTAAAAACCTTGAAAAAATATTAAATGAATGGCTAACCAGAATAAACAGTGTAAAGACCTTAAATAACCTGATGGAGCTGAAAACCATGGCACGAGAACTACATGACACATGCACAAACTTCAATAGCCAATTCGATCAAGTGGAAGAAAGGGTTATCACTGATTGCAGATCAAATTAATGAAATAAAGTGAAAAAGAGAAGTTTAGAGAAAAAAGAGTAAAAAGAAATGAACAAAGCCTCCAACAAATATGGGACTATGTGAAAAGACCAAATCTACATTTGCTCGGTGTACCTGAAAGTGATGGGGAGAATGGAACCAAGTTGGAAAACACTCTTCAAGGCATTATGCAGGAGAACTTCCCCAACCTAGCAAGGAAATACAAATACTTTGTATTTCCTGAATTGCTAGCAAATTCAGGAAATACAGAGAACACTACAAAGATACTCCTCAAGAAGAGCAACCCCAAGACACATAGTTGTCAGATTCACCAAGGTTGAAATGAAGGAAAAAATATTAAGGACAGCCAGAGAGAAAGTTCAGGTTACCCACAAAGGGAAGTCCATCAGACTAACAGCAGATCTCTTGGCAGAAATCCTACAAGCTAGAAGAGAGAGGGGGCCCATATTCAACATTCTTAAAGAAAATAATTTTCCACCCAGAGTTATATTTCCAGCCAAACTAAGTTTCAGAAGTGAAGGAGAAATAAAATCCTTTGCAGATAAGCAAATGCTGAGGGAATTTGTCACCACCAGGCCTGCCTTACAAGAGCTCCTAAAGAAAGCACTAAACATAGAAAGGAACATCTGGTACCAGCCACTGCAGAAACATGCCAAATTGTAAAGACCATTGATGCTAGGAAGAAACTGCATCAACTAATGGGCAAAATAACCAGCTAACATCATAATGACAGGATCAAATTCACACATAATAATATTAACCTTAAATGTAAATGGGCTAAATGCCCCAATTAAAAGACACAGACTAGCAAATTGCATAAAGAGTCAGGACCCATCAGTGTGCTGTATTCAGGAGATCCACCTCACATGCAGAGATACGCATAGGCTCAAAATAAAGGGATGGAGGAAGATCTACCAAGAAAACGGAAAGCAAAAAAAAAAAAACAAAAAAAAACGGGTTGCAATCATAGTCTCTGATAAAACAGCCTTTAAACCAACAAAGATCAAAAGAGACAAAGAAGGCCATTACATAACGGTAAAGGGATCAATTCAACAAGAAGAGCTAACTATCCTAAATATATATGCACCCAATACAGAAGCACTCAGATTCATAAAGCAAGTCCTTAGAGACCTACAAAGACACTTAGATTCTCACACAATAATAATGGGAGACTTTAACACCCCACTATCAATATTAGACACATCAATGAGACAGAATATTAAGAAGGATATCCAGGACATGTACTCAACTCTGCACCAAGCAGACCTAATAGACATCTACAGAACTCTCCACCCCAAATCAACAGAATATACATTCTTCTCAGCACCACACTGCACTTATTCCAAAATTGACCACATAGTTGGAAGTAAAGCACTCCTCAGCAAATGTAAAAGAACAGAAATCATGACAAACTGTTTCTCAGACTGCAGTGCAGTCAAATTAGAACTCAGGATTAAGAAACTCACTCAAAACCGCACTATATGGAAACTGAAACTATATGGAAACTGAACAACCTGCTGCTGACTGACTACTGGGTACATAATGAAATGAAGGCAGCAATAAAGATGTTCTTCGTAACCAATGAGAACAAATATACAATGTATCAGAATCTCTGGGACACATTTAAAGCAGTGTGTAGAGGGAAATTTATACCACTAAATGCCCATAAGAGAAAGCAGAAAAGATCTAAAATCAACACCCTAATATCACAATTAAAAGAACCAGAGAAACAAGAGCAAACAAATTCAAAAGCTAGCAGAAGGCAAGAAATAACTAAGATCAGAGCAGAACTGAAGGCGATAGAGACACAAAAACCGTTTAAAAATCAATGAATCCAGAAGCTGGTTTTTTGAAAACATCAACAAAAATAGACCACTAGCAAGACTAATAAAGAAGAAAACTGAGAAGAATCAAATAGATGCAATAAAAAATGATAAAGTGGATATCAACACCGATCCCACAGAAATACAAACTACCATCAGAGAATACGATAAACACCTCTATGCAAACAAACTAGAAAATCTAGAAGAAATGGGTAAATTCCTGGACACATACACCCTCCCAAGACTAAACCAGGAAAAAGATGAATCTCTGAATAGACCAATAACAGGCTCTGAAATTGAGGCAATAATTAACAGCCTACCAACCAAAACAAGTCCAGGGCCAGACGGATTCACAGCCAAATTCTACCAGAGTTACAAAGAGGAGCTGGTACCATTCCTTCTGAAACTATTCCAATGAATAGAAAAAGAGGGAATCCTCCCTAACTCATTTTATGAGGCCAGCATCATCCTGATACCAAAGCCTGGCAGAGACACAAAAAAAAAAAAAAAAAGAGAGAATTTTAGATGAATACCCCTGATGAACATTGATGTGAAAATCCTCAAGAAAACGGTGGCAAACTGAATCCAGCAGCACATCAAAAAGCTTATCCACCACAATCAAGTGGGCTTCATCCCTGGGATGCAAGGCTCATTCAACATACGCAAATCAATAAACATAATCCATCATATAAACGGAACCAGTGGCAAAAACCACATGATTACCTCAATAGATGCAGAAAAGGCCTTTGACAAAATTCAACAGCCCTTCATGCTAAAAACTCTGAATAAACTACTTTTTCATGGAAAATATCTCAAAATAATAAGAGCTGTTTATGCAAACCCACAGCCAATATCATACTAAGTGGGCAAAAACTGTAAGCATTCCCTTTGAAAACTGGCACAAGACAGGGATGCCCTCTCTCACGACTCCTATTCAACACAGTGTTTGAAATTCTGGCTGGGGCAATTAGGCAGGAGAAGGAAATAAAGAGTATTCAACTAGGAAAAGAGGAAGTCAAATTGTCCCTGTTTGCAGGTGACATGATTGTATATTTAGAAAACCCCATTGTCTCAGCCCACAATCTCCTTAAGCTGATAAGCAACTTCAGCAAAGTCTCAGGATACAAAATCAATATGCAAAAATCACAGGCATTCCTACAGATCAATAACAGACAAACAGAGAGCCAAATCATGAGTGAACTCCCATTCACAATTGCTTCAAAAAGAATGAAATACCTAGGAATCCAACTTACAAGGGACGTGAAGGACCTCTTCAAGGAGAACTACAAACCACTGCTCAATGAAATAAAAGAGGTCGCAGACAAATGGAAGAACATTCCATGCTCATGGATAGGAAGAATCAATATCGTGAAAATGGCCATATTGCCCAAGGTAATTTGTAGATTCAATGCCATCCCCATCAAGCTACCAATGACTTCCTTCACAAAATTGGAAAAACCTACTTTAAAGTTCATGTGGAACCAAAAAATAGCCCAAATTGCCAAGACAATCCTAAGCAAAAAAGAACAAAGCTGGAGGCATCACACTACCTGACTTCAAACTATACTACAAGGCTACAGTAACCAAAACAGCATGGTACTGGTACCAAAACAGAGATATAGATCAATGGAACAGAACAGAGGCCTCAGAAATAATACCACACATCTACAACCATCTGATCTATGACAAACCTGACAAAAACAAGAAAAGGGGAAAGGATTTCTTATTTAATAAATGGTGCTGGGTAAACTGGCTAGCCATATGCAGAAAGCTGAAATTGCATCCCTTCCTTACACCTTATACAAAAATTAATTCAAGTTGGATTAAAGACTTAAATGTTAGATCTAAAACCATAAAAACCCTAGAAGAAAACCTAGGCAATACCATTCAGGAGATAGGCATGGGCAAGTACTTCATCAGTAAAACACCAAAAGCAATGGCAGCAAAAGCCAAAATAGACAAATGGGATCTAATTAAACTAAAGAGCTTTTGCACAGCAGAAGAAACTACCATCAGAGTGAACAGGCAACCTACAGAATGGGAGAAAATTTTTGCAATTTACCCATCTGACAAAGGGCTAATATCCAGAATCTACAGAGAACTTAAACAAATTTACAAGAAAAAAACAAACAGCCCCATCAAGAAGTGGGCAAAGAATATGAACAGACACTTCTCAAGAGAAGACTGTTACGCAGCCAAGAGACATGAAAAAATGCTCATCATCACTGGTCATCAGAGAAATGCAAATCAAAGCCACAATGAGATACCATCTCACACCAGTTAGCATGGTGATCATTAAAAAGTCAGGAAAGAACAGATGCTGGAAAAGATGTGGATAAATAGAAATGCTTTTACACTGTTGGTGGGAGTGTAAACTAGTTCAACTATTGTGGAAGACAGTGTGGTGATTCCTCAAGATCTAGAACTAGAAATACTATTTGACCCAGTGATCCCATTACTGCATATATATCCAAAGGATTATAAATCATGCTACTATAAAGACACATGCACACATATGTTTTTTGTGGCACTATTCACAATAGCAAAGACTTGGAACCATCCCAAATGTCCACTAATGATAGACTGGATTAAGAAAATGTGGCACATATACACCATGGAATACTATGCAACCAAAAAAAGGGATGAGTTCATGTCCTTTGCAGGAACATGGATGCAGCTAGAAACCATCATTCTGAGTAAACTATCACAACGACAGAAAAACAAACACCTCATGTTCTCACTCATAGATGGGAATTGAACAAGAACACTTGAACACAGGGCGAGGAACATCACACCCTGGGGCCTGTCATGAGGTGGAGGGCAGGGGGAGGGGATAGCATTAGGAGAAATACCTAATGTAAATGACGAGTTAATGGGTGCAGCAAAGAAACATGGCACATGTATACCTATGTAACAAACCTGCATGTTGTGCACATGTACCCTAGAACTTAAAGTACAAACAAAAATGAATTTTAAAAGTTTTTTCTCATTCTTTTAAAAATTACCTTGATAGTTTGATAGAAATAGCATAGAATTTGTATATTGCTTGCAGTAGTATAGGGATATTAACGATACGGATTCTTTTAATTCAAGAGCATGATATGTTTTTCTATTTGTGTCATCTATGATTTCAACCGCAATATTTTGTAGGTCTCCTTGTAGAGATCTTTTAACTCCTTGGTTAGCTCTGTTTCTAGATATTTTATTTTATCTTTTTTGTAGCCATTGTAAATGGAATTGTCTTCTTTATTTGGTGCTCAGCTTGAACATTATTGGTGTACAGAACTGCTACTGGTTTTTGTACACTGATTTTCCATCCTGAAACTTTACTAAAGTTTGTTTATCAGTTGCTAAAAAGTTTTGGCTGGATGTTTAGCATTTTCTAGGTGTAGCATCATATCTTCTGCTAAGAAGTATGGTTTGATTTCTTCTATTAGGATGCCTTTTCTTTCTTTCTATTGACTAATTGTTTTGGCTAGGACTTCCTGTTCTATGTGGTGAAAATAGGAGTGGTAAGAGTGGGCAACCTTGTCTCGTTCCAGTTCCCAAGGAATGCTTCCAGTTTTTGCCTGTTCAGTATGATGTTGGCTGTGGATTCTTCATAGATGGCTCTTTTGAGGTATGTTCTTTTGATGACTCATCTGTTGTCTGTTGAGAGCTTTCATCATGAAGGGATATTGGATTTTATAGAAAGATTTCTCCATGTCTATTGAGATGATGTTTTTGTTTTGTTTTGTTTTGTTTTGTTTTTGAGACAAAGTTTCACTCTTGTTGCCCAAGCTGGAGTGCAATGGTGCGACCTCAGCTCACCGCAACCTCCACCTCCTGAGTTCAAGCGAATCTCCTGCCTCAGCCTCCTTAGTAGCTGGGATTACAGGCACACACCACCATGCCTGGCTAATTTTGTATTTTTAGTAGAGATGGGGTTTTGCCATGTTGGTCAGGCTGGTGTCAAACTCCCGACCTCAGGTGATCCACCCGCCTTGGCCTCCCAAAGTCCTGGGAGTATAGGCATGAGCCACATGCCCGGCTGGTTTGTTTTTTAATTGTGTTTATGGGGTGAACCACATTTATTGTGATTTAATTTCCCTTTGTACATGATCTGACATTTTATCTCTAGGTGCCTTTAAGGTTTTTTTAAATTTAGCATTGATATTGGACATCCTGGTGACTAGAGGTGTTGGTGACATTTGTTTTGTGTAGTATCTCTCAAGTGTTCCCCAGATTTCTTGTATCTGGATGTTTACCTCTCCAGCAATATCAGGGAAATTTTCTTGATTTATTCCCTGACATATCTTTTTCAGGTTGTTTACTTATTTTCCTCCTCTCTCAAGAATCCCAATAATTTGTAGGTTTGGTCACTTTACATAGTCTCATATTTCTCAAAGACTTTGTTCATTTTTCAGAATGCTTTTTAAAAGCTTTTATTTCATTGGGTTATTCTGATGGATGATTCTTCATGATCTGAAATTTTTTCTTCTGCTTATTCCAATCTGTTGATAAACCGTTCCATTGTATTTTAAAATTCCTTACATGAGTTTTCCACCCAACAAACTCTGATTGACTTCTTTCGAAGTTATTTATCTCTTCCTTCATTTCCTGGATGGCTTTAGAAGTTTCTTTCTGTTGACTTTTAACCTTGTCTTGGATCTCATTGAGCTTTCTTGCAATCCATGCTTTGAATTTTTTATCTGTCATTTTCTGAGTTTCCATTTTAGTTGGGGACCATTCTTGAAAGGTAGTGCGATCCTTTAGTGGTGTCACTGCATTCACATTTTTCATAAATGCTAGAATCTTTCTAGCAGAATTCTTGTGCTGGTGTCTTGTCATCTGAAGATGCTGGAACTTCTAATTTTTGTAATTATTTTTGGTGTGGGTAGAACTTAATTTTTCTTTTCAAATAATGTTATTATTGTCACTGTTTTATTTCCTCTTCCCTTTCTGCCTTCCCTATGGGGTGTAACTCATAGAGTGTTTTGGCTTTGCTTCTATTGCCCTGTGCACTTGTTGGCTTATGCTGGAGGCTTTTACTTTGTTTTTTTTTTTATATTGGGCTTTTATTGAGCCCTGTAGTTTGAGCGATAAGCCAGGAGATGGTGCTCATTGCTAAGAACCAGCTACAGCGAATAGGCTGAGTATATACTTGATCCTTGTTTCCAGCGAGAAGCTCCGTTACCTCAGGCAGTGGGTTGGTTTGTGGAGTGCACAGTGGTCTGAGCTCCCTGCTGTGCCACTGGGGGCGGAGGGACCAAGGTGAATGGGACTGGACCAGTTAGATCTGCCTGCGAGTCCGGTGATGGCAGGCAGGCACGGACACTAGCACCAAGGGAGAATCCACTGGGCAGCCACCAAGCGCCTGGAGGTGTGCCCAGCGGTGGAGCTGGGAAACTTCCGTGGACTCACGTTCTCTGCCTAGGGATGGACGACAGCCTAAACTCCTAATCCAAGACAGTCGGGGTTTCAGACGGTTAACGATCTGTTTGGGTAGGGAGGGCCCCCTGCACCAGGATATCTGCACAGAAAGGGTAAGTTGACTCAGGCCGCTGAACCAGGCAAGAGGGTTCTCTTAAATGCCTGGAGATCTGCGAGTGTGAAACAGAGGGCACCCCTTGCACATGGATCTCTGCACCGGAAGGGTGGGCAGCTCAGGCTGCTAGTTCAGACACGCTGGTATTCCGAATGCCTAGATTTCTGCTTGGGTGTGGATCGGAGAAGGCCCCACTGCACTGCAATCTCAGGGGAGCAGAGTGGGGCATCCAGCAATGGCACATGCAGACCAGTTCCAGGTCACCAAGCTGGACCTAGCTGCAAGTCTTATTACCCAAGAGAAACTGCAGCTGTAGAAGCTTTCCACACTTGCCCCTTCATCCCTTCCAGGCCTGCGGCTGGGGAGGGCACAATTCCAGCTTCTACTGCCGAGGCTTCTTCCACAGTTCTGGCTGTGGAAGCCCCTATCCCTCTCCAGGTGCTCCGTTCTTCCGCCCGAGGCTAAAATTCCTGCATGGATACCCTGCCAGGTGGCCAGATAATGGCTGACTTTGACGTTGTATGTTCCCAGATTAAAAATGGCCTCCTTCTCTAGTCCAGAGTCTGGGAAAATGCCCGCAGCTTTGCCTGTTGTAGTTTTCTCAGTATTTCTAAGCCTCTTCCCATGTCAGCTCCAGGGCTTGGAAGAAACAATGTGTTCTCCCTCAGTCTGGGATCCCCAGTGGAAAGCTGAGTCACAGAAGGAGACTCTCTGCCTCTCCCCCATACTGGGGCTTCACTAACTTTTATGGCAGACATCTTCACGTGGGCTGTTTGCTGATGTTCTCTTCCCCAGGATGTGGACTGTCCTTCATGATTCCAGTGATTTCCACTTTCCTTCTTGAATTAAAGTGCACAGAGTTAATCTTAATGCACCATCTTCCTATTGCCAAGTAGCTGAGGCATGCTAACAATTGTAAATCCACCATCTTTGAGGAATAAAAACATCAATAGCTTTTGGGATTACAGTCAGAAACTTTTTTGAAATTTTGATCTAGTTTTGGTGGCATTAGAATCTGTATTTGTCAGCTGTATCATTTCTCTTTTCTGGACAAAGAATATTTATAACAATCTCGGATATGGATGAACTCACCTAGAGCCAGAGGAGAGAAAATATTCTAGAATTCAACCTCAAGGAAATAGTTTGCTGATGTTAGAAAAGTTGTCTTTGGTTTCTTGTGGAAGCAAAAACTGCTAGATCTTTATGCAGGATCTTGGAAATGTCTGTGCAAGAAGAGTGTTGATCTGTTTATTATTTCTTATAGTCTAAACTAAAATGTACCAGTAAATCTCTTTTATAAGTGCAGTGCTTCTGGTTCTCCTAAACACAGATAGTGAAGTGAAGAATCTGAGGCCCTTTTTGACAGTGATGGAAAATGATCCTGATGTTCCATGGCATCTTCTCAAACTAGAAATTCTTATTGAAGATAAGGAAGCAAATTAATCATAATATGCTGTTTTAAGTTAAGGATTTTGTTATTTGTAAATTATTAAAATATGCTTACAGAATAAAAAATATATAAGAATTTATTCTGTAATTTGAAACAAATTTTCCAATTACACCTACCTTTGTGAAGTGTCAGTATTCTTTCTAGTATAATGATCCACGTGGTTAATTTCATTTGTACTTCTCCTTCTCCCAAATTTATCATTACCTAGTATACTTTTAGATATCTGGTATTATGCTACCATTTGTACACCTCTGATTGGCCACCTCCTCTTCTCATGCCAATGGAAGATGATTGAGCTTTGATTCACGGGATGTAAATCCACTTTATTGGTCACCTGTTCAATCCATGCTCCTTGCTGATGATAAACCACTTCAGGACATGTATAACTGCAGTTTGAGGCATGTGGTTATATAGACTTTGTGTTTATCCAAATTTTTATTTGTCTGTAATCTTAAATAGTGGCAGCCCACCAGACTTTCTTTTTGCTTTCTGTTTTGGTTGTTATAAGCCTGGAGTAACTGGCAAATCTGAACAACATGAATTCATTTATAACAAACCAAGTTTTAAATTACATAGTTGAGTTTGTAAGATGAAAACCAAAAGTGATTAGTGAAAAATAGTAATATTTGGTCTATCCATATATTCTAAACTAGTAAACTAAGGGGACCTTATGCTTTAGTTTACATTGCCTCAAACTTAAAAGTAAAACAATTTAAAATAATTATGCCCCAAGTTATTACATGTATTCAATTTGTTGATATAAGTCAATAGAGAAATTTGAGTCTGTAGAATTTCCTTAGAATTACCTTTCTGAATGAAGTCTATATTAAATGAAGTTTGCCTTTACTTGACTGGGTCTTGTAATTAATCTTATGTTCAATTTGCTTAACCAGATCCATTGAATTCTTTCTGCTTAGCACTTCAGTTAGAAGTGCCACATTCCCAAACTTTAATGTTAGTTTAGGAGAGTTGGGAGAGCTTATGCAAATAGAGTGGTATCATGTTGAAAAATGTCTTTTCCTTTCAGTTTGAAAGTAAGCAAAACTGGATCTTGTGGATTGGTGATCTGATGTAAATATTCCCTTTTTGCTTATTTTTTGTCTTCATATATTTAACATGTCCACAGCATATATCTTAGATTGGCACTATTAGATATATTATGTGAGCCACAAATGTGAGCTGCGTCTGTAATTTTAAATTTTCTGCTAGCCATATAGAAAAGTTTAAAAAACCCAGATAGAATCAATTTTAATGATATATTTTATTTAAGTAAATATATTAAATATATTATTTCAATATGTAAATTATACATTCTTTTTTTCTTCAATCTTCTGTGTATTTTACCCCTGTTAGTTTCAACTAGTCATATTTCAAGTGCTCCATTAGTCACATCTGGCTAGTGGCTATATACTGGACAGCCCAGGTGTGGATAGAAGCCTGGCGATGTTCTATGTAGAATAAAAGAGCTATCGTGTACCTTTCCATGGTGTTGTATGGGCAGTGTAGTACATTTTTATTAACTTTTAGAACATTGTTTTTTTTTTTTTTTTTTGACATGAAGTCTCGCTTTGTTGCCCAGGCCGTAGTGCAGTGGTGCGATCTCGGCTCACTGCAAGCTCAGCCTCCTGGGTTCATGCCATTCTCCTGCCTAAGCCTCCTGAGTAGCTGGGACTACAGGCGACTGCCACCGCGCCTGGCTAATTAGTATTAGTATTAGTATTAGTATTAGTATTAGTATTAGTATTAGTATTTTTAGTAGAGACGGGGTTTCACTGTGTTAGCCAGGATGGTCTCAATCTCCTGACCTCGTGATCCACCCACCTCGGCCTCCTAAACTGCTAGGATCACAGGCCTGAGCCACCGCGTCTGGCCCCCAGAACATTGCATATTTTGAGTACTCAAGTAACCTGTATCTCTTCGTAGCAACTATTACTATTAAAAGTTTTGAGAGGCTACGTGCAATGGCTCACACCTACAACCCCAGCCCTTTAGAAGGCCAAACTGCAAAGATCACTGAGACTAACCTGAACAACATAATGAGACACCATTTCTACAGAAAATAAAAATAATAAAATTAGCTGGCATGATGGCACATACCTATAGTCTTAGCTATTCAGGAGGCAAAGGCAGAAGGACTGCCTAAACCCGTGATTTTAAGGACAGCCTGGGCAACATAGGGATAGCCAGTCTCTTAAAACACACACACAAACAAACGTGTGTAAATTTTTAACTTCATATTGGCTTGCCTTTTTTTTTTTTAACTCATATTGCTTAATCAGTATGATTCTGAAAATAAATTTTGGTAGTACTCAGATTTTTACTCTAGTCTCAGAATTTTAATGTAATAATGTTTAAGTTGCAAATAGAATTCTTTATTCTTTATGCAGATTGATCAGCTTTCAGCAGAAAACTTTTCATTTACCATGTCTCTGGAAAAACTCATCAGAGCTCCAAGAATTATAAGTTTTTATTTAAAAGATTTTACCTCTCTGAATTTTAACCTGTGATTTATTAAACTCTGTTCTTACTGACTTCTTTCATTCTTATTTTCTTATATGTGTAGTTCGACTTCATTTTTGGCTTTCTTTAAACTTTTTTTCTATTGAAATAGAAAATATTTTGACATTTTGATATGAATGTATGAGTTTTCTCTTTTTGACATACAGCAGCTTTGAAATATTTATACTGTATTTAAAAAATATAACTGAGTAAAGAATCGTTCATCATCTGTTTTTAATTTTTTGATTGGCAATATATTTTTTATATAAGGTACATAGTCACCAACACTCAGTGAGGAATGTTTATATCCCTTTTTTGCCCATTCAATCTTGCTATCCATATTACTTTCTTTTGCTTAAGTAACTTTAGAGGATTTAAAAAGTAAGTAAATTTAAACTATGTTTCTGCCCCTTTTATTTGGGATGATATACATTGTAAAATATTACTATAGAATTACTGAATAAAGAGGTTAAAGGTTGTCCTTCTTCCCTTTAATTTGTTTTCTTCTGTGTATACTTACAAATTTTAGAATGTGCTAGAGAATTTTCTTTTCTTCTTTTTGAGAAGGAGTCTCGCTGTGTCACCAGGCTGGAGTGCAGTAGCACAATCTCGGCTCACTGTAAGCTCCATCTCCCGGATTCAAGCAATTCTCTGCCTCAGCCTCCCAAGTAGCTGGGACTACAGGTGTGTGTCACCATGCCCAGCTACTTTTCATATTTTTAGTAGAGACAGGGGTTTCACCATCTTGGCCAGGCTGGTCTTGAACTCCTAACCTTGTGATCCACCTGCCTTGGCCTCCCAAAATGCTGGGATTACAGGTGTGAGCCACCATACCCTGCTGATAATTTTCAGCTGAATAATTAATTACTTTTTTCCAATGTTGAATTACTTAGTAGGCACAGATCTTTTGGAAATAAATTCTTTAGATTCTTTAGAATATAAACACTTTTATTCTAGGAATATAATCTCTCACAGTCATAATGAGCATATTTACTATCTTCACCCTAATTTTTTTTGGTTTATTTTTGTCATACCCAAGATGAATATAATTTTTAACTAAATAATAGATTACATAGGTGTGTTAGAGTAGGCAGATAGCCAGAAATGAACAGCCAAGGATGCTGCTGGGGAAATAAGACCTGGAGATGCTGCTTACTGACAGCAAAAAAGAGAGTGGCTACAAGGGATACTTTTGGCCTTGTGATTGAGCTCCTCTGGCCCTGAAGGGGACTTACTGAGGGCCAGCTGGAGATAATCATGCCAGGGACTTCCCCTACTGATGAGTATGTGCATGCCTCCAATAACTTGCCCTAGAGTAGCCTTTTACTCAATAATAATAATAATCAAAAGCACACCCTTGAGTGGAGATTTTAGATGCTAATGAAACATGCAATGTGTGTACTAGCATGTACAACCACATAGCATGCACACCCAAAGAAACCTAAAACATGCTTACAAGTGTCACCCCCTTTTGCTCCTCCATGAATAATCATATAAGACTGTCATGGAGTCTTGGCAGCACTATCTGCTGCTGGCTCATTCTCTTGAGCAGGCTGCTTGGCCTTGTCTTTCAGAGTGTACTGTGTCTTTAAATAAACACTACTCCAGATTTTTCCAGCTGGAGCAGCCTAGAGCTATTTTCCACTTCTGTCTAGGGATGCCCTTTATTTTCCTTGAATAAACTGTGCTACTTAAACCTTGCTATGCATCTCTTGGCTGATTTATTTCTTCCAAATTAGACAAAAACTGAGGATTCTACCACTTCCTGGTAATCAGTGGAGAGTCTTATTAGTACGAAATCTTGCAACTGCTGTAATGTTTCTTTCTACCTTCATCACAAAATTCAGCTCAAGCTATTATACTTAAAAACCATTTCTTAAGTATGCTAAGTGAACCTAATCAAACAGTTTTGATGTAGTAGAAGAAAAAGAGGAAGTCAGAAATATAAATTTGTAATTAGAATATAATAGTTGTTTAAGAAAACTGAAGTGGCTGGGCGTGGGGGCTCACGCCTGTAATCTCAGCACTTTGGGAGGCGGAGGTGGGCGATCACGATGTCAGGAGATCGAGACCATCCTGGCTAACATGGTGAAACCCCATCTCTCCTAAAAAAAAAAAAAAAAAAAAAAATTAGCCAGGTGTGGTGGCGGTCACCTGTAGTCCCAGCTACTCGGGAGGCTGAGGCCTCTGACCCCCTGAGAGGCCTGAGAGAAAGAGAATCTATTTGATTCTTCTCTCTTTTCTTCTTTATTGTCTGGCTAGCAGTCTATCTATTTTGTTAACCTTTTAAAAAAACCAGCTCCTGGATTCATTGATTTTTGAAGGGGTTTTTCTGTCTCTATCTCCTTCAGTTCTGCTCTGATCTTAGTTATTTCTTGTCTTCTGCTAGCTTTTGAATTTGTTTGCTCTTGCATCTCTAGTTCTTTTAATTGTGATGTTAGGGTGTTGATTTTATCTTTCTCACTTTCACATGTGGGCATTTAGTGCTATAAATTTCCCTCTGAACACTGCTTTAGCTGTGTCCCAGAGATTTTATTGTGTCTTTGTTCTCATTGGTTTCAAAGAACTTATTTATTTCTCCCTTAATTTCATTGTTTGCCTAGTAGTCATGCAGGAGCAGGTTGTTCAATTTCCATTTAGTTGTGTGGTTTTGAGTGAGTTTCTGAATCCTGAGTTCTAATTTGATTGCGTTGTGGTCTGAGAGACAGTTTGTTATGATTTCCATTGTTTTGCACTTGCTAGGGAGTGTTTTACTTCAAATTATGTGGTCGATTTTAGAATAAGTGCTATGTGGTGCTGAGAAGAATGTATATACTGTTGATTCGGTGGGGAGAGTTCTATAGGTATCTATTAGGTCAGCTTGATCCAGAGCTGAGTTCAAGTCCTGAATATCTTTGTTAATTTTCTGTCTTGTTGAACTGTCTAATATTTACAGTGTGGTGTTAAAATCTCCCATTATTATTGTGTGGGTGTCTAAGTCTCTTTGTAGGTCTCTGAGAACTTGCTTTATGAATCTGAGTGCTCTTGTATTGCATACATATATATTTAGGAGAGTTATCTCTTCTTGTTGCATTTGTCCCTTTACCATTATGTAATGCCTTTGTCTTTTTTGATGGTTGTTGGTTTAAAGTCTGTTTTATCAGAGACTAAGTTTGCAATGCCTGCTTTTTTGTTTTGTTTTGTTTTGTTTTTGCTGTCCATTTGCTTGGTAAATATTCCTGCATCCCTTTATTTTGAGCTGATGTGTGTCTTGCATATGAGATCAGTCTCCTGAATACAGCACACCTATGGGTCTTGACTCTTTATCCAATTTGCCAGTCTGTGTCTTTTAACTGGGGCATTTAGCCCATTTACTTTAAGGGTAATATTGTTATGTGTGAATTTGATCCTGTCATCATGATGGTAGCTGGTTATTTTGCACAATTAGTTGTAGTTTCTTCATAGTGTCATTGGTCTTTATATTTTGGTATGTTTTGCAGTGGCTGGTACGGGTTTTTCCTTTCCATATTTAGTGCTTCCTTCAGGAGCTCTTGTAAGGCAAGCCTGGTGGTGACAAAATCCCTCAACATTTGCTTGTCTGTAAAGGATTTTATTTCTCCATTGCTTACGCAGTTTAGTTTGGCTGGATTTGAAATTCTGAGTTGAAAATATTTTTCTTTAAGATTGTTGAATATTGGCACCCACTCTCTTCTGGCTTGTAGGGGTTTCTGCCAAGGGATCACCTGTTAGTCTGATGGGCTTCCCTTTATAGGTAACATGACCTTGCTCTCTGGCTGCCTTTAACATTTTTCCTTCATTTCAACCTTGGAGAATCTGATGATTTTGTTTTGTCTTGGGGTTGCTGTTCTTGAGGAGTATCTTAGTATTTCCTGAATTTGAATGTTGGCTTGTCTTGCTAGGTTGGGAAACTTCTGGATAATATCCTGAAGTGTGTTTTCTAACTTGGTTCTGTTCTCCCCATCACTTTCAGATACACTAAAGAATTGTAGGTTTGGTCTTTTCACATAGTCTCATATTTCTTGGGGGCTTTGTTCATTCCTTTTCATACTTTTTTTTCTAACCTTGTCTTCACGCTTTATGTCATTAAGTTGATCTTCAATCTCTGATATCCTTTCTTCTGCTTGTTTCAGCTATTGATACTTGCATATGCTTCATGAAGCTCTCATGGTGTGTTTTTCAGTTCCATCAGGTCATTTATGTTCTTCTCTAAACTGGTTATTTTAGTTAGCAGTTCCTGTAACCTTTTATCAAGGTTCTAAGCTTCCTTGTGTGCTCCTTTAGCTCATAGGAGTTTGCTATTACCCACCTTCTGAAGCCTACTTCTGTCAATTCATCAAAGTCATTCTCCACCCAGTTTTGAGCCCTTGCTGCAGAGGAGTTGCAATCATTTGGAGGCGAAGAGGCATTCTGAGTTTTGGAGTTTTCAGCATTTTTGTGCTGGTTTTTCCTTATCTTCGTGGATTTATCTACCTTTGATCTTTGATGCTGATGACATTTGGTTGGGGTTTTGGTATGGGCGTCCTTTTTGTTGATGTTGATGTTATTGCTTTCTGTCTGTTAGTTTTCCTTCTAACAGTGAGGCTCCCCTTCCGCACGTCTGTTGGAGTTTTCTGGAGGTTCACTCCAGACTCTGTTTGCCTGGGTATCACCAGCAGAGGCTGTACAACAGCAAAGATTGCTGCCTGCTTCTTCTTCTGGAAGATTCATCCTAGAGGGGCACCTGCCTGATGCCAGCTGGAGCTCTCCTGTATGAGGTGTCTCTTGACCCCTGCTGGGAGGTGTCTCCCAGTCAAGGCAAGGGGGTTAGGGACTCACTTGAGCAGGCAGGCAGTCTGTCCCTTAGCAGAGCTCGAGTGCTGTGCTGGGATATCTGCTGTTCTCTTCAGAGCTGGCAGGCAGGAATGTTTAAGTCTGCTGAAGCTGTGCCCACAGCCACCCCTTTCCCCAGGTGTTCTGTCCCCAGGAGACAGGGGTTTTGTCTATAAGCCCCTGACTGGGACTGCTGCCTTTCTTTCAGAGATGTCATGCCCAGTGAGGACCAATCTAGAGAGGCAGTCTGGCTATAGTCGCTTTGTTGCCATGTGGTCAGTTCTGCCCAGTCCGAACTTCCTGGCAGCTTCCTTAACACTGTGAGGGGAAAGCCAACTACTCAAGCCTCAGTAGTGGCAGGTGCCCCTCCCTGCACCAAGCTTGGGCATCTCAGGTCAACTTTGGACTGCTGTTCTGGGAGCAAAAATTTCAAGCCAGATGTTCTTAGGTTGCTGGGCTCCATGGGAGTAAGACCTGCTGAGAGAGACCACTTGGCTCCCTGGCTTTCATCCCCTTTCCCAGGGAGTGAAGAGTTCTGTCTTCCTGGGGTTTCAGGTGCCACTGGGATATGAAAAAAAACAAACAAAACAAAACAAAAAAAACTCCTGCAGCTAGTTCAGTGTCTGCCCAAACAATGTCCCACTTTTGTGCTTGAAACCCAGAGCCCTGATGGTGTAAGCACACGTGGGAATCTCCTGGTCTGTGGGCTGCAAAAACCATGGGAAAAGTGTAGTATCTAGGCCAGATAGCACAGTCCCTCTTGTCTTCCCTTGGCTAGGGGAGGCAGGACCTGGGCCCCTTGCACTTCCCGAGTGAGGCAACTCCCCACCCTCTTTCTGCTCGTCCTCTGTGGGCAGTACCCACTGTCTAACTAGTCCCAGTGAGATGAACTGGGTACTTCAGTTTGAAATGCAGAAATTACCCACCTTCTCTTTTGGCATCACCAGGAGCTACAGATGGAGCTGTTCCTATTCAGCCATCTTGAGCCAGGCATAAGATTCTTAAATAATATCATAATTTTACTCACATATTAAAAATTTTGACATTAGTTAAATATGTCACAGAAATACTATACTACTTTGGATAAAAATTGCAAGATACATCATTGACACAGCAAATTTCAAACAAATGCAGTGACCAAAACATCTGTGCCCTTTTGCTCAAGCTTTTACAAACACATTTAGTTGTTGGTGTTTGAGTAAATCAGTTTTGGTTTTTTCATACTGCTCCATGTGTCTTATCCTAAACCCGTTTGTAGATGATCTGCTTAATGGCCCATCTCCCTGGCTGTGATCTACTGAAAGTCAACACAAAGTGGGGAAACTAGTGCTAATATTGAGGCAGAAGTAAAGGAAAAATCAGTTAGGCAAACAGTTAAGAATGGTCCTTGGAGAAGCAGCCTGCCTGAAAAAACACAGCTACAGGCAAAATAGAGAAGCCTGGGGAAAACTTAAGACTGTACCTGCACAGATAAGCAGGCAGGGTTCACCATAGAAGTCTTTTGTTCTTTTGTGATTAGCAGCCTCCCAGGAAAAACTTTTGTCCCCTTTTCAGGCTTATACATCAAGGGAAATTTCACAGGGAGGAGGGGGCCTTACATAAAACAAACCCACAGTTATACATACAAGAGAAGCAGCACTTTGTGCTTGTCTAGAGACATATCTGCAGCTGCATAAGATAAGGGGAGTTGCACAGACAGTTTTACTGATAAGAGAAGTTACTCAAACTGCTAAAGAGATGAGAGCGGGTTCATATAAAAGCTTTATAATTGAACTGTAAAAATGGCAAGCCAGGGAGCCTCCCCCTCTCCACTGTGGAGACCTTTCTTCTTTCGCTTATTAAATTTTTGCTCCAACCTCACCCTTTGTATCCATGCTCTTTAATTCTCTTGGTCATTAGGCAAAAAGTGCAAATATCTTAGACAATAAGACCAGTGACTCTGACCTATTTCTTTCTTTCCTTCTTTTTTTTTGAGACAGATTCTCACTCTGTCATACAGTCTGGAGTGCAGTGTTGCGATCTCGGCTGACTGCAAGCTCTGCCTCCCAGGTTCACAACATTCTCCTGCCTCAGCCTCCCAAGTCGCTGGGACTATGGGCACCTGCCACAATGCTCACCTAATTTTTTGTATTTTTAGTAGAGACAGGGTTTCACCATGTTAGCCAGGATGGTCTCGATTTCCTGACCTTGTGATCTGCCCTCCTCGGCCTCCCAAAGTGCTGGGATTACAGGCATGAGCCTCCGTGCCTGGCCGACTCTGACCTATTTCTATATGATGCTTGTCCGGTTGCTAAATGTATAATGTAATGGCATTTTAGACAAGTTTTCTTCTCCATATTTTCTCATATTAGATGTTTTACCTGTTTCCAAAGCCATACCTGATTTTAATTACTACTAATATTATTTAATTTTGTTTTTTAGAGACAGGGTCTTGCTCTGTCATGCAGGCTGGAGTGCAGTGGTGAGATCACAGATCACTACAATTTTGACCTCGTTGGGTGAAGCGATCCTCCCACCTCAGCCTCCCAAGCAGGCAGCACTACAGTTCCATGCCACCATCCCTGGCTAATTTTCTATTTTTTAATTTAAATTTTTTTTGAGACAAAGTCTCACTCTATCACCAGGCTGGAGTGAATTGTGTGGTATCAGCTCACTGCAACCTCTGCCTTCCTGGTTCAAGCAATTCTGCTGCCTTAGCCTCCTAAGTAGCTGGAACTACATGTGCGTGCCACTACACCCAGCTAATTTTTCTGTGTGTATTTAGTACTGATGGGGTTTCACCATGTTGGCCAGGATGGTCTTGGTCTCTTGACCTCATGATCCATCCACCTCAGCCTCCCAAAGTGCTGAGATTATAGGGGTGCATCATCTCACCCAGCCTATTTATTTATTTATTTATTTATTTTTAAGACAGAGTCTCACTCTTGTTACCCAGGCTGGAGTGCAGTGGTGCAATCTTCACTCACTGCAACCTCCACCTCTTGGGTTCAATCAATTCTTCTGCCTCAGCCTCCTTAGTAGCAGCTGGGATTACAGGTTCCCACCACCATGTCCAGCTAATTTTTGTATTTTTAGTAGAGATGGGGTTTCACCATGTTGGCCAGGATGGTCTCAATCTCTTGACCTCGTCATCTGCCCCACCTTGGCCTTCCAAAGTGCTAGGATTACAGGCATGAACCACCGCACTGGCCTATTTTATTTTTTCTGGAGATGAGGTCTCACTGTGTTGCCCAGGCTGGTCTTGAAATTCTGGGCTCAAGCGATCTTGCAACCTTGGCCTCCCAAAGCCTGGGATTACAGACATGAGCCACTGCACCTAATCATATGTTTTTAGGTGGATGTTTTTCAGAAGTTTCTGGTTGTGTAAAAAATGAGTTTTCTTGCTTTCAGTGGCTCTTTTACTATATCTGTTCACTTTTTACTGTTTATCATTATATGTTCTTGCTGGTTTCTATGCTTTAACTTAGATAAAATATTCTTATGAGTTATTTTTCTTATGTCAAAATTAGCTTGTTTTAATTTCTGTATAATAACTGCTGGATTTACCTTTAAAATTACTGTTCTTGAGGCGGTTGGATCAGATGAGGTCAGTAGTTCAAGATCAGTCTGGCCAACATGGAGAAACCCCCTCTGCTAAAAACACAAAAAATTAGCCTGACATTGTGGCATATGCCTGTAATCCCAGCTACTCAGGAGGCAGAGTCAGGAGAACCACTTGAACTCTGGAGGCAGAGATTGCAGTGAGCCAAGATCCTGCCTTCACCCTCCAACCTGAGTGACAGAGTGAGACTCTGTCTCAAAAACAAACAAACGAACAAACAAAATTACTGTTCCCTCTTTTTCACTTTTCACCACTTTTATTGTTGCCTTCCTTAGAAAGCCTAATGATTTTTCATTCAGCACATAAGTCTCATAACAAACACTTAACTTTCTACATCATATGGTTGTAGCAAAGTGTTGAGAAAAAGTGAGAGGTAAAGCCAGCTGGACTTCCTAGGTCAAGTGGGGACTTGGAGAACTTTTCTGTAGCTAGCTAGAGGTTTGTAAAATGCACCAATCGGTGCTCTGTAAAAATGCACCAATTGGTGCTCTGTAGCTAGCTAGAGGTTTGTAAAATGCACCAATCAGTGCTCTGTAAAAACGCACCACTCAGCACTCTGTAGCTAGCTACAGGTTTATAAAATGGACCAATCAGCACTCTGTAAAAGGGGCCAATCAGCAAAATATGGGCAGGGGCAAATAAGAGAATAAAAGCTGGCTACTCCAGCCAGCAGCAACAACCCACTTGGGTTCCCTTTCACACTGTGGAAGCTTTGTTCTTTTGCTCTTCACAATGAATCTTGCTGCTCCTCATTCTTTGGGTCTGCATCAACTTTAAGAGCTGTAACACTCACCGTGAGGGTCTGCAGCTTCATTCTTGAAGTCAGCAAGACCACAAATCCACCGGAAGGAACAAACTCTGGTCACATCTTGGCAACTAAGAAGGGACTATCACCAAGCGGTGAGTACCATGGGACCCCTTTCACTTGTTCTGTTTTTCCTTAGAATTCAGGGGCTAAACACCAGGCATGTGTTGGCTAGTTAAAAGTGACTAGCATGGCCACTGGACTAAAGACACAGATGTCAGGCTTTCTGGGAAAGGGCTAACAACCCCCGACTCTTTGGAATTGACATTGTTGGTTTTCCTGGAACCAGCTTCCACTTTTCCTGTACTTCCGAGCTAAGCCAACGGTCGACAGAGAGGAAAGCCCATCTGCAGGGTCCCAACAAAAATTTGGTTGACCCTGTAGCCATGAGCAGAACTCTCAGAGCCACAATGCCCAAGTGAGACTCGCCCATCTATCCTATCTATCCTGACCCTTGCCTCCTGGGTCCTAATGCCTATCAGACAGACTTCCTCCTGTTTCTCTTCTCTGAGGCTAGTCCTGCCTCCACTCCCTGTCTCTGGTGCTTTTCTAGTTTCTCCTATAAGAATGATTTCTCACACAAATTTTGGGACTGTGTTCCTTTCTTTAGGCACCCAGGCTCACCAATCAGAAAGACTTTTTTTTTTTTTTTTTTTACCCAAAGTCCCATCGAGGGGGAGACTATCTGGAATTTTAGGATCCCTCCTCAGACTAGCAGGCCTAACAAAGGCTATTCCCAAAGCTAGGATATGGGGAGCCTCAGAAATTATATCCTTCCTATCCATATGGTGAAAACTGATGACAAAAGACATCACTCTTCCAACCCTGGAGATCCCTTCCCTCCCTCAGGGTATGGCCCTCCACTCCATTTTGAGGCATATCATCTTTATAGGACAAGGGTAAGGTCCCAATACTAACAGGAGAAAACACTTAGGACTCTAACAGATTTTTGAGAATGCATAGGTAAGGGCCACTAAATCTGATTTCTCTCAGTCCTCTTTGTGGTCTAAGAGGAAAGGCAAAGGTGCAGGTTTTTGAGAATGCATCAATAAGGGCCACTAAATCCAACGTTCCTCAGTCCTCTTTGTGGTCTAGGAGGAAAACTAGCGTTTTTGCTGCTGCATTGGTGAGTGCAATTATTCCAATCAGCAGGGTCCAGAAACTGTTGTGGGTTCTTGGGCAAGAGGGGGATCAGCTGCTGCATCAGTGAGCACAACTATTCTGATCAGCAGGGTCCAGGTACCATTGAGAGTTCTTCAGCGGGGTTGGGGGAAAACAAACCAAAACTGCAGGCAGTTTTTTCTTTCAGATGCAAAACACTCAGGCATCAACAGGCTCACCCTTGAAATGCATCCTAAGCCATTGGGACCAAACCCTGAAAAAGAGGTGGCTCATTTTTTTCTGTACCACAGCCTGGCCCCAATATTCTCTCTCTGTTGGGGAAAAATGACCACCTGAGGGAAGTATCCATTACAATACGATCCTGTCAATTGACCTTTTCTGTAAGAGGGAAGGCAAATGGAGTGAAATACCTTATGTCCAAGCTTTCTTTTCATTGAAGGAGAATCAACACCTATGCAAAGTTTGCAATTTACATCCTACAGGAGGACCTCTCAGCTTACCTCCATATCCTAGCCTACCTATAGCTCCCCTTCCTATTAATAATAAGCCTCCTCTAATCTCCCCCTCTCAGAAGAAAACAAAGAAATCTCCAAAGGTACCACAAAAACCCCTGGGCTATCAGTTATGTCCCCTTCAAGCTCTAGGGGAGGGGAATTTGGCCCAACCCAGGTACATATCCCCTTCTCCATCTCTGATTTAAAGCAAATCAAGGTAGATCTGGGGAAGTTTTCAGATGATCCCGATAGGTACATAGTTGTCTTACAGGGTCTAGGGCAAACTTTTGACCTCACTTGGAGAGATGTCATGCTATTGTTAGATAAAATCCTGGCCTTTAATGAAAAGAATGTGGCTTTAGCTGCAGCCTGAGCATTTGGAGATACCTGGTATCTTAGTCAAGTAAATGATAGAATGACAATCAAAGAAAAGGACCAATTCCCTACTGGTGAGCAAGCCATCCCCAGTATGGATCCCCACCAGGGCTGTGACTCAGATCATGGGGACTGGCATCGTAAACATCTGCTGACCTATATTCTAGAAGGACTAAGGAGAATTAGGAAAAGCCCATGAATTATTCAATGATGTACACCATAACTCAGAGAAAGGAAGCAAATCCTTCTGCCTTCCTCGAGCAGCTATGGGAGGCCTTAAGAAAATATACTCCCCTGTCACCAGACTCCTTCGAGGGTCAATTGATATGAAAAGATAAGTGTATTACCAAATCAGTTGCAGATATCAGGAGAAAGCTCCAAAAGCAAGACCTGGGCCCTGAACAAAATCTGGAGGCATTATTAAACCTGGCAACCTTGGTGTTCTATAATAGGGACCAAAAGGAACAGGCCCAAAAGGAAAAGTGAGATAAGAGAAAGGCCACAGCCTTAGTCATGTCCCTCAGACAAACAAACCTTGGTGGTTCAGAGAGGACAGAAAATGGAGCAGGCCAGTCACCTGGTAGGGATTTTTATCACTGTGGTTTGCAAGGACACTTTAAAAAAGATTACTCAATGAGAAACAAGCCACCCCCTTGTCCATGTCCACAATGCTGAGGCAATCACTGGAAGGCGCACTGCCCCAGAGGTCAAAGGTTCTCTGGGCTAGAAGCCCCCAACCAGATGATCCAACAACAAGACTGAGGGTGCCCAGGGCAAGCGCCAGCTAATGTCATCACCATCACTGAACTCTGGGCAAGTTTAACCATTGAGAGCCAGGAAATTGATTTCCTCCTGGACACTGGGTGCAGCTTTCTCAGTGTTAATCTCCACCCTGGACGGCTGTCCTAAAGGTCCGTTACCATCCAAGGAATCCTGGGAGATCCTCTAACCATGTATTTCTCCCACATCCGCAGTTGTAATTGGGAGACTCTGCTCTTTTCACATGTCTTTCTTGTTATGCCTGAAAGTCCCACACCCTTATTAGGGAGGGATATATTAGCCAAAGCTGGAGCTATTATCTACATGAATATGGGGAAGAAGTTACCCATTTGTTGTCCTCTAATTGAGGGGGGAATCAATCCTGAAGTCTGGGCAATGGAAGGACAATTTGGAAGGGCAAAATTGCCCACCCAGTCCAAATCAGGCTAAAAGACTCCAACACTTCCTTATCAAAGGCAATATCTCTTAAGACATGAAGCTTATAAAGGATTACAGGATAGTGTTACACATTTAAAAGCTCAAGGCTTAGTAAGGAAATGCAGCAGTCCCTGCAACACCCCAATTCTAGGAGTACAAAAAACAAACGGTCTGTGGAGACTAATGCAAGATCTTAGACTCATCAGTGAGGCAGTAACTCCTCTATATCCAGTTGTACCCAAGTGCTATACCTTGCTCTCTCAAATACCAGAGGAAGCAGAATGGCTCACTGTTCTGGACTTCAAGGATGCCTTCTTCTGCATTCCCCTGCACTCTGACTCCCAGTTTCTTTTTGCCTTTGAGGATCCCACAGACAACACATCCCAAATTACATGGATGGTCTTGCCTCCAGGGTTTAGGGATAGCCCTCATCTGTTTGATCAGGCACTGGCCCAAGATCTAGGCCACTTCTCAAGTCCAGGTGCTCTGGTCCTTCAGTATGTGGATGATTTTCTTTTTGCTACCAGTTCGAAAGCCTCATGCCAGCAGGCTACTCTAGATCTCTTGAACTTTCTAGTTAATCCAGTGTACAAGGCATCTAAATTGAAGGCCCAGCTCTGCCTACAACAAGTCACATATATAGGCCTATTCTTAGCCAGAGGAACCAGGGCCCTCAGCAAGGAACAAATACAGCCTATACTGGCTTATCCTTGCTGTAAGACATTAAAACGATTGTGGTGGTTCCTTGGAATCACCAGCTTTTGCCAAGTATGAATCCCCAGATACAGAGAGATGGCCAGGCCACTCAATACTCTAATAATCAACATGACCCAGAGGGCCAATACTCATCTACTAGAATGGGAACCAGAGGCAGAAACAGCCTTCAAAACCTTGAAGCAGGCCCTAGGACAAGCTCCAGCCTTAAGCCTTCCCACAGAACAAAACTTCTCTTTATACATCACAAAGAGAGTGGGAATAGCTCTTGGAGTCCTTACTCAGACTCATGGGACAATCCCACAACCAGTGGCATACCTAAGTAAGGTAACTGATATAGTAGCAAAAGGCCAGCCTATTTATGGGTAGTTGCGGTGGTGGCCATCTTAGTATTAGAGGCTATCAAAATAATATAAGGAAAGGATCTCACTGTCTGGACTACTCATGATGTAAATGGCATACTAGGTGCCAAAGGAAGTTTATGGCTATCAGACAACCACCTGCTTAGATACCAGGTGCTACTCCTTCAGGGACCTGTGCTCCAAATACACACGTGTACAGTCCTCAACCCTAACTCTTTTCTCCCAGACGATAGGGAACCAATTGAGCATGACTGCCAACAAATTGTAACCCAGACTTATACTGCCTGAAAGGATCCTTAGAAGTCCCCTTAGCTAATCCTGACCTTAACCTATATACTGGTGGAAGTTCATTTGTGGAGAATGAGATATGAAAGGCAGGTTATGCCATAGTTAGTGATGTAACAGTACTTGAAAGTAAGACTTTTTCACCAGGGACCAGCACCCAGTTAGCAGAACTAGTGGCACTTACATGAGCCTTAGAGCTGGGAAAGGAAAAAAGAATAAATGTGTGTACAGATAGCAAGTATGGTTATCTAATCCTACATGCCCATGCTGCAATGTGGAAAGAAAGGGAGTTCCTAGTCTCTGGGGGAAACCCCATTAAATACCACAAGGAAATCATGGAGTTATGGCATACGGTGCAAAAACCCAAAGAGGTGGCAGTCTTACACTGCTGAAGCCATCAAAAAGGTGAAAGAGAAAAGGCAGAAGGAAACTGTCAGGCAGATGCTGAGGCCAAAATTGCTGCCAGGCAGAAGCTCCCATTAGAAATACCTATGGAATTTCCCTTGATATGGGACAACCCTCTCCAAGAGATTAAGCCCCAGTATTCCCCAATTGAAACAGAATGGGGACTTTCATGGGGGCATAGTTTTCTCCCCTCAGGGTGGTTAACAACAGAAGAGGGAAAGGTACTTATACCAGAAGCCAGCCAGTGGAAAATACTGAAGTACCTCCACCAAACTTTTCATGTGAGTATTGAGAACACTCATCAAATGCCCAAATCTCTATTTACAGGGCCAAATCTCCTCTGGGCCGTCCAACAAGAAGTCAAAGCCTGTGAGGTGTGCCAAATGAATAATCCCTTGGTCCATCATAAGGCCCCTATAGGGGAACAAAGAACAGGGCACTATCCCAGAGAGGAGTGGCAGTTAGACTTCACCCATATGCCTAAGTCAAAAGGATTTCAATACTTGTTGGTCTGTGTTGATACCTTGACAAATTGGATAGAAGCTGTCCCCTGCAAGACAGAGAAGGCTCAGGAAGTGGTTAAAGTCCTAATTCATGAAATAACTACTAGATTTGGGCTTCCACAAAGCTTACAAAATGACAATAGTCTGGCTTTCAAAGCCATGATAACTCAGGGAATTTCCAGGGCACTAGGGATACAATATCACCTTCACTGCACCTGGAGGCCGCATTCTTCAGGGAAGGTTGAGAAGGCAAATGAAACACTCAAGAGGCACTGAAGGAAACTAACACAAGAAACTCATCTCCATAGCCTACTCTCTGGAGTCCCAAGATCATCCAGACCATCCTCGATATACCTGTGAGCCATTGGAGGACTTGCATCTCCTATTTCAGAAGGACACATCCCAGACTAAAAAGGCTCCTACAACTGATCCTGAGGAAAAACCCCTTCCTACTTAAAAAAACAAATGAAAAAAGATAAGTGAAAACCTACATAATCTTTAACATCTCTGCTTGCCCCTTCAATGGAATCCTTTTACTGTTTCACCACATTATTAAGCAATATACTAATCATACTCTTTGCAGTAGGACTATACACTGTGGCTCCTGTCAGGATGAAAATCATAATCACATCAACCTTTATTCTAGCATCCTTCTTTCTGACAGCAATTTACTCCTACCTTTAACTCAGACTGGATAAAATGAACTCATCTTCCAGGGCACCCTCTTTACCTTCCTACTTACTCTTTGCCTATCTATTGCTCCTGCTTCCTTGGATACCCCATATAGTCACCCCTCTGCTTTCACTAGCTCCTAATTACCTCTACAAGACTCTCAACTTAACCCATTCTCTGTTAAGCTAGTCCAATCCTTCCCTGGCAAATGACTGTTGGCTTTATACCTCTCTATCAGCCACTGCTTACGTTGTCACTCTCGTTCTCGCAAAAAACTGGGTCTTTACTAACTTAACCTACCACCCCTGTTATGACCGAAAAGACCCTTTCCAGCTTCCAAATACACAATCATTAGCCAATTTCCCCATCTCTGATAGGACCAAGAAAACGCTAACAGGACGTGCAGTTCAACTTCTTTGCTCTTACATTTCCAACCTCACCTATTACACGAGCAATGAAAAGCTCAGTCACAGTCCTGTAACCATGAATGCTGTCTTAACTTTCCAAGACCCTTTATGCATCCAACACAACCTGTTATCAGGCCTGCCCCTGGGGCACCTAATATCCCATCAGTGTAATTACACCCTATAACTTCAAGCCCCAACTGATCATAGTAACTTCTGAGTCACCCAAACAGCTCCATTCAGATAGGTTGTCTGCTTCTCAGGGCCTCCAAAAATCATTACTTCCTCCCTACTTAACAAACTTTTTGGGTTTTATCATGGCAAACATATTCCCTGCATGACCATTCACCCCTGGACCCCCTGCAGGAGCGCCTCCACCACTCCATCCCCTCTTTCAATTACTCCCTTGAATGGTTCCTAGTAGACACAAAATAGTTTTTTCTCCAACTGGAAAATAGAACCCAAGGAGCCACTCAATTTGCTCCCAACACCCCTTCCCAGCCACTCACCAGAGCTACCTTGGCAAGGACTCTAGGAGTATGGGAAAATGAAAACAACAAACTCACATACGTTTTTAATATACACAACCAGTTCTGTCTACCCAACAAAGGCATATTCTTCTTATGTGGAACTTCAACTTATATCTTCCTTCAAACCAACTGGACAGGCACCTACACCTTAGTCTTCCTAAGTCCCAACATTGACAACAGGAAATCAGACCCTATCAAAGCTCAAGTCTGTCAGTGCAGGGCCATACAACTAATATCCCTACTTACAGGGTTAGGAGTGACCACTGCTACAGGAACCCGAATAGCAGGTTTTTCCACTTCACTATCCTACTACCACACACTTTCAAAGGATTTCTCAGACAGTTTGCAAGAAATAACAATCTATCCTTACTCTACAATCCCAAATAGACTCTTCGGCAACAGTGACTCTCTAAAACCACTGAGGCCTAGAGCTCCTCACTGCTGAGAGAGGAGGACTCTGCACCTTCATAGGGGAAGAGTGTTGTTTTTACACTAACCAGTCAGGGATAGTAAGAGACACGTCCCAGCATTCACAGGAAAGGCTTCTGAAATAAGACAATGCCTTTCAAACTCTTATACCAACCTCTGGAGTTGTGTGACATGGCTTCTCCTCTTTCTAGGTCCCGTGACAGTCATCTTGCTATTACTCGCCTTCTGGCCCAGTATTTTTAAGCTTGTCAAATTTGTTTCCTCCAGGATTGAGACCATCTGGCTACAGATGGTCTTACAAATGGAACCCCAAATGAGCTCAACTCACAACTTCTACCAAAGAACCCTGGACCAACCCACTGGCCCTTTGACTGGCCTAGAGCTTTCTCCTCTGGAGGTCACTACAACTGCAGGGCCCCTTCTTCAGCTCTATCCAGCAGGAAGTAGCTAGAGTGGTCATCGCTCAATTCCCAACAGCAGTTGGGGTGTCCTGTCTAGAGGGGACATTGAGAGGTGAAGCCAGCTGGACTCCCTGGGTCGAATGGGGACTTGGAGAACTTTTCTGTCTTACAAGAGGATTGTAAAATGCACCAATCAGTGCTCTGTAGCTAGCAAGAAGATTGTAAAATGCACCAATCAGTGCTCTGTAAAAATGCACCAATCAGTGCTCTGTAGCTAGCAAGAGGATTGTAAAATGCACCAATCAGCACTCTGTAAAATGCACCAATCAGCAGGAGTCTAAATGTAGCCAGTCATGGGATGGATTGAAAAAAGTGCACTCTGATAGGACAGAAACAGAACATGGGGGGGGACAAATAAGGGAATTAAAGCTGGCCACCCCAGCCAGCAGCAGCAATCTGCTCAGGTTCCCTTCCACACTGTGGAAGATTTGTTCTTTTGCTCTTCACAGTAAATCTTGCTGCTGCTCACTCTTTGGGTCTGTGCTACCTTTAAGAGCTATAACACTCACCATGAAGGTCTGTGGCTTCATTCTTGAAGTCAGTGAGACCACAAACCCACCAGCAGGAACAAACTCTGGACACACTAGCACACAATAGCACCAAACAAACAGAAAAAACAATTGCTAGTTAGGATATGGAGAAATCAGAATGCTTCTTCATTGCTTGCCAGAAGGTAAAATGATACAGCCCTATAGGAAACATTTTGAGAGCTCCTCAAAATGTTAAGCATAGACATACTATACTGTTGGCCAGGCACAGTGGCTCACGTCTGCAATCCCTGGACTTGGGGAGGCCAAGGCAGGTGGATCACCTGAGGTCAGGAGTTCAAGACCAGCCTAGCCAACATGGTGAAATCTTGTCTCTACTAAAAGTACCAAAAAGTTAGTTGGGCATAGAGGTGGGTGCCTATAATCCTAGCTACTTGGGAGGCTGAGGAAGGAGAATCACTTGAACCCAGGAAGCGGCGGTTGCAGTGAGCTGTGATTGCACTACTGTACTCCAGCCTGGGTGACAGAGTGAGACTCTGTCTCAAAAAAAATATGGTTTACAATTTTTCTCTTAGGCATATACACAAAAGAGCTGAAAGCAAGGACTTACAGTGTACGCACGCACAGTAATGTTTATAGCAGCATTATTCACAGTAACAAAAAAGGTGGAAGAGACTGAAATATCTTGTTAGGTGAAACTTAGCCCCCTGTTCCTGCAAAGGGAAGAAATGGATCCTGCAAAGGGATCCATTTCGTTTAGATGTTATGTAACGGGAGCTAGAAATAATGTAGCACTGTTACAATTTAGCAAAACAATTCCAGGATGTGGTTTTACTCAGAATGTATGCCATTCCAGCCTCCACAGTCAACCCCCATAAAACCCACCCTAGCATGTGAGCTTGGGGCTGCCTCCTCTGTTTACTGTGGAGCAGCCCAGAAGGTTATTAAAACTTGCTTGCCTGACTTTGGGTCTACTCATTCTTTCTCTCGGTTAACCTTAAATTTTGGTGCTGAAACCCGGGAAGGGGTAGGCTCTGGCTGGGAATCCTAAAAGGGCTCTTTCCTTTACCGTCTCTTGCACCCTTTCTCTCCTCCTGGGCTGGTCCATTGCAGCATGCTATAGCCTCAGTGCCTTTCCTCTTCTCCTGGCCACCCTCCCCTTCCTGAACCAGCTGAATACCTGAAGGATTTCTCGGACCCCCCCATTGCTGGTGACTTCATTCATTATTAGAGTCTACACGGGTGTGAGTAAGAGAGACTCTTGCCATTTACCCTGGACACTTGCCATCTGTGTCTTCCTGAAAGACCCAGCAGTGGGCCAAGGGCTCCCTCTGGCCTCTAGGCCTCCAGCTCTCCCATTTCAGGGACACCTAACTCAGTGGTTGCCTTCCTTATACTGAACAAGTCCCACGGGACTGGGGGCATCCTCTCCCACTGTCCTTGCCACCAGCAGCCTCTTCTTCCTCTATGCCCTCCTCTATTTGCTATAGGAGCCTCTTAGTCTACTCCATCTAAAACTACCCCCCGGGGTGCCTCCTGTACAACTTTAACATGCTTGGCCTCTGTTCAGAGGTTTGTCCCAAGAGGTTTATTTTCTCCTCTAATACGGCTTGGCCACAATATAAATTAGATAATGGCTCTCAATGATCTGAAAATGGTACTTTCAATTTCAATATACTCAGGGACCTAGACAATTTTTGCCATCGCAATGGGAAATGGTCTAAGATTCGTTATGTTCAGGCCTTCTTCACTGTCTGTAGCCGCCCTTCCCTTTGCCAGTCCTGCTCTACTTTTCAAATCCTTCTTGCCTGCTCCAAATATGATTTATCCGCAGTCACTCACTTTACTGCCCCAGCCAATGATTCCTCATCCTTTGATCCTGCCGATTTCCCTCCTCCCCAGCAACCTCATGTCCCTCCACTAAAACATCATGACCCCCCTCCATATGCCCCTATCTCTTTCCCCTCCTCTTTCCAGCCACCCTGCCTCTGACTCTAAAACATCTCCATCTCCAAACCTCACCTGCTCCCAAGCCTAATATATCCCTCCTCCAGCCCCCTTGCTACCCCTTCAAGAGGTGGAAGAAGCCAAAGGGATCATCCATGTTCATGTTCCCTTCTCTCTCTCTAATCTCTCCCACATAAAAAAGTCTCTTGTCTTTCTCCTCCAATCCCAATACTTATATCAAAGAATTTAAATATCTCTCCCAGTCTTATGAACCTACTTAGCACAATCTCTATATTATCCTCTCTTCTACCCTTCTTCTGGAAGTGAAAGAGTGTGGCTTGCCACCCAGGCACATGCCAATGACATCCACTGGCAAGATCCTACTAAGCCCATAGGAGCCACTGCAGTTCCCCAGAAAGTGCCTTCCTAAGAGTAGCAACCCACAGAACCCAGCTGGGTGTCCCGTACTCATCTGACTACTTGCCTCATTGCAGGCCTTAACAAAGCTGCCCATAAGGCTGTAAATTAAAAAACAAAAACAAAACAAAAAAAAATCTCCAAAAACTTTCCCCAAAAGCAGATAAAAACCCTGCTGAATTCCTTTCCCACCTTACAGAGGCTCTCCAAAAATATACCCGCATTGATCCTGCCTTTTGGGAAAAAACTATTGTTCTTAATACCCATTTTATCTCCCAATTGCCCCCAACATCTGGCGCAAACTTAAAAAAGTTGAAGATGGCCTCTCAAACCCCAGAACAAGACCTCCTTAACCTGGCATTTAAAGTCTTCAATAACAGGGATGAGCAAAATAAATTAGATAAAGCCTAAAGAGATAGTGCTACATACCACCTTCTAGTAGCTGTTATCCACCAACCCATCCATACCACCCAAGGGCACAAAAGACCTGATAGCATTAACCCTCCTGGGCCTTGTTTTAAGTGCAGTAAAAAAGGCCACTGGGTGCGGGCATGTCCTAACCCGAGGGTGCCAAAAGGCCCTTGCCCAGTCCGCCAGGAGACAGGCTACTGGAAGTCTGACTGTCCTCCCTACAGAAAGAAAAAAAGCCGGCACCCCAAGATACCCTGCCTTCGGCAAGAAAAATGACAATGAATTGCTTGCACTCCCACAGCTCCTTGGCCTAGCTGCTGATGGTTGATGAGGCCCAGGGCCTTCAGCCCCATCTGCTATCACTGCATTGGAGCCCAGGGTAACTCTACTAGTAGCAGGTAAGCCAATCTTTTTTTTAAATCAATACCGAGGCCACCTACCTGGCTTTGCCTGAATTTTCGGGACCAACTCATCCCTCTCAGGTCTCAGTTGTGGGAGTTAATGGACTCCTCTCATGTACACGTGCCACTAGACTTCTTGCTTTTTCCTTATTTAATATTGTTTTTTCTCACTCTTTCCTTATCATGCCTCATTGTCCTACCCCCATTCTAGACTGAGACCTTTTAGCCAAATTCAAGGCTTCTATCTCATTTTCCTGGCTCCCTCAACCAGAGTCCCTCCTGCTCCTCTCCATTAGTCCGGCCCCTGACCCCTCTCCCCAGCACCCACTTTCCACCTCTCTCATTATCCCAGTAGTGTAGCACACTGCCCTAGCTGCTTACCATGACCCCATTAAAATCCACTTAAATGACCCTTCTAACTTTCTCAATGTCCCTCAATATCCTATCTCACTGATTCATCAGAGGGGCCTACAACCCATCATAAGCAAACTCCTCTTGTGCAGCCTCCTCAAACCAACCCATTTTCCATGTAATACTCTCATACTCCCTGTCAAAAAGACAGATGGCTGTTATCAACTAGTCCAAGACCTCCAATCTATTAATCAGGCAGTCCTAACCATCCATCCAGTAGTTCCTAATCTCTACACACTTCTTTCCCTTGTTGCTCCCAACACAACCCACTACATTACAATTGATCTAAAAAATGCCTTCTTTACCATTCCCCTTCACCTTGACTCCCAAGATCTCTTTGCCTTCACCTGGCCTGACCCTAAAACCCTCGTCACAACAACTTACTTAGACAGTCCTTCCTCAAGGCTTTAGAGACAATCCTCCTTTCTTTAGATAAGCTGTAGCTCAAAACCTCACCTCCCTAAACCTCTCCCCTAGTCAGCTCCTTCACTATGTAAATGACCTCCTTCTCTGTAGTCCTTCCCCAAAGAAAACTCAGAATCACACTATCTCATTCTACTAAGTTTTCTTGCTAATAAAGGATATAAGGTTTCTCCTTCCAAAGCACAACTCTCCTCCCCAACAGTAACATATTTAGGAATCCAACTTTCACCCAGGGCCCAAGCCATGACCCCAGCGTGGGCAGCCTTAATAGATAGCCTGCCTCTATCCGCCTCTAAAAATAAAATCCTTTCCTTTTGGGGGTTAGCAGGCTTCTTCAAAATATAAATTCCCAACTTTGCCCTGTTAGCCCACCCCTTTATCAAGCAGCCAAAGGCCCTTTAAATGAGCCTCCAAATCCTTCCCACAACATAATCCCTAGCTTCCACAAACATAAAGCTACTCTTGTAACCACCCCTACTCTATCTCTGCCAAACATTTCTCAGGTGTGATGAGGTCTAGCCTCTGGGGTTCTGTAGGGTTACTGCAGCCAGGGAATCTAAATGGTTTTGTAAATGAGTGATGGAATTAGCAATTCCATCAGCCCTTCATTATCTATTACAGCCAAACGCCAAGAAATAGCCCTCAGTGTTCTTGGCCAACAAAAGGGAAATCTTCCTTCCTTTGCTCCTGTAGCCTATCTTTCTAAACAACTAGAGTGTACCACCAAAAGATGGCCAACTTGCCTCAGAGCCCTAGCGGCAGCCACCACCCTGGCATTAAAAAGCAAAACAACGTAACATTTGGTCAACACACCACCATCCACAGCCCACATAACCTACAAGACATACTCTCTTGCAAAGTGCTCAGTGTCCTTTCTCCATCCTATATCCAACTACTCCATGCTCTGTTTCTTAAAAACCCTGAGTTCTACCTTTCCAAAAGCACTCCCCTCAACCCTGCATCTACTCCCAGTATCTTCCTCGCCTCCCACCAACTCCTGTACCAATATCCTTAATCACCTGCAACTTCATTTCCCTAATATCTCTCCTATTAACGACTCCTCTTCCAAGTCCATTGCCAAAGCTGAACCAAGCCCCTCCAAATAAGGAACTTACACACTCCAACACCTATTCTCAATCCACTCATCTGTTTATATTAACATCTCAGGCGTCTTCTTCTTCTTTGGATCTACAACCTACTTTTGTCTCCCTACCAATTGGACAGGTACTTGCACCCTAATTTACCCCCACCATTAACATTGTTCCCCCAGACCAAGACCTCCCTGTCCCTGCCATGCTTCATGCCGGCCCCAAAAAAGCAATACAGTCCATTCCCTTATTAGCTGCACTTGGAGCTACAGCTACGGTCAGGTTAAGAGCAGGAATCCTAGGAACATCATTGTCATACTTTCGGACACTTTCTTAAGATCTCCAATCCACTCTAGAAAAAAATTGCTAATTCCATCACTCATTTACAAAACTATTTAGATTCCCTGGCTGCAGTAACCCTATAGAACCCCAGAGGCTAGATCTCCTCACACCTGAAAAAAGAGGTATGTCTCTTTCTCGATGAACAGTGTTGTTTCTACCTCAGTAAGTCTGGGGTAGTTCAAAATGCTGTCAAAAAACTCAAAGACCAAGCTCAAAAACTCCAAAATAACCATTCTAACTGGCTTCAATGGCTACAATACTCCTGGGCACCCTGGCTATTGCCTCTTCTTGGCCCCACAATAGGGCTGTTTCTCCTGCTAGCTTTCGGACCCTGTCTTTTATGCCTCCTAATCCAGCTCTTGCAGGACTGGATCAAAGCCTTCATACACAGCACCTTACAGGACATAATGCTCCTCCAAAAATGATAGAAACTGTATAAGTAGCCATACCCAACCTTCATCCCCATTCAGTAAGAGGTAGCCTGATGACCACAAAGCTCCTTTTTCCTAAAATTAATAAAAGGAATGTTAGGTGAAACTTAGCCACCTGTTTCTGCAAGGATCCCCACTCCCGATTTCCTTTAGGTGTTATGTAACCTGAGCTACAAATAATGCAGCACTGTTAGAATTTAGCAAAACAACTCCAGGATGTGGTTTTACTCAGAATGTATGCCATGCCAGCCCCCACAGTCAAACCCCATAAAGCCCCCCCTAGTGTGTCAACTCAGGGCTGCCTCCTCTGTTTACTGTGGAGCAGACCGGCAGGTTAATAAAACTTGCTTGCCTGACTTTGGGTCCGTTCATTCTTTCTCCCGGCTAACCTTTCATATCTATCAACAAATAAAAGTAATACATGGCTTATGCACACAATGGAATAGTCTTATAAGAAAATTATGACACATGCTACAAAATGAATGAGTGTCAAAGTCAATACATTAAATGAAACAAGCCAGTCACCAAATAAAAAATATTGTGTGATTCCACTCATGTAAGTAATCAAATTCACACAGACAGGAAGTGGAATATTTGTTGCCAGATAGGGGCATAAGAAGGGATAGGAAAGCATTGCCTAATTGGTTTAAATTTCTAGTTTGGAAAGGTGAAAATGTTCTGGAGACCGATGGTGATGATGGTTGCCAATGTGAATGTACTTAATGCCACTGAATTTACACCTAAAGTAGTTAGAACTGTAAATTTTATGTTGTGTTGTGTTTTATCACAATCAAAAACTAGTTTCTATGAAGGGGATAAAATCTGAGTGTAAATTATCATCAAAAGAGAAACAAGATAGAAATAAAAGAGATTTGTATTAGGCAAGCCTGAGAATGTAATGAGGAAAGAAGAAAAATCAGTTATAGTAATGATGACATTAATTGAAACTTGATTGTAAATAAGGTGTGATAATTTTTTAATTGTCATCTTAATATAAATAGCCTATTTTAGTAGTAAATTTTAATATACAAAAAATCATAAATTATAAGCTTATAATAGGTATGCAATATATACCTGGTATATTATATAAATCTGTTACATAAACCTGTTATTATTCTATAATATATAACATACACTTGGTAATATATTATATACCTGGTTTATATAATATACCAGGTATATATTATACATTATAAAATATGTTATATATCATATATAACATATGTAATTATATTTTATATGGCATATTATATAACATATATTATATTATATATAGCATATTATATATAACATATTATATTATATATAGCATATTATATATAACATATATTATATTATATTATACATAATTATATATGTTATATATAATAATTATATATAATAAATAATATATATAATATATATGATATATATAATTATATATAATATATAATTATTATATATGTTATATAAAATAATTATATATTATATATAATTATATACAAAAAATCATAAATTATAAACTTATAATAGGCATGTAATATATACCTGGCATATAAATATATATTCATATGTTATTTGTTATATAGTATGATATATAACATAATGTATAAATACATATTATATATTTATATGTAATATATAATATAATATAATATATAACAATATATAAACATATATTTATATAATATACCAGGTATATTGTATACATATAATGTATACAATATAATATAATATATGTTATATGTTACATATTATATTATATATAATATAATATATTATATATATAATTATAATAATAAAATATATAATATATAATTATATATAATTATTATATATAATTATAATAATATAATATATTATATAATATGTAATATATTATATATAATGTAATATATATAATATATAATATATTCTTATATATTTATATTTATATAATATACAATATATTATATATATTTATATATTTACACAATATATTATATATATATTTATATATTTATATAATATATATAATATATTATATAAGTAATATATATTATAATATATAATATATTATATAAGTAATAAATATATATTATAATATATAAATATATATTATAATATATAATATATAAGTAATATATAAATATATATTATAATATATGATATATTATTATATTTTATATATTTTATTTTATATATTTTATGTATTTTATATAAATATATAAAATATTATATAATTATATAATATATTATTGTATTTAAATGTTATATATACATATATATTATATATAATTATATTATATATAACATATGTAACATGTATTATGTTATATAATTATATATGTTGTATATTTTATATATTACATAATATAGTATAACAATTGTTATATATGACATTACATATAACATATATTATATACATAAGTGATATATAATACATGTTATCTTATATATTACCCATTATATATGATATACCAGCTATGTTATATATTTATATATTATAATTATATTATATATTGTATAATTATATAATATTATATAATTATGTTTTATATTATATAATATACCAGGTATACATTATATATAATAGAATTTTCCTGAAGTTTGTCACTTAAGCTATAGGATACTAGAAACAATTATAAATAGGATATTAGATACAAATAGAAACAGTATCTAGCATCCTTTGGGTTGATTAAGTGACAAACTTCTTCAGGAAATTTTTTTAGGCTTTTGGCTGGGCACAGTGGCTCCTGCCTGTAATTCCAGCTCTGTGGGAGACCAAGTCATGGGGATTACCTGAGCCCAGGGGTTTGAGATAAGCCTGGGAAACATAGAGACCCTGTCTACAAAAAATACAAAAGTTAGCCAGGTGTAGGGGTGCACACCTGCAATCCCAGCTACTTGAGAGGCTGAGGTGGGATAAGTTGTGCCTGGGAAGTCAAGGCTGCTGTGAGTTGAAACTGTGACACTACACTCCAGCCTTAGGTGACAGAGTGAGACTTTATTTCAATGACAACAACAACATTATCTAGGTATTGAACTTCTACTTGCTTTCTCATTCTAGGAAGATTAACAGAAGTAACTCTTTTTTGTGGAAGTGGTATAAACAGTAAAAGGAAATTCTTTGCATTTTTCTTTTCAATATAAGCAATGAAGTGTCTAAACTGACAACTCTACAAGGTAGACTACATTCCTAAGACAAGAAGCTTCTACACAGTAGTCAATACTGAATCTGCTTATTGTGACCGAGGTAGATAAACAGAAACCTTAATAGTATAAAAGGAAAATCATAGGACCCCAAAATTACTAAGCTAAAGTGAAAAGTCAAGCTGGGAACTGCTCAGGAAAAACTTGCCTCTCATTCTATTCAAAGTCACCCCTCTGCTCACTGAGATAGATGCATATCTGATTGCCTAAAACTTTTTGTGATTTACAAACAACTGTTGTTTTATTTTGATCCTCTTTAGAAGGTGGTTTTATAATCAGCTATAAACTCTAACAGATGCTCTTGAATTCAGGTTTCTGATAACTTTGGAGATTGTGACATCAGAATAGAGGAAAAACTTTCAGGACTCATGGAGAATTTAAATGTTCCGGAATATCAAGCAGAATAGGAATAACTGCATGAACTGAATATGAATATGAACTTCTTGACTTTTTGCTTAAAACATTGCTGATCCCTTGTTTTTCAGTCTTGAAATTTTTCTTTTGTGCTATTGTCAGCTTTTAATAATTTAATAAATACATATGAATAAAATGTGGAGCATATTTGTTTCTCTTGACCTGATTTCTCCAGAATTTGGAAAGTATTTGTGAGTATTCTTAACTTATAGCAATATAGCTATTTGCATAAGCACAGTAACAATCTATTGGAGAAACTGGTTATTTTACCACAGCATTGACTGGAATGATATTCTTCTTTTAAGGAATCAAACTTGATTTACAGAGCCAATAAAGTCCTTGGAAAAAGTGGTTACATATTTTGTGTACAGAGTCCCCATACAGGCTTCCTGACCTGTGGTAAGTAAAGAATGTCACTTTCTGACAGGGACAGAAGCTCCAAGTTAATTTTGGACCCAAAAGAGGAGAGGAAATTCACCGAGCTCATAGGTATTTGATTGTACAAAGCCAGGGATGGGCTGGGCTTTATAAAAGTCTCATCTGAGATTCCTTCTATGGAGAAAGTCACATTATAGCCAATTTTTAAAAAAGCCTATGTGAAAAATACTTACTTTTGCTGTAGTTTATACAAATAATCTGGCCAAGTAAAATAAAGCAAATTGATCCTACCATGATTTGTCTCTAGTAAAAATTGGAAACTGGATAGAGAAAAAAATATGTTTCAAAAACTAGAGTAAACCCGTTATTAGATTCTAGTCTTGCCTAATGTTTTATTCAACTTTTATTATTTTCTACAGTTTGGGCTGAATTCTATTTTTTTCTTGGCTACAAGTCTTCAAAATAATTTTTCCAAGGTTTTTTCTCATTACCCTCCCCCATTTTTCCTAATTTGGGGTCATGGAAAACTAAGCTGTGCTTTCTTAAAGCCCTGCAAACTGAAGCCACACAACTTAAACTTCACATGAAAATAACAACAACCTATTTACATACATAAGCCACGTTCATACCTGCCTACTGATGTATGAATTTCAGAAGAATATAGACTGTAACAATTTTCCAGTATTGTTCTTTTGTTTGTTGTTGTTTTTCTCTCTTCTTCCACCTATTTTCTCTTCATAGGAAAGGAGACTTGACAACCTGCTAAAAATTAGCTTTCAGGATCTGTCTAGTAATAAACCATCCTATCCATGACAGATCATATGAAAACTGAGACGGAGACTCATTTTTTTCTGAAATGTTTTCTCCAAAATATTTTTAAAAAGAAAAGGAAGGGCTGGGGGCAGTTGCTCACGCCTGTAATCCCAGCACCTTAGGAAGCCGAGGCGGGTGGATCACCTGAGGTCAGGAGTTCAAGACTAGCCTGGCCAACATGGTGAAACTCTGCCTCTATTATAAATATAAACATTAGCTGGGCGTGGTGGCGGCTGCCTGTAATCCCAGCTACTTGGGAGGCTGAGGCACGAGAATCGCTTGAACCTCGGAGGCAGAGGTTGCAGTAAGCCAAGATCGTGCCATTGTACTCCAGCCTGGGTGACAGAGCGACACTTCATCTTAAAAAATAAAAAAAGGCCACGCAGTGGCTCACGCCTGTAATCCCAGCCTTTGGGAGTCCAAGGTGGGCAGATCACGAGGTCAGGAGATCGAGATCATCATGGCTAACAAGGTGAAACCCTGTTTCTATTAAAAGTACAAAAAATTAGAAAAAATTACCTGGGCATGGTGGCTGGCACCTGTAGTCCCAGCTACTGGGGAGGCTGAGGTGGGAGAATGGTGTGAATCCACGAGGTGGAGCTTGCAGTGAGCCGAGATAGCACCACTGCACTCCAGCCTTGGTGACAGAGCCAGACTCTGTCTCAAAAAATAAAAATAAAAAAAAGAAGTAAATGTGAAATAAAAATCTTGGGGCCCCAAATTACTAAGCTAAGAAAATAGTAACTCTGGGAACTGCTTGGGGGCAACCTGCTTCCCATTCTATTTAAAGTTATTCCTCTGCTCACTGAGATAGATGTATATTCTCCTTTATTTTTATTTTTCGAGATGGAATCTCGCTCTGCCACCCAGGCTGGAGTGCAGTGGTGTTATCTCGGCTCACTGCAACCTCTGCCTCCCGGGTTCAAGTGATTTTTCTGCCTCAGCCTCCCAAGTAGCTGGGACTACAGGCATGCCACCACCACACCCAGCTAATTTTTGTATTTTTAATAGAGATCAGGTTTTCCCACATTAGCCAGGCTGGTCTGGAACTCCTGACCTCAGGTGATCCTCCTACCTCGGCCTCCCAAACTGCTGGGATTACAAGCCGGAGCCTGTGCCTGGCCAATAGATGCATATTCTGATTGCCTTCTTTGGAAAGGCCAATCAGAAACTCAAAATAATGCAAACATTTGTCTCTTACTTATTTAAGACCTGGAAGCCCCCTCTCTGGTTCGAGTTGCCCTGCCGTTCTGATCAGAACCTACATACTTTTACATATATTGATGTCTTATGTCTCCCTAAAATGCATAAAACCAAGCTGTGCCCCAACCACCTTGCACATATGTCATCAGGACTTCCTAGGCTGTGTCACAGGCACACATTCTCAACCTTGGCAACATAAACCTTCTAAATTAACTGAGACCTGTCTCAAATTTTGCAGGTTCACACCGCACATATACCTATGTGGTTTCTCTCACAACAACAAATATTTCTTACTTAGTTATATATGTTAACAATAAGAATTTGCCTTGAAAGATATTGTTGTAGGACTTTCTCCTCAGTTCAGCTAAAATCCAGGTTCTTGTCACACATCCAAGAAAAATTAGGCTTGTGGACACACAGAATGGAGAGAAAAACAGAATTTATTGGGCAAAAAAAGGAAAAGGAGAAAAATTGTCAGCAGTGTGAGAGGGAAGCCTGTTAATTGGCTCCTGCCCTATCACACAGGAACTCCAAAGGCTGGGCTCCTCCCTTCTGCAAATGAAGGGAACTTCGGTGGCTCCACTCCATTCTCCCAGTGCACAGGCTAGTTGGAGATTCTCCCAGATCAGCAGTCCGATTTTTCAGTTTTCAGGCTGTTTTAGGTTTGAAGGCAGGGTTTCACCAGGGAGAAGGCTGTGGGGGGCCCTTGGCTGCCTCACATTTCTATCAGTATCAATACCAAGTATTATTTATATAAACTAGGTTAATTGAGCTAAAGTTTATCAATAAACTTTATTTTTATTAATCTAAGTTATTAGTACACTAAGCTATGATTTCTAATATTTGGAAACTGGGAAGAAATACGCGATCCACTACCCAAAAGCCTCTATGCAAAAGCCTCTAATGCAAAGTGCCACTGTTAGGTTAACACAAGTCTTCCAAAACTAGGCATTTTTGTTATTTGGGGCTGGATACATTTTGTTCTGCTGCTTTGGTTAACTGTCCTGTACATTGTAGGAGGCTTAGCAGCACCTCTGACCTCTGCTCACCAGGAGCTGTTACCACTACTATCCATTCCTTCCCTACAGTTGTGACAGCTAAAAATGCCTCCATACATTGCCAAATAACCTATTCAGAAACAGGGGGATAATCTATGACTGTGAACTAGGTGTTAAATGATAGTGTTTGCAAATAACAAAAATACCTTTTTCCCCCTATACATTTTAGTCCTGATGGATCACTGAAAAAGAATAAAATTTGTTACTCTTAATTATTCTGAATTATTGGACTACTAGTTACAAATCTAATGGAATTTTTTATTATTTAAATATATCAACTTAATTTCAATTTAAACACAAATGATTAATTCAAAAATCTACAAAATCTATTCTAACATAATTAATAAATGAAGTCTTTTAGTTGAAATGCGTGTTTTTTTGTTTGTGTGTTTTTTTGTTGTTGTTGTTTGTTTTTTTTTTTTTTTTTTTGAGACGGAGTTTACTCTTTTTGCCCAGGCTGGAGTGCAATGGCACAATCTTGGCTCACCGCAACCTCCGCCTCGTGGGTTCAAGCACTTCTCAAGCCTCAGCCTCCCGAGTAGCTGGGGTTACAGGCATGCACCACCATGCCTGGCTAATTTTGTATTTTTAGTAGAGACAGGGTTTCTCCATATTGGTCAGGCTGGTCTCAAACTCCCAACCTCAGGTGATCCACCCGCCTTGGCCTCCCAAAGCGCTGGGATTACAGGCGTGAGCCACCATGCCTGGCCAAATGCTTGTTTTAAAAGTGCAAGGATTTATAAAATGTTTCCAACTTCACCTATTCATGCTTTTATTTCTTTAAATGTGTAACAGCCAGGTACAGTTTCCTAAAAAAAAAAGTATGTTGTAGTTTATTATAAAAGATTCACAGCTTACTGTAGTAGACAAAGGTACCCTGGATTTATGAAATTCTGGTTTATCACAATGAAACAAAACAATCAGGGTGTAAGTAGAAAAGTGTCATGGCCCCCCCCTTACTTCTTGGTTTACTGCAGGTAAATGGAGCATATGTATATATTACTACATACTTTTAAGACTCCAGTGAACTTTAAAAAGCATCATATGTGAAGTAAATTAACATGTGTTTTCTTTTGATGTAATCTCATATTTTATTTGCAATTAAAGAAGTAGGTTGACAGGTAACTGTCAAAATAGTATTTCCATTTTTTTCCTATGTCAGACTTTGTGTCCATTTATATTGCTCACTGAACAATAATTTGAAATTGTTACCTACGCTGTCTAATATCCAGATAGCTGACAATCATAGCATACTCAGAATAACTGAAACTAGTTTATGTATCCTGAGTACCACTGTTACTAAAAACATATTCAGCTCCTATATATAACACTTTGAAATAAGCATTGTATGAAGCAAATTATACACATGTGAAACCTCTATAGCTTTAACAATTAAAAGTTGTATTCCAAAGACCAAGTTTTTGCAAATTTTTTGAAAGTATAAAATAAAGACACTATTTTGAGACACAATAACCATAGCACCTAATGCTCTTTCACACCTGTTATGTGGTGATTTCTATCAAGGTATTTGACAATTAATTTTTTAAGGTTCTGTGTGCAAATATCTTAGAGTCTTTATAATTGATGTGAATTAATGAAATTGTCTCATTTTATCATTATATTTATTGTCTATTTATCATACAGTATGTATTACCCAAATACAGAAATCAATATATTTATTTATTTTTATTTAGTTTTTGTGGGTGTATAGTAGAGGTATCTATTTATGGGGTATATAAGATGTTTTGATAGGGGCATGCAATGTTAAATAAGCACATCATGGAGTAGGAGGTGTCCATTCCCTAAGCATTTATCTTTGGTGTTACAAACAATCAAATTTTACTCTTCTTTTTTAGAGATGGAGTTTCACTCTTGTCGCCCAGGCTGGATTACAATGGTGCTATCCTGGCTCACCGCAACCTCCACCTCCCAGGTTCAAGCAATTCTCCTGTCTCAGCCTCCTGAGTAGCTGGGATTACAGGTGCCCACCACCATGCCTGGCTAATTTTGTATTTTTTAGTAGAGACAGGGTTTCACCATGTTGGCCAGGCTGGTCCTGAACTCCTGACCTCAGGTGATCTGGCCACCTTGGACTCCCAAAGTCCTGGGATTATAGGCATGAACCACCATTCCCAGCCCCAATTATACTCTTTAAGTTATTTAAAAATATATAATTATGTTATTATTGATTATAGTCATCTGGTTCTGCTATCAAATACTAGATGTTATTAATTTTTTTTAACTATTTTTTTTGGTACTGATTAATCACCTCCATCTCCCTGCTGAGACTCCCACTACCTTTCCCAGCCTCTGGCAACCATCTGCCTACTCTCTCTCTCTCCTCTCTCTCCGTTTCCTTTTTGAATCAGGGTCTCATTATGTCGCCAAGGGTGGAGTGAAATGGTGTGATCTTGGCTCACTGCAGCTACGACCTCTGGAGGCTCAGATGATTCTTTCACCTCAGCCTGCAAAGTAGCTGGGACTGCAGGTGTGCACCACCATGCTTGGCTCATTTTTGTATGTTTAGTAGAGATGGCATTTCACTATGTTGCTCAGGCTGGTCTCAAAGTCCTGGACTTGAGCAATCTGACTTCCTTGGCCTCCCAAAGTACTGGGATTACAGGTGTGAGCCACCATGACTGGCCCAATCCTTCTATTCTCTATGTTCATGTGCTCAATTGTTATGATTTTTCAGATCCCAGTAATTAGTGAGAACATGTGATGTTTGTTATTCTGTGCCTGGTTCATTTCACTTAACATGATGTCCCGTTCTATTTATCTTGTTGCAAATGACTGGATCTTATTTTTTTTTATGGCTGAATAGTACTTCATTGTGTATATGTACCACATTTTCTTTTCTTTCTGTTTTTTTTTTTTTTTTTTTTTTTTTTTTTTGAGACAAAGTCTCACTCTGTTGCCCAGGCTGGAGTGCAGTGGCATGATCTCAGCTCACTGCAACAGTCTGCCTCCCTGGTTCAAGCGATTCTCTTGCCTCAGCCTCCCCAGTAGCTGGGACTACAGGTGCTCACCACCACACCTGGCTAATTTTTGTATTTTTTAGTAGATACGGGGTGACACCATATTGGCCAGCCTGGTCTCGAACTCCTGACCTCGTGATCCCCCTGCCTCGGCCTCCCAAAGTGCTGGGATTACAGGTGTGAGCCACCATGGCCAGCCACTACATTTTCTTTATCCATTCATCTGCTGATGGACACTTAGGTTGCTTGCAAATCTTATCTATTGTAAACAATGCTAAAACAAACAGGAGTGTAGATATCTCTTCAATATATGAATTTCCATTCTTTTGGGTATATACTCAGCAGTAGGACTCTGAGTCATATGGTATCTCAAGTTTCAGTTTTTATTTTTATTTTTATTTTTTTTTTGAGGACCCTCCAACTGTTCTCCATAGTGGTTGTACTAATTTGCATTTTACATTAGCTCCAACTTATATGAGGGTTCCCTTTCTCCACATCCTCACCAGCATTTATTACTGCCTGTCTTTTGTATATAAACCATTTTAACTAAGGTAGGATGATATCTCATTGTGGTTTTGATTTACATTTCTTGGGTGATCAATGATATTGAGCACATCTTCACATGCCTGTTTGCCCTTTGTATGTCTTCCTCTGAGAAACGTCTATTTAAATCTTTTATGCATTTTTTTTATCAGATTGTTAGATTTTTTTTTCCCTATAGAGTTGTTTGAGCTATTTATATATGCTGGTAATTAATGCTTTGTCAGATGGGTAGTTTGCAAATATTTTCTTCTATTCTGTGGGTTGTCTCTTCACTTTGTTGACTGTTTCCTTTTCTGTGCAGAAGGTTTTTATTTTTAATTATTTTATTTCTTTAAATTTTATGTTCAGGGTTACAAGTACAAGTTTGTTACACAGGTAAATTTCTCTCATGGGGTTTGTTGTAGAGATTATTTCATCACACAGGTATTAAGCCCAGTACCCATTAGTTATTTTTCCTGCTTCTCACCCTCCTCCCACCCTCCATGATCCAAAAGGCCCTAGTGTGTGTCAATCCCCTCTATGTGCCCAGGTGTTCTCATCATTTAGCTCCCACTCATAAGTGAGTACATGCTGTATTTGGTTTTCTGTTCCCGTTTTAGTTTGCTAAGGATAATGGCCTCCAACTCCATCCATGTTCCTGAAAAGGATTTGATCTCATTCTTTTCTATGGCTGCCTAGTATTCCATGGTACATATGTACCACATTTTCTTTATTCAGTCTATCATTGCTTTTTAACTGGATGTGATTCCATTTATTCATTTTTGCTTTGGTTGCCTATGCTTGTGGGGTATTGCAAAAGAAATTTTTGCCTAGGCTCATGTCCTGGAGATTTTTACCAATTTTTTTTGTAGTAGTCTAATGATTTGAGACCTTAGATTTAAATCTTTAATTCATTTTGATTTGATTTTTATATATGGCAATAGATGGGGGTCTAGTCTCTTTCTTCTGCATGTGCATATCCAGTTTTTCGAGCACCATTTATTGAAGAGATTGTCATTTCTCCAATGTATGTTCTTGGCATCTTTGTCAAAAACTAGTTCACTGTAGGTGTGTAGATTTGTTTTTGGGTTCCGTATCCTGTTCCATTGGTCTATGTGTCTGTTTTGATGCCAGTAACATGGTATTTTGGTTACTATGGCTAAGTAGTATAATTTGAAGTCAGGTAAGGCAATGCCTCCTGCTTTATTCTTTTTGCTTTGGCTATTTTTGACTATTAAGTCTTTTGTGTTTTCACATAAGTTTTATAACTAGGTGCAGTGGCTTATGCCTGTAACCCCAGGATGTTGGGAGGCTGAGGTTGGTGGTCACCTGAGGTCAGGAGTTTGAGACCAGCCTGGCCAACATGGTGAAAGCCCATCTCTAATTAAAAATACAAAAATTAGTTGAGTGTGGTAGCATGTGCCTGGAGTCCCAACTACTCAGGAGACTGAGGCAGGAAAATCACTTGAACCCAGGAGGCAGTGGTTGCAGTGAGCTGCAATCATATCATTGCACTCCAGCCTGGGCAACAAAGTGAGACTCTATCTCAAAAATAAATAAATTTTAGGATTTTAGGATTTTTTTTCTATTTCTGTGAAGAATATTACTGATTTTTTTTTTTTTTTTAAAGATTGAGTTTTGCTTTTGTTGCCCAGGCTGGAAAGTAATGGTGCAATCTCGATTTTGGCTCACTGCAACATCCGCCTTCTGGGTTCAAGCAATTCTCCTGCCTCAGCCTCCTAAGGAGCTAGGATTACGGGCATATGCCACCACACCTGGCTAACTTTGTATATTTTTAGTAGAGAGGGGGTTTCTCCATTTTGGTCGGGCTGGTCTCAAACTCCTGACCTCAGGTGATCTGACTGTCTTGACTTCCCAAAGTGCTGGGATTACAGGTGTGAGCCACTGCCCCTGGCCATTATTGATATTTTTATATGGATTGCATTGAATCTATAGATTGCTTTGGGTAGTATAGGCACTTTCAACAATGTTGATTCTTTCAATCTATGAACATGAAATATTCTTTCATTTTTGGTGTTCTCTTCAATTTGTTTCATCAGTGTTTTATAAGTTTTATTATGGAGCTCTTTCACTTATTTGGTTAATTTTTAGATATCTAATTTTATGTGTGGCTATTGTAAATGAAAGTACCTTTTAAGGAGCCAATTGTTTAATGTCTACTTAGTTGTATAATTTCCAAAATTCCTTTTGTTTTTAATTTCTAATTTTATTCCACTGTGGTCAGAGAGAATGCTTGATATTAACTGCAAAAAAAAGTATTTCCAAGTTTTTGAATGTGTTACGAATGTGTTACCACATATAACATGTGGTCTATCCTTGAGAATAACCCATGTGCTGAGAAAAAGAGTAGAAATTTTGAAGTTCTTGGGTGAAATATTCTGCAAATATTAATTCAATTTATTTGGTCAATACTGCAGATTAAATCTGATGATTCGTTGTTGATTTTCTGTCTGGAAGATCTGTCTAGACCTGAAAATGAAGTGTTGAAATCTCTAGCTATTACTGTACTGGGGCCAGTCTCTCTCTTTATCATGAATAGTAGTTTCTTTATATACCTGGGTACTCCAGTGTTGCGTGCATGTTTATTTAAAATTGTTAAATAAATTTGAACAATTTAAAATTTTTAACAATTAAACAACAATTAAGTTAAAAAATTTAAAATCTTGCTGAATTGACCCTATTATCTTTTTATAGTGATATTCTATGTCTCTTCTTATGGTTCCTGTCTTGAAATCTATATTGAGAGTGAGTCCTGCTTCTTTTTTGTTTCCATTGACTTGGTATATCTTTTATTCATTTCTTTATTTTTAGTATACATGTGTTTTTATATAGGTGAAGTGTGTTACCTGTGGGAAACAGATAAATGGGTCTTGTTTTTCATTCATTCAGCTAGACTATGGCTTTTGATTAGAGAGTTTAGTTCATTTATACTCAATGTTATTGATAAGTAAGGATTTCCTCCTGCTATTTTGTTATATTTTTTTCTGGTTGTTTCATGGTCTTCCTGCTTTTCTTTCTGTCCTTCCTGTCTGCCTCTAGCGAAGTTGATTTTCTCTGGTGACATGACTTAAATTTCTTTCTTTTTATTTTTTGTGTATCTATGTTATGATTTTTGGATTAAGGTTGCCATCAGGCTTGCAAATACCAACAATCAAAATATTTAATCGTGCCATTTTTGGTTATATCTTTGACAAATTCTAGTGCTGTGATCAAACATATCCAAATATCTGAGCACATTAGCATAAGGCAGAACTTTATTTTGATATTTAAAAAAATCCCATTATCTTAAGAAATTTTCCAGTACATAGTTTGTAAATAATTAATAGAGTTGCTTTAAAAACATATGAAGCAATTATAGGTATTATGCTTAATTCCAAAGAAAGAAAATGTAGTTCAATGACACAGGAGACCTCCTGGACCAGGGCCTCCCCAACCAGGGGAGTGGCCCTGGTCGGGAAGGCTGGAGGCTAATCCAGCAGCACATCCAAAATCTTATCCACCACAATCAAGTGGGCTTCATCCCTGGGATGCAAGGCTCGTTCAACATATACAAATCAATAAACGTAATCCATCACATAAACAGAACCAATGACAAAAACCATATCATTATCTCAATAGATGCAGAAAGGGCCTTTGACAAAATTCAACAGCCTTTCATGCTAAAAACCCTCAATAAACTCAGTATTGATGGAATGTAGTTCAAAATAATAAAAGCTATTTATGACAAACCCACAGCCAATATCATACTGAATGGGCAAAAATGGGAAGCATTCCCTTTGAAAACTGGCACAAGACAAGGATGCCCTCTCTCACCACTCCTATTCAATATAGTATTGGAAGTTCTGGCCAGGGTAATCAGGCAAGAGAAAGAAACAAAGGGTATTCAATTAGGAAAAGAGGAAGTCAAATTGTCCCTGTTTGCAGATGACATGATTGTATATTTAGAAAACCCCATTGTCTCAGTCCAAAATCTCCTTAACCTGATAAGCAACTAAAGCAAAGTCTCAGGATACAAAATTAATGTGCAAAAATCACAAGCATTACTATACACCAAGAACAAACAGAGAGCCAAATCATGAGTAAATTACCATTTACAATTTCTACAAAGTTAAAAATACATGGGAATCCAACTTACAAGGATGTGAAAGACCTCTTCAAGGAGAACTACAACCACTGCTCAATGAAATAAAAGAGTACGCAAACAAACGGAAGAAATTCCATGTTCATGGATAGGAAGAATCAATATCATGAAAATGGCCATACTGCCCAAAGTAATTTACAGAATCAACATTTTCCCCATCAAGATACCACTGACTGTCTTCACAGAATTGGAGAAAACTACTTTAAATTTCATATGGAGCCAAAATAGAGCCTGCATAGCCAAGACAATCCTAAGCAAAAAGAATAAAGCTGGAGGCATCATGCTATCTGACTTCAAACTACACTACAACACTATACTAACCAAAGCAGCACGGTACTCCTACCAAAACAGCATGGTACTCATACCAAAACAGACACATAGACCAATGGAATAGAATACAGGGCTCAGAAATAACATCGCACATCTACAACCATCTGATCTTTGACAAATTTGACAAAAAGAAGAAATGGGGAAATGATTCCCTACTTAATAAATGGTGTTGGAAAACAGCCTAGCCATACGTAGAAAGCTGAAACTGCATCCCTTCCTTACCCTTGTAGAAAACTAACTCAAGATGGATTAAAGACTTAAACGTAAGCCCTAAAACCATAAAAACCCTAGAAGAAAAGCTAGGCAATGCCATTCAGGACATAGGTAGGCATTGGCAAGGACATCATGACTAAAACACCAAAAGCAATGGCAACAAAAGCCAAAATACATAAATGAGATCTAATTAAACTAAAGAGCTTCTGCACAGCAAGAGAAGCTATCATCAGAGTGAATAGGCAACCTACAGAATGGGAGAAAATTTTTGCAATCTATACATCTGACAAAAGACTAATATCCACAATCTACAAAGAACTTAAACAAATTTACAAGAAACAAACAACACCATCAAAAAGTTAGCAAAGGAGATGAATAGACACTTCTCAAATGAAGACATTCATGCAGCCAACAGACATATTAAAAAATGCTCATCATCACTGGTCATCACAAAAATGCAAATCAAAACCACAATGAGATACAATCTCACGCCAGTTAGAATGGCAATTACTAAAAAGTCAGGAAAGAACAGATGCTGGAGAGCATATGGAGAAATAGAAGTGCTTTTACACTGTTGATGGGAGTGTAAATTAGTTCATTGTGGAAAACAGTGTGGCGATTCCTCAAGTATCTAGAACTAGAAATACTATTTGATCCAGCAATCCCATTACTGGGTATATAACCACAGGATTATAAATCATGCTAGTATAAAGACACATGTACACGTATGTTCATCGTGGCACTATTCACAATAGTAAAGACTTGGAATCAACCCAAACGTCCATCGATAAGAGACTGGATAAAGGCTCTTAAGCATGGGGGCCAACCCTTAGAAACTCCATCTAGCTGTTTGGAGAGGCAGGCTACCAGCCTCGGCTAGGGCCCCACAGTCTGGATCAAAACTCCAACCGCCATTTTTTCTCTTTCTGACATATAGAGTGTAAAGGGTTTTGTCAGGTCAGGTAGCCCCAGAGCTGGGGCCAATATGAGTTTTTCTTTTAACTCATGAAAAACTTATTGCTGTTGGTTTTAATAGATGTAGTTTATCCAATCTACAATTTTATTAATGGTCACCCACCAAAATATTGACTCAAATCTTGCAGCTATTTGGTTTCAAGCTTTAAATTGATCTGGTATTACCCATGGGACTCCAATTGTGTCTAAAGAGATGTGAGAGTTGAAAGACCCATAAGAGCCTTCTCTCACTTTACGATGTCTTACTTTTCCTCCCTCTGGTTGAGGAAATGCCATGGTGAAAGGGATAGCCAATTGGACTAAAGTACAAGTCCCACTCCAGTTATTTGGCAGAGTGTCCAGTAAAGGTCCACAACAATACCACTACACATCTGCTCGGGGATGAACAAGGGCTGACTGATAAGCTCTTGAAAATTCTTAAGCTCACAGGATCCCTTCAGGTCTCAAAGGAATGCTATGTTTCCTCCCTGTCCTGAGGGACACGAAGTGAACTTAGTGTTGGGAGATGGAAGCTGGATGGCCCCCGGGGGCTGACCCGCAGGGTGCCAGACTTTGGGCTATAGCAGAGAGAGCTTGGCACAACTTATTACTCCAGGCTGTAGAATCCTGGAAAAGAGCTACCATTTGGCCCATGCCTGGTCGACTGGAGGACCACCTTAGTGGAAAGAGGACAATCTGGGCCTCTGGCCTGCCATGTACACAAGCGTAACAAGTGCTTTTCTTTAATGTGTGTATGGAATATTTGATCTATTTCAACCAGGCATTTGCATCTTGGTATCCTGTCTTAATTGCCAAAGTTTGTTTTAAGTCTTTAACTTCTATGATCCTCTAGTAAAATGAATGTATGATTTTAGGAAATTACAAAAATTGGTTGGGGCAGTCTATCATTGCTCTTTGGTGGTCCACAGAATGTGGGACCAGCTATGGCAAAAAAGCTCTAAATTTGGGGGCAAGACTCCTGGTTGACACTGGAGTCTTTACTGAAATTTCCCTGGATTAAATGGTGCTAATTTACTAAAGCCCAGTCTGAGGAGAGTCAGGAGGGAGAGCGGTACTTTTCTGAAGTAGAGAGCTGTCCTTGACTTGGCAAGTCCCCACAGGGTATAACAAGGCAAGCATTAAATACAATAGTTTGAGGTTAAATTGACTTTGTTATGTTAATAATTAGATGGTCATCAATAGAGCAAGGAAAGAAGAAAGAGTAATAGAGTAGAAGAAAGAGTCAAATTTTTCTTAGCTTCGGTTTGGTGAGGTTTTCTCCTGGGACTACAGCTCACGATTCTGGAGGGTGTGGCACTTTCTTGACTCATGTGTGATGAGTCCATCCCTTTTTCACTGTATGAACAGTCTCGGTGGTTAGCAGCACAAGGTAGGGTCCTTCCTAGGCTGGCTCGAGTTTCCTTTTTGTTTTTTCACCTTTTGATGAGAACGTGATCTTCAGGCTGGTGCTGGTTTATGGGAAATCCTAGGGGTTTTACATGTGCTAAAAGACTTTTAGTTTTGAGGGAAAGGAAAGGGGAAGATAAACCAAGTATATAATTTTTAAGAAATTGAACTTTTATTTTAAATGTGAGGACATCAGCAGTGGGCTTTATAGTTCTTGGTGCCTTTCTACTGAGAAATTTGCTTTAGCACCCATTTTTATTAGATTTTTAGACCAAAGAAGCCAAACCATTTTATATTTGACAGTGCTTCCTGTATGATTTTTATACCAGATAAGCTAAATTTCACCTTTATATTAGTGTGTTATTAATGTTAAACTTAGTTTTAATAAAACTTTATAGACATATTTATTCAATTTTTAATGTCGGACCATAAGGTAAGATTTTTATAGGCCTTTTTTTAACCTTTTATAATCTTTGTTAAAGAGCAGATTACTGCTTTAAGAAAAACCCATTGTGTTTTTATTTTAATGTTCAGTTGACAGAAAAGCTGGATGATACCCCTTTGACTTTAGCCAATATGTTTAGACACAGAATTTTCTTTACAATTGTGTTAAAACTTGCTTAAACCTTCAAAACAAATTTTTTAAACTTTTAATGTAGGCAAAAATTTACATTCCTACATCTCCTTATAATCTTTTTTTTAAATTATACTTTAAGTTTTAGGGTTATGTGCACAATGTCCAGGTTTGTTACATATGTATACATGTTTCATGTTGGTGTGCTGCACCCATTAACTTGTCATTTAACATTAGGTATATTTCCTAATGCTATCCCTCCTTTCCCCCACCCCGCAACAGGCCCCAGTGTTTAATGTTCCCCTTCCTGTGTCCACGTGTTCTCATTGTTCAATTCCCACCTATGAGTGAGAACATGTGGTGTTTGGTTTTTTTGTCCTTGCTATAGTTTGCTGAGAATGATGGTTTCCAGCTTCATTGATGCCCCTAAAAAGGCCATGAACTCATCATTTTTTATGGCTGCATAGTATTCCATGGTGTATATGTGCCACATTTTCTTAATCCAGTCTATCATTGTTGGACATTTGGGTTGGTTCCAAGTCTTTCCTATTGTGAATAGTGCTGCAATAAACATACGTGTGCATGTGTTTTTATAGCAGCAAGATTTATAATCCTTTGGGTATATACCCAGTAATGGGATGGCTGGGTCAAATGGTATTTCTAGTTCTAGATCCCTGAGGAATCGCCACACTGTGTTCCACAATGGTTGAACTAGTTTACAGTCCCCCCAACAGTGTAAAAGTGTTCCTATTTCTCCACATCCTCTCCAGCACCTGTTGTTTCCTGACTTTTTAATGATCTCCATTCTAACTGGTGTGAGATGGTATCTCATTGTGGTTTTGATTTGCATTTCTCTGATGGCCAGTGATGATGAGCATTTTTTCATGTGTCTTTGGGCTGCATAAATGTCTTCTTTAGAGAAGTGTCTGTTCATATCCTTTGCCCACTTTTTGATGGGGTTGTTTCTTTTTTTCTTGTAAATTTGTTTGAGTTCATTGTAGATTCTGAATATTGGCCCTTTGTCAGATGAGTAGATTGCAAAAATTTTCTCCCATTCTTTAGGTTGCCTATTCACTCTGATGATAGTTTCTCTTGCTGTGCAGAAGCTCTTTAGTTTAATTAGATCCCATCTGTCAATTTTGGCTTTCGTTGCCATTGCTTTTGGTATTTTAGACAAGAAGTCCTTGCCCATGCCTATGTCCTGAATGGTATTGCCTAGCTTTTCTTCTAGGGTTTTTATGGTTTTAGGTCTAACATTTAAGTCTTTAATCCATCTTGAATTAATTTTTGTATGAGGTGTAAGGAAGGGATCCAGTTTCAGCTTTCTACATATGGCTAGTCAGTTTTCCCAGCACCATTTATTAAATAGGGAATGCTTTCCTATTTCTTGTTTTTGTCAGATTTGTAAAAGATCAGATAGTTGTAGATAAGTGGCATTATTTCTGAGGACTCTGTTCTGTTTCATTGGTCTATATCTCTGTTTTTGTACCATTACCATGCTGTTTTGGTTACTTTAGCCTTGTAGTATAGTTTGAAGTCAGGTAGCATGATGCCTCCACCTTTGTTCTTTTGGCTTATGATTGACTAGGCAATGTGGGCTCTTTTTTGGTTCCATATGAACTTTAAAGTAGTTTTTTCCAATTCTCTAAAGAAATTCTTTGCTAGCTTGATGGGGATAGCATAGAATGTATAAATTACCTTGGGCAGGATGGCCATATTCATGATATATTGATTCTTCCTACCCATCAGCATGGAATGTTCTTCCACTTGTTTTTGTTCTCTTTTATTTCGTTGAGCAGTGGTTTGTAATTCTCCTTGAAGAGGTCCTTCACGTCCCTTGTAAGTTGGATTCCTAGGTATTTTATTCTCTTTGAAGCAACTGCGAATGGGAGTTCACTCATGATTTCGCTCTCTGTCTGTTATTGGTGTGTAACAATGCTTGTGATTTTTGAACATTGATTTTGTACCCTGAGACTTTGCTGAAGTTGCCTATCACCTTAAGGAGACTTTAGGCTGAGACAATGGGGTTTTCTAAATATACAGTCATGTCATCTGCAAACAGGGACAATTTGACTTCCTCTTTTCCTAATTGAATACCCTTTATTTCCTTCTCCTGCCTGATTGCCCTGGCCAGAACATCTGACACTATGTTGAATAGGAGTGGTGAGAGAGGGCATCCCTGTCTTGTGCCAGTTTTCAAAAGGAATGCTTCCCGTTTTTGCCCATTCACTATGATATTGGCTGTGGGTTTATCATAGATAGCTCTTATTATTTTGAGATACGTCCCATTAATGCCTCATTTATTGAAAGTTTTTAGCATGAAGCATTGGTATATTTTGTCAAAGGCCTTTTCTGCATCTATTGAGATAATCATGGTTTTTGTCATTGGTTCTGTTTATTTGCTGGATTACATTTATTGATTTGCATATGTTGAATCTGCCTTGCATCCCAGGGATGAAGCCCACTTGGTCATGGTGGATAAGCTTTTTGATGTGCTGCTGGATTTGGTTTGCCAGTATTTTCTTGAGGATTTTCACATCGATGTTCATCAAGGATGTTGGTCTAAAATTCTCTTTTTTTGTTGTTGTGTGTCTGCCAGGCTTTGGTACCAACAAGATGCTGGCCTCATAAAATGAGTTAGAGAGGATTCCCTCTTTTTCTATTCATTGGAATAGTTTCAGAAGGAATGGTAACAGCTTCTCCTTGCACTCTGGTAGAATTCGGCTGTGAATCCATCTGGTCCTGGAGTTTTTCTGGTTGGTAAGCTATTAATTATTGCCTCAATTTCAGAGTCTGTTATTGGTCTATTAAAAGATTCAACTTCTTCCTGGTTTAGTCTTGGGAGGGTGTATGTGTCCAGGAATGTATCCATTTCTTCTAGATTTTCTAGTTTATTTGCCTAGACGTGTTTATAGTATTCTCTGAAGGTAGTTTGAATTTCTGTGGGATCGGTGGTGATATCCCCTGTATCTTTTTTATTGCGTCTATTTGATTCTTCTCATTTCTTGTTTATGAGTCTTGCTAGTGGTCTATCAATTTTGTTGATTTTTTCAAAAAACCAGCCCCTGGATTCATCGATTTTTTTTAAGGGTTTTTTGTGTCTCTATTTTGTTCAGTTCTGCTCTGATCTTAGTTATTTCTTGCCTTCTGCTAGCTTTTGAATGTGTTTGCTCTTGCTTCTCTAGTTTTTAATTGTGATGTTAGGGTGTCAATTTTAGATCTTTCCTGCTTTCTCTTGTGGGCATTTAGTGCTATAAATTTCCCTCTACACACTGCTTTGAACGTGTCCCAGAGATTCTGGTATGTTGTGTCTTTGTTCTTGTTGGTTTCAAAGAACATCTTTATTTCTGCCTTCATTTCATTATGTACCCAGTAGTCATTCAGGAACAGGTTGTTCAGTTTCCATGTAGTTGAGTGGTTCTGAGTGAGTTTCTTAATCCTGAGTTCTAGTTTGATTGCACTGTGGTCTGAGAGACAGTTTGTTATTATTTCTTTTACATTTGCTGAGGAGTGCTTTACTTCCAACTATGTGGTCAATTTTGGAATAGGTGTGGTGTGGTTCTGAAAAGAATGTATATTCTGTTGATTTGGGGTGGAGAGTTCTGTACATGTCTATTAGGTCTGCTTGGTGCAGAGCTGAGTTCAATTCCTGGATATCCTTGTTAAATTTCTGTCTCGTTGATGTGTCTAATGTTGACAGTGGGGTGTGAAAATCTCCCATTATTATTGTGTGGGAGTCTAAGTCTCCTTGCAGGTCTCTAAGGACTTGCTTTATGAATCTGGGTGCTCCTGTATTCGGTGCATATATATTTAGGACAGTTAGCTCTTCTTGTTGAATTGATCCCTTTACCATTATGTAATGGCATTCTTCGTCTCTTTGTTGGTTTAAAGTCTGTTTTATCAGAGACTAGGATTGCAACTCCTGCCTTTTTTTGTTTTCCATTTGCTTGGTAGATCTTCCTCCATCCCTTTATTTTGAGTCTATGTGTGCGTCTGCATGTGAGATGGGTCTACTGAATACAGCACACTGATGCGTCTTGCCTCTCTGTCCAATTTGCCAGTCTGTGTCTTTCAATTGGAGCATTTAGCCCATTTACATTTAAGGTTAATATTGTTATGTGTGAATTTGATCCTGCCATCATGATATTAGCTGGTTGTTTTGCTCATTATTTGATGCAGTTTCTTCCTAGCATCGATGATCTTTACAATTTGGCATGTTTTTGCAGTGGCTGATACCGATTGTTCCTTTCCATGTTTAGTGCTTCCTTCAGGAGCTCTTTTAGGGCAGGTCTGGTGGTGAGAAAATCTCTCAGCATTTGCTTGTCTGTAAAGGATTTTATGTTTCCTTCACTAATGAAGCTTAGTTTGGCTGGATATGAAATTCTGGGTTGAAAATTCTTTTCTTTAAGAATGTTGCATATTGGCCCCCACTCTCTTCTGGCTTGAAGAGTTTCTGCCAAGACATCTGCTGTTAGTCTGATGGGCTTCCCTTTGTGGGTAACCCGACCTTCCTCTCTGGCTGCCCTTAACATTTTTTCCTTCATTTCAGCTTTGGTGAATCTGACAATTATGTGTCTTGGAGTTGCTCTTTTCAAGAAGTATCTTTGTGGCATTCTCTGTATTTCCTGAATTTGAATATTGGCCTGCCTTGCTAGGTTGGGGAAGTTCTCCTGGATCATATCCTGCAGAGTGTTTTCCAACTTGTTTCCATTCTCCCTGTCACTTTCAGATACACCAGTCAGATGTAGATTTGGTCTTTTCACATAGTCCCGTATTTCTTGGAGGCTTTGTTTCTTTTTATTCTTTTTTCTCTAAACTTCTCTTCTCACTTCATTTCATTCATTTGATCTTCCATCACTGATATCCTTTCTTCCAGTTGATTGAATCAGCTACTGAGGCTTGTGCATTCGTCACATAGTTCTCATGCTGTGGTTTTCAGCTCCATCAGGTCCTTTAAGGACTTCTCTGAATTGGTTATTCTAGGTAGCTGTTTGCCTAATTTTTTTTCAAGGTTTTTAACTTCTTTGCCATGGGTTCGAACTTCCTCCTTTAGCTTGGAGTAGTTTGATCTGAAGCCTTCTTCTCTCAAATTGTCAAAGTCATTCTCTGCCCAGCTTTGTTCCATTGCTGATGAGGAGCTGTGTTCCCTTCAAGGAGGAGAGGTGCTCCAATTTTTAGAGTTTCCAGTTTTTCTGCTTTGTTTTTTCCCCATCTTTGTGGTTTTATCTGTCTTTGGTCTTTGATGATGGTGACGTACAGATGGGATTTTGGTGCAGATGTCCTTTCTGTTTGTTAGTTTTCCTTCTAACAGTCAGGACCCTCAGCTGCAGGTCTGTTGGGGTTTGCTGGAGGTCCACTCCAGACCCTGTTTGCCTGGGTATCAGCAATGGAGGCTGCAGAACAGTGTACATTGGTGAACTGCAAATGCTGCTGCCTGATTGTTCCTCTGGAAGTTTTGTCTTAGAGGAGTACCCAGCCGTGTGAGGTGTCAGTCTGCCCCTACTTGGGGGTGTCTCCCAGTTAGGCTACTCGGGGGTTGGGGACCCACTTGAGGAGGCAGTCTGTCTGTTCTCAGATCTCAAGCTGCATGCTGGGAGAACCACTACTCTCTTCAAAGCTCTCACACAGGGACATTTAAGTCTGCACAGAGTTTTCTGCTGCCTTTTGTTTGGCTATGCCCTGCCCCTAGAGGTGGAGTCTACAGAGGCAGGCAGGCCTCCTTGAGCTGCAGTGGGCTCCACCCAGTTCCAGCTTCCTGGCCACTTTGTTTACCTGCTCAAGCTTCGGCAATGGCGGGCGCCCTTCCCCCAGCCTCGCTGCCGCCTTGCAGTTTGATCTCAGACTGCTGTGCTAGCAATGAGCGTAGCTCCATGGGCATAGGACCCTCTGAGCCATGTGCAGGATATAATCTCCTGGTGTGCCGTTTGGTAAGACCATTGGAAAAGCACAGTATTAGGGTGGGAGTGGCCTGATTTTCCAAGTGCCATCTGTCACCCCTTTCTTTGACTAGGAAAGGGAATTCCCTGACCCTTTGCACTTTCCAGGTGAGGTGATGCCTTGCCCTGCTTCGGCTCATGCTTGGTGTGCTGCACCCACTGTCCTGTACCCACTGTCTGATACTCCCCAGTGAGATGAACCTGGTACCTCAGTTGGAAATGCAGAAATCACCCATCTTCTGTGTCGCTCACGCTAGGAGCTGTAGACTGGAGCTGTTCCTATTCTGCCATCTTGGCTCCACCTTCTCCTTATAATCTTTTTAACAAAGATATATTTTACTTTCCATATACACCTCGCAGATACACTGTTTAATAGTACTCAGGAGGCCTAATTACTTTTAAATTATGCAACATCTCTTGCATAAATTCGTTTTTTATATAACTTTTTTTCTCTTTCACAACTTTCACCAACAATTATTCAACCTGCGTCAACTTTCAGACTTACTATAAACATTTCTTTCTTTAAAGAACCAGTTCATTTATTTCAGGAGAAGAATTTACCATACAGCAATCCTTTTACATAAATTCTGCACTCCTCTTTTTTTCCCCCTTTTTTTTTTTTTGAAGACAATCATTCTTTTCCAAAGTGAACTTCTTTGTTGTCTGTGGACTAGACTGTCTAGGGCCACAAGATTAGAAGTTACTATAATACATGTTATACTGTTAACTTTTAGCAAATTTTACTTTTGTTGAAAACCTTGTAAGTTTGGGATTTCAATTATCCTCTGCTGTTAATAAGACTTTGTTTATTCCAAATTAAATTAGAATTGGTATAGATGGTTTTTTTTTTTGTAATTACTGGGGAGGAAACATCTATCCTCCTGTCCTGAAGGGAGTTCCTCCTAGGTCTGTTTGGACCCTTTTATGGTAATAAAGATTTAGATCACCTCTTAGGAAATCTACTGGGTTAAGGGAATTTTCAGGGGTTAATGTTAAATCCTCTTTTTTTTTTTTTTTCTTAGGATACTTCTGAACTGGTGAGGTGTGCTCACAATAAGGTTTCCTCTGAAAGTTATTTTTTTACTTTCTGCTGTTAGCAAAGCAGTTGCCGCTACAGACTGAATGCATTTGGGCTGTCTGTGGGTTACTGGGTTGAGGATTTTTGATAGGAAGGCCTCAGTGCTTTTGAGATACACCCTTGTTTACATTGACAACAAAGTGGTACTGGAGTGTTATAGGGTTATGAAGAATACCTTTAATTATTAATTATAGATTTTACATTTACCTTGGTGTTTAAAGGAATAGGGTACACTGGTTTTTTTCTTAACTACTTGTATATCTCTTTTTCTCTTTGACTTTCTGTCTCTTTGACTTTCCTTTTGTCTCTGTTTCTTCCTCTCTCTCTGCCTCTCTCTCTCTCTCCTTGACTCCCTCTTTGTCTCTCTGTCTCTTCCTCTCTCTATTTGGCTCTTTTCCTCTCTGTTTCCTCTCTCTCTCTCTGCTGGTCCTTCCTTGCCTCTGCCAGCTGCTTATGCTGCTGTTCTTTCAACCACTGTGGGGTGTGTGGTGGGGTGGAGGGGTGTCTAAAATGAGCTGTAACCAAGTGTCTATGTCCGGGAACTGGTTTGGGCGCCCTGGCTTACAGGTTACTTTGTGCCATACTTTTGAAAAAAGGGACCTATCCAGGCTTCTTTCTGACAACCAACCCACCTCTAATGCTCGCCAGTCTATTTCACACAAAGTTCTAAGTTTCCTGGTGTCATAGTAACACCATAATTTCCCTTAAATCCTTTCTTGAAAATTTTGAACATAGTTCCTGGTGGGATAGGCTTACTTTGTGCCTGACCCATGCTTCCTCAAGATAAAACAACATGCTCACACACCACACACACCACAAAACAAAGAACAGGTAAAAAGGGCACACACACATATTTACAATTTACACCAAATAAGACTCAAACCAAAATTGGAGTATGAAGAAATCTAAGCCAGGTCAAACCCAAAACCAAAGTATCAAGCAATCCAAGTCAAGTCAAAAACAAAAACCAAAGTGCCAGTACAGGCACACTGTGGGTGATCAGGCCATGCTTCCATTCAAATGGAGTGGGTGATTTACCAAGTTTCAGATGTCCAGACTCCAAGAGCCAGTTCCTTCCTGGTGTTCAGCCACTGCATTGATTCTCCATGGTGGCCTGCCACGTGCTGCTCTGGTGAGGCGTTGTACCAGGGCAACTGTCTACATGGGAGCGCTCTCAGGATGTGTGTCACTCAAGCTGGCCAGAGTCCCATGCAGGGATGCTCCACAGGGCAGTCCTAAGCCACCTAAATGGCTGCCTTGACCATCCATTAATCACCTTGCTTCCCAGTCAGGGAACCAAGAAATGTAGCAGGACAAGCCACAGACAAAACCCCCTTAGACACCAAGTTAAAGAAGGAAGGGCTGAATTCATCTGGGAGCTTCAGAAAGACTTACGCCTCCAAAAACAGAGCTCCCTGAATGAGCAATTCCTGTCCCTTTTAAGGGCTTGCAACTCTAATGGGGTCCATATGAGAGGGTTGTGATTGAGCAAGCAGTGGGTACGTGACTAGGGGCTGCATGCACTGGTAATCAGCATGGAACAAAACAGGACAGGGATTTTCACAATGCTTTTCCATACAATGTCTGAAATCTATAGATAACATAATTGGTTAGGTTGGGGGTCGATCCTTAACCAGACCCAAGGCGTTGCGCCAGGCTGTCTGCCTGTGGATTTCATTTCTGCCTTTTAGTTTTTACTTTTTCTTTCTTTGGAAGCAGAAATTGGACATAAGACAATATGAGGGGTGGTCTCCTCCCTTAGAAGGTTGTGGTGAACCAAGGTTGCATCACTGCACTCCAGCCTGGGTGACAGAGGCTCAAAAAAAAAAGAAGTGAAGGGAGAAATATTCAAGGAAATATATAGCTTAAAGAAAAAATAAATATTCAGGAAACTCTGGATACACTTTTGGAAATGCAAAATGCTCTGAAAAGTCTCAACAATAGAATTGAACAAGTAGAAGAAACAAACTCAGACCTTGAAGACAAGGTCTTCAAATTAACCCAATCCAACATAGACAAAGAAAAAAAGAATAAGAAGTACGAACAAAGTCTGGGATTATGTTAAACGACCAAATCTAAGGATAATTGGTGTTCCTGAGGAAGAAGAGAATTCTAAAAGTTGTGAAAACATACTTGGGGAAATAATTGAGGAAAACTTCCCCAGCCTTGCTACAGACCTAGACATCCAAATACAAGAAGCACAAAGAACACCCCAGAAATTCATCACAGAAAGATCTTTGCCTAGGTACATTGTCATCAGATTATCCAAAGTTAAGACAAAGGAAAGAATCTTAAGAGCTGTGAGACAGAAGCACCAGGTGAACTATAAAGAAAAACCTATCAGATTAACAGCAGATTTCTCAGCAGAAACCCTACAAGCTAGAAGGGTTTGGGGCCCTATCTTTAGCCTCCTCAAGCAAAACAATTATCAGTCAAGAATTTGGTATGCAGTGAAACTAAGCATCATGTATGAAGGAAAGATAGTCTTTTTCAGACAAACAAATACTGAGAGAATTTGCCACTACCAAACCACCAGTACAAGAACTGCTAAAAGGAGCTCTAAATCTTGAAACAAATCCTGGAAACACATCAAAACAGATCTTTAAAGCATAAATCACACAGGACCTCTGAAACAACAACAACAAAGGAACAAATTAAAAAGAAAAAAAGAAAAGAAAAGAAAAAAGTACACAGGCAACAAAAGAGCACGATGAATTCAGCAGTACCTCACATTTCAATACTAACATTGAATGTAAGTGGCCTAAATGGCCCACTTAAAAGATACAGAACCTCACAATGGATAAGAACTCACCAACCATCTGCTGCCTTCAGGAGACTCGCCTGGCACAAAAGGACTCTCATAAACTTAAAGTAAAGAGGTGGAAAAAGGAATTTCATGCAAATGGACACCAAAAGTGAGCAGGAGCAGCTATTCTTGTAGCAGACAAAACAAGCTTTAAAGCAACAACAGTTAAAAGAGACAAAAAGGGACATTATATAATGGTAAAGACCTTGTGCAACAGGAAAATATCACAATCCTAAACATATATGCACCTAACACTGGAGCTGTCAAATTTATAGAACAGTTGCTAACAGACTTAAGAAATGAGATAGACAACAACACAGTAATAGTGAGGGACTTCAAAACTCCACTGACAGCACTTGATAGGTCATCAGGACAGAAAGTCAACAAAGATTGGAACAAATGGACTCAACAGATATATACAGAACATTTCATCCAACAATCACAGAATACAATTCTATTCAACAGCACATGGAACTTTCTCCAAGATAGAGCATATGATGGGCCATAAAACAAGCCTCAATAAATTTAAGAAAATTGAAATTACATGAAGCACTCTCTCAAACCACAGTGGAATAAAACTGGAAATGAACTACAAAAAGAACCTTCAAAACCATACAAATATACAGAAATTAAGTAACTGTCAGGCCTCTGAGCCCAAGCTAAGCCATCATATCCCCTGTGACATGCACATATACATCCAGATGGCCTAAAGCAAGTGAAGAATCACAAAAGAAGTGAAAATTGCTGGTTCCTGCCTTAACTGATGACATTACCTTGTGAAATTCCTTCTGACTCAGAAGCTCCCCAACTGAGCACCTTGTGACCCCCACCCCTGCCTGCCAGAGAACAACCCCCTTTGACTGTAACTTTCCACGAACTACCCAAATCCTATAAAATGGCCCCACCTCTATCTCCCTTTGCTGACTCTCTTTTCAGACTCAGCCCACCTGCACCCAGGTGATTAAACAGCTTTATTGCTCACACAAAGCCTGTTTGGTGGTCTCTTCACATGGACGTGCATGAAATTTGGTGCCATGACTCAGATCAGGGGACCTCCCTTGGGAGATCAATCCCCTGTCCTCTTGCTCTTTGCTCCATGAGAAAGATCCACCTACGACCTCTGGTCCTCAGACCGACCAGCCCAAGGAACATCTCCCCAATTTTAAATTGGGTAAGCAGCCTCTTTTCACTCTCTTCACCAACGTCTCTTACCATCTCTCAACCTCTTACTCCTTTCAATCTTGGTGCCATCCTTCAATATCTCTTTTCTCTTAATTTCAATTCCTTTCCTTTTCTAGTAGAGACAGAGGAGATGCATTTTATCCATGAACCCAAAACTCCAGCACCAGTCACAGACTCAGGAAGACAGTCTTCCCTTGGTGTTTAATCACTGCAGGGAAGCCTGCCTGATTATTCACCCACATTTCAGAGGTGTCTGATCATCGTGGGGATGAATGCCTTTATCCTTCACCCTTAGGGGCAAGCACCACTTTCCTGTGGGGCAAGCACCCCCTACCTCTTCTTTCCATGTTTCTACCCTCTCTTTTCTCTGGGCTTACCTCCTTCACTATGGGCAACCTTCCAACCTCCATTCCTCCCTTTTCTCCCTTAGCCTGTGTTCTGAAGAACTTAAAACCTCTTCAACTCACACCTGACCTAAAACCTACGTGACTTATTTTCTTCTGCAATGCCGCGTAACCCCAATATAAACTCGACAATGGTTCCAAATAGCCAGAAAATGACAATTTCAATTTTTCCATCCTACAAGATCTCAATAATTTTTGTTGTAAAATGGGCAAACGGTCTGAGATGCCTCATGTCCAGGCATTCTTTTACACATCGGTCCCTTCCTAATCTCTGCTCCCAATGTGACTTGTGCCAAATCTTTCTTCTTTCCCTCCCACCATCCCCTCATTCCCAACCCCAAGTGTCGCTTAGTCTTTTTGATCTTTCTTTTCTACCAACCCATCTGACCTCTCTTCTCTCCCCAGACTGCTCCCCACGTCGCTCCCCACCAGGCTGAATCAGGCTCCAATTCTTCCTCAGCCTCCACTCCCACACCCTATAATCCTTCTATCAACTTCCCTCCTCACACCTGGCCCAGCTTCTTTCTGTGACTAGCCCTCCGCTACCTGTCCAACAATTTCCCTTAAAGAGGTGGCTGGAGCTAAAGGCACAGTCAAGGTTAATGTTCCTTTTTCTTTATCCGGCCTCTCCCAAATCAGTTAGCATTTAGGCTTTTTTTCATCAAATATAAAAACCCAGCCCAGTTCATGACTCGTTTGGCAGCAACCCTGAGATGCTTTACAGCCCTAGACCCTGAAAGGTCAGAAGGCTTTCTTATTCTCAATATACATTTTATTGCCCAATCTGCTCCTGACATTAAATAAAGCTCCAAGACCCCATAACAGGACCTAATTAACCTCACCTCCAAGGTGTACCAGAAGAGTAGGGGCAGCGAAGTAGCAACATATTTCTGACTTGCAATTCCTTGCCTCCACTGTGAGAGAAACCCCAGCCACATCTCCAGCACACAAGAACTTCAAAACACCTAAGCCACAGCAGTCAGGCATTCCTTCAGGAACTCCTCCCCCAGGATCTTGCTTCAAGTGCCAGAAATCTGGCCACTGGGCCAAGGAATGCCTGCAGCCCAGGATTCCTCCTAAGCCACGTCCCATCTGTGCAGGACCCCACTGGAAACTGGACTGTCCAACACGCCCAGCAGCCACTCCCAGAGCCCCTGAAACTCTGGCCCAAGGCTCTCTGACTGATTCCTTCCCAGATCTTCTTGACTCAGCGGCTGAAGACTAACACTGCCCAATCACCTCAGAAGCTTCCTGGACCATCACAGACACTTCTGGTAACTCTTACAAGGGAGAGTAAGTCCATCCCCTTCTTAATCAACATGGAGGCTACCCACTTCACATTGCCTTCTTTTCAATGACCTGTTTCCCTTGCCTCCATAACTGTTGTGGGTATTGATGGCCAGGCTTTTACACCTCTTAAAACTCCCCAACTCTGGTGCCAACTTGGACAATATTCTTTCATACACTCCTTAGTTATCCCCACCTGCCCAGCTCCCTTATTAGGTCGAGACATTTTAACTAAATTATCTGCTTCCCTGACTATTCCTAGGCTACAGCCATACCTCATTGCTGCCCTTCATATCCTCCTCTTGTCTCTCCCTACCTTAATCCACAAGTATAGGGCACCTCTACTTCCTTCTTGGCAACTAATCATGCACCCCTTACCATTCCATTAAAATCTAATTACCCTTATTCCGCTCAATGCCAATATCCCATCCCACAGCATATTTTAAAAGGATTAAAGCCTTTTATCACTTGCCTGTTACAGCATGGCCTTTTAAAGCCTAAAAACTCTCCTGAAAATTTGCCCATTTTACCTGTCCAAAAACCAGACAAGTCTTACAGGTTAGTTCAGGATCTGTGCCTTATCAACAAAATTGTTTTGCCTATCCACCCAATGGTGCCAAACCCATATACTCTCCTATCCTCAATACCTCCCTCCACAACCCATTGTTCGGTTCTGGATCTCAAACATGCTTTCTTTAATATTCCTTTGCACCCTTCATCCCAGCCTCTCTTCGCTTTCACTTGGACTGATCCTGACACCATCAAGCTCAGCAAATTACCTGGGCTGTACTGCTGCAAGGCTTCACGGACAGCCCCTATTACTTCAGTCAAGCCCAAAGTTCTTCCTCATCCATTACCTACCTTGGCATAATTCTTCAGGAAAGCATACATGCTCTCCCTGCTGATTGTGTCTGGTTAATCTCCAAAACCCCAACCCCTTCTAAAAAACAGCAACTCCTTTCCTTCCTAGGCATAGTTAGGTACTTTCACCTTTGGATACCTAGTTTTGCCATCCTGTCTAAACCATTATATAAACTCACAAAAGGAAACCTAGCTGACCCCGTAAATCTTAAATGCTTTCCCTACTCCTTTCCATTCCATAAAAAGCCCTAGAAGCTGCTCCCACACTAGATCTCCCTAACTCATTCCAACCCTTTTTCATAACACACAGCCAAAGTGCAGGGCTGTGTGGTTAGAATTCTTACACAAGAGCTGGGACCGCACCCTGTAGACTTTTTGTCCAAAAAACTTGACCTTACTGTTTTAGCCTGGCCATCATGTCTCTGTGCAGTGGCTGCCACTGCCCTAGTACTTTTAGAGGCCCTCAAAATCGCAAACTATGCTCACTCACTCTCTACAGTTCTCATAACTTCCAAACTCAATTTTCTTCCTCACACCTGATGCATATACTTTCTGCTCCCTGGCTCCTTCAGCTATACTCACCCTTTGCTGAGTCTCCCACAGTTACCATTGTTCCTGGCCTGGACTTCAATCCGGCTTCCCACATTATTGCAGATACCACACCTGACCCCCATGACTGTATCTCTCTGATCCACCTGACATTCATTCAATTTCCCCATATTTCCTTCTTTCCTGTTCCTCATCCTGATCACACTTGGTTCATCAATGGCAGTTCCACCAGGCCTAATCGCCACTCACCAGCAAAGGCAGGCTATGCTATAGTATCTTCCACATCTATCATTGAGGCTACAACTCTGCCCTCCTCCACTACCTCTCAGCAAGCTGAATTCATTGCCTTAACTCAGGCCCTCATTCTTGCAAAGGGACTATGCATCAATATTTATGCTGACTCTAAATATGCTTCCATATCCTGCACCACCATGCTGTTATATGGGCTGAAAGAGGTTTCCTCACTATGCAAGGGTCCTCCATCATTTATTCTTCTAATGAAAACTCTTCTCAAGGCCACTTTACTCCAAAGGAAGCTAGAGTCATTCACTGCAAGGGCTGTCAAAAGGCATCAGATCCCATTGCTCAGGGCAACACATATGCTGATAAGGTAGCTAAAGAAGCAGCTAGTGTTCCAACTTCTGTCCCTCATGGCCCCACTGAAATTAACTTTACTCATATGCCCAGAGTCAGGAAACTAAAATACCTCTGGATCTGGGTAGACACTTTCACTGGATGAGCAGACGCCTTTCCCCACAGGGTCTGAGAAGCCCACCACAGTCATTTCTTCCCTTCTGTCATATATAATTCCTTGGTTTGGCCTTCCCACCTCTAAACAGTCTGATAATGGACTGGCCTTTATTAGTCAAATCACCCAAGCAGTTTCTCAGGCTCTTGGTATTCAGTGGAACCTTCATACCCCTTATCATCCTCAATCTTCAGGAAAGGTAAAACAGACTAATGGTCTTTTAAAAACACAACTCACCAAGCTCAGCCTCCAACTTAAAAAGGACTGGACAATACTTTTACCACTTGCCCTTCTCAGAATTTGGGCCTGTCCTCAGAATGCTACAAGGTACAGCCCATTTGAGCTCCTGTATGGATGCTCCTTTTTCATAGGCCCCAGTCTCATTCCAGACACCAGCCCAACTTGAACCGCACCCCAAAAAGTCGTCATCCCTACCATCTTCTGTCTAGTCATACTCCTATTCACCATTCTCGACTACTCATAAATACCCTGTCCTTGTTTACACTGCCAGTTTGCACTTTTCCTTCAAACCATCATAACTGGTATCTCCTGGTTTTACCTCAAACCGCCATCCTGAAGTCACTCTTAAAGTGGATAAATAATGTTTGCTGACAGGGTACACTCCAATACTTTCACCCTGATGAAGTTCTATTCTTTACTTTTATACTTACTTTTATTCTTGTTCCCATTCTTATGTCACCCTCTACCTCTCCCCAGCTATCTCCACCACACTATCAATTTCACTCACTCTCTCCTAGCCATTTCTAATCCTTTTTGCAAACAATTTCTGGCTTTGCATTTCTCTTTCCTCCAAAATCACTGAGGCCTCGACTTACTCACTGCTAAAAAAAGGGGACTCTGTGTATTTTTAAATGAAAATTGTTGTTTTAACCTAAATCAATCTGTCCTGCTGTATGACAACACAAAAAAACTCACGGATAGAGCCCCAAAACTCACCAACCAAGCAAATAATTATGCTGAACACCCTTGGGCATTCTCTAATTGGATGTCCTGGGTCCTCCCAATTCTTAGTCCTTTAATACCTGTTTTTCTCCTCTTATTCGGAACTTGTGTCTTCTGTTTGGTTTCTCAATTCATACAAAACTGTATCCGGGTCATCACCAATCATTCTATACAGGAAATGCTCCTTCTTACAAAACCCCACAATATCACCCCTTACCACAAAATCTTCCTTCAGCTTAATCTCTCCCACTCTAGGTTCCCACACCACCCCTAATCCCCCTTGAAGTAGCCCTGAGAAACATCACCCATTATCTCTCCATACCTCCTCCCAAAATTTTTGCCGCCCCAACACTTTACCACTATTTTGTTTTATTTTTCTTATTAATGTAAGAAGACAGGAAGGTCAGGCCTCTGAGCCCAAGCTAAGCCATCATATCCCCTGTGACCTGCACATATACATCCAGATGGCCTGAAGCAAGTGAAGAATCACATAAGAAGTGAAAATGGCTGGTTCCTGCCCTAACTGATGACATTATCTTGTGAAATTCCTTCTCCTGGCTCAGAAGCTCCCCCACTGAGCACCTTGTGACCTCCACCCCTGCCTGCCAGAGAACAACCCCCTTTGACTGTAATTTTCCACTGCCTACCCAAATCCTATAAAACAGCCCCTACCCATCTCCCTTCGCTGACTCTCTTTTCAGATTCAGCCTGCCTACACCCAGGTGATTAAAAAGCTTTATTGCTCACACAATGCCTGTTTGGTGGTTTCTTCACACAGACTTGCATGACAGTAACCTGCCCCTGAATAAGCACTGGGTAAAAAACAAAATCAAGATGGAAATTAAAAACATTCTTCGAACTGAATGACAACAGTGACGACACCTATCAAAACCTCTGGAATACAGTTAAGGCAGCGCTAAGAGGAAAGTTCTTAGCCCTAAATACCTACATCAAAAAGACTGAAAGAGCATAAACTGACACTCAAAGGTTATACATCAAATAACTAGAGAAACAAGAACAACCAAACCCAAACCTAGCAGAAGAAATGAAATAACCCAAGATCAGAGCAGAACTAAATGAAATTGAAACAAAAAAAAAATTACAAGTGAAACAAAAAGCTAGTTTCTTGAAAAGATAAACTAAATTGATAGACCATTGACAAGATTAACCAAGAAAAGACGAGAGAAAATCCAAATAACCTCAATAAGAAATAAAACTGGAGATATTGCAACTCATACCATTGAAATACAAAAGATCATTCAAAGCTACTATGAACACCTTTATGCACATAAACTAGGAAACCTAGAAGAGATGGATACATTCCTAGAAGAATACAACTCACCTAGCTTAAATCAAGAATTAGATACCCTGAACAGACCAGTAACAAGCAGCAAGATTGAATTGGTAATTTAAAAATTACCAACAAAAATGTCCAGGACCAGAGAGAGTCACAGCAGATTTCTACCAGACATTCAAAGAAGAATTGGTACCAATCCTTTTGACACTACTCCACAAGATAGAGAAAGAAGGAACCCTCCCTGATTCATTCTGTGAAGCCAGCTTCCCAAAACCAGGAAAAGACATAACCAGGAAAGAAAACTACAGACCAATATCCTCAAGGAAGATAGATGCTAAAATCCTGAACAAAATACTAGGTAACCAAATCCAAAACATATCAAAAAGATAATCCACTATAATCATGATCAGTGGGTTTCATACCAGGGATGCAGGGATGTTTTGACATATGCACATCAAAAAATGCGATACACCACATAAACAGAATTAAAAACAAAATCACATGATCATTTCAATAGATGCAGAAAAAGCATTTGACAAAATCAGCATCACTTTATGATTAAAAACATCGGCATACAAAGGACATACCTCAGTGTAATAAAACCCATCTATGACAAACCCACAGCCAACAGAATACCAGATGGGGAAAAGCTGAAAGCATTTCCTCGAGAACTGGAACAAGACAAGGACGTCCACTCTCACTACTTCTCTTCAACATGGCACTGGTAATCTAAGCCAGAGCAATCTGACAGGAGAAAGAAATAAACAGCATCCAGATTAGTAAAGAAGAAGTAAAACTGTCGCAGTTTGCTGATGATATGACTGTTAGCCTTGACAATCCTAAGGACTCGTCCAGAAAGCTCCAAGAACTGATAAGAGAATTCAGCAAAGTTTCCAGATACAAGACTAATATACACAAATCAGTAGCTCTTCTACATAACAACAGTGACCAAGCTAAGAATCAAATCCAGAACTCAACCACTTTCACAACAGCTGCAAAAAAATAAAATACTTAGGAGTATACCTTACCAAGGAGTCAAAAGACCTCTAAGATAAAAGCTATAAAACACTGCTAAAAGAATCATAGCTGAAATGAACAAATGGAAACACATCCCATGCTCATGGATGGGTAGAATCAATACTGTAAAAATGACTATACTGCCAAAAGATGTCCACAAATCCAATGCAACCCCAATCAAAATATCATTCTTCATAGAATTAGAAAAAACAATTCTAAAATTCATATGGAACCAAAAAACAGGCTGCATAGCCAAAGGAAGATAAGCAACAATTTGGAACAAATCTGGAGGCATCATACTACCTGATTTCAAACTTTCTCTTGTCTCTCCCTGATCAGCTTAATAACTTACCTCCAAACTCTTTTTAAGGTAAATCAGGGATTTCTTCTTGGTTTGGATCCATTGCTGGTGAACTAGTGTGATTTTGGTGGGTGTTAAAGAGCCTTGTTTTGTCATATTATTAGGGCTGGTTTTCTGGTTATTTCTCATTTGGGTAGGCTCTGTTAGAGGGAAGGTCTGCTGAAGGCTGTTGTTCAAATTTTTTTGTCCCACAGGGAGTTCCCTTGATGTAGTACTTTCCTCCTGTTCCTGCTTCCTGTGAGCTGAACTGCAGTGATTGTTCTCTCTTCTGGGTCTAGCCACCCAGCAAGTCTACCTGGCTCTGGGCTGGTACTGGGGGTTGTCTGCACAGAGTCCTGTGATGTGAACCAGAACCATCTATGGGTCTCCCAGCCATGGATATCAGTGCCTGCTCCAGTGAAGCACTGGGGGATGCAGTGGACTTTGTGAGGGTCCTTAGCTTCAGTGGTTTAATGTTCTATTTTTGTGCTGGTGCCAGGAGGTGGCACTTTCTAGAAAGCATCTGCTGTAATTGTGTGGAGAGGGACTGGCAGTGGGTGGGGCCCTAGAGTTGCCAAGATTATATGTCCTTTGTCTTCCACTACTAGAGTGGATAGGGAAGGACCATGAGGTGGGGGCAGGACTAGCCATGTCTGAGCTCAGACTCTCCTTCGGTGGATCTTGCTGTGGCTGCTGTGGGAGATGGGGGTGGGATTCCCAGGTCACTGGAGTTGTGTACCTAGCTGGATTATGGTTGCCTCTGCTGAGTCATGCAGGTCATCAGGGAAGTGGGGGAAAGGCAGCAGTCACAGGTCTCACTCAGCTACTCAACCCCACTGTGCCCACACCAACATCCCCCAGTATGTTTCCAGGCGGACAGCAACATGGGCCAGCCTGAAAACTTGTCCCAGGCTACCCTCCTCCCAGCTGTGAAAGAAAAAGCTTGGTTCTTCCCCTGTCTGTGGAGTCTGCACACCAGATGTGCACCCTCCTCAGAGTTCTGGCCAGGAGACTTCTCACCCCACTTCAAATTGTTACAAAGTTCAGCTAGAGATTTATTTCTCTCTGTGGAGTTTTACCCCCTGCTCTTCACCTGTGAGAGCCCTGTGGTGCCAGGCAGGAATGGGCTACTTGGGGACCCAGTGAGCTCCCAGTGACTTTCTGCTGCTTCCTCTACCCGTGTGTTTCACTGGGCTCTCCAAATTGATCCAGCTCCAGGTAAATTTGGAAACTTTTCCCACAAACACACCTTCAGCTTCTTCAGTGGGGGTGTATGTCCGGGAGACGAGGGTCTCCATTTCCCACTTCCGCAGGTGGGGCTCACAGTTTTGCAGGGGGTCTCCCAGTTCCTGCAGAAGCAGTCTGTTTTCTTCAGAGGGTCTGTGGGTCCTCTCAGGATTCCTGGTTTGTTCTTGCAGTCAACTTAGAGCTAAAATTTGTTTTTTTTTTTTTTTTTTTTTTTTGAGAGAAGGTCTCACTGTCACCCAGGCTGGAGTGCAATGGCACCATCACAGTTCACTACAGCCTTGACCTCCTGGGCTCAATTGATCCTCCCAACCCAGCCTCCCAAGTAACTGCCCAGCTAATTTTTTTTTTTTAGAAATGGGGTCTCACTATGTTGCCCAGGCTGGTATCGAACTCCTGGGCTCAAGCAATCCTCTCAGCCTCCTAAAGTACTGGATTACAGGTATGACGCATTGCACCTGGCCTAGGAATCCATTCTTAAAGGAGACTCTCCCTGAATTACTTCTAAACAGAAAACACAGTATTATAATATTAAGGTTTACAATGTTGGTTCCACATATCCATGTTTCTTAGAGTGAGGCATAATTATCAGGGCTTACAAGATGCTCAAATCTTTTCATAGATTGTGCAGTATAGACTTTAAAATCAAAATCATTGTAATAAAATGAATACAAGTCTGCTTTTATTTGACACAAAACATTTTTGTTCTTGAAAAATTCCACAAATAAAAAAAGAACAGAATGAAATCACCACCCTAGTACCCTTATGTTCTGAAAGAACTTCCTCCTCATCTCCTGGACAGTCTTGGTGAAATGTGAAACTTTTATGAGTCACTTTCCATGAATTGGGAGGCATGCCCATGTGGTCCAAGGGCAACCTTCCCTAACCCAGATTATCACTAATAAGTAAGAGAAGCTGATGTTACAGCATCCTGCGTGCTCCTGCATTCTTGGGCTGTGAACAAGCCACAGCCCCCTCTACTTGGACAAAGCAAACTTTACCAAGTTAACCAAACCAGAGACTAGGAAAGTAAAAAAACATGGGGAGATGGACATTATGTTGCAAGATAATCATGAAATACCACAAAGAAGCCTCTCTGAAAACATCTAGACAGACTGCCACTGGGTTCCATGCTCCCTGTGCTGGAAGCACACTCAGGTTAAGACCATCCCTTACATCCCTCCACTAAGCCTGGTCGGCAAGCAAACCTTTTTGTAAAGGATCAGATGGCAGATAGTTTCAGCTGTAAAAGCCATCTGATCTGCCGCAATGACGACTCAACTCTGCCATTATAGAGAGGAAGCAGCCACAGGCAGTCCATGGGCAAACGAATGTGGCTGCACGCCAATAAAATTTTATTTACAAAAACAGACAGGGGGCTGTGGACCATAGTTTGCTAACCCCTGACTAAAACAATGGTTATGCAATCCTTTCCTCTGTTGAGTCCATCTGCTTCCCTAGACTTGAAACCAGTGAATCTAGGGATGGTTTATCATATTCTTCCAAGCTGAGAAGAAAGCTGCTCTGCTCCCCAGTAAACTTGTTTCCAGGTGACCCTGACCTAAACCCCCCAATCTGACACATCTGACACCACTTGATATGGGTGAGCTGCTTGAGACTGTCTCACAAACCATGAGACCTCAACTCTGCAGACAATTCTGGAAGTGATCTAAGGAAGGATGAGATGCAGTTTGAGAAGTGTGTGGGATATGCTTGGGAGGAGGAGAGCTGGGAGGGAGATCTAGTGCATACAGTGGACACACACAGAGTTAAGAGGGGCATGGCATTGTGGAGACTTTCTATTCAAAGACACAATCTGTGTCACACTGACTCCAATTCTGCTCAGGGAGCCTACAAGTAAAACTACCTGTCTCTGGTAAGCAGGGGGCAGGACTAACTCACAGAAAGAAACAAATGACTTGAAGGAAGGGGCCAGATGAGTTCTGCAGAAGACATCCACATATCTGACTCACATGTTTCCTTGTCTCACTTCCTGCTTTAGGGAAGGGCAGGAAGAAATGTGGAGAAGGGAAAGGCCCCCATGGCTGTTGGGTCTGGTGGGGTAGCAGGGATGCTGCTCCCTGCCGGGGTGACCATCAAGGGCTGGAATCTAGCCAGGGTTCTCTAAGCAGGCCTGTAGGGAGGGCAACCTGGTCACCACATGTCTGGTTTCATGGTATCACAGCAGAGCTGAGTGGCTGCAGCAGGGATGCTATGTCCCTCTAAGCCACAAATATTTATCATCTCATATTCTGCAAACACTGTTGACCTTTGAGCTACAGCCACTTAATGCACAGACCCATTTTAAATTAAAAAGTTTTCTTGTGGATTCCCAGTGTTGAGATTTTTTTTATAACCAAGATAAAATTAGTATATCATAAAACTTGCCCTTTGAAACAGCACAGGTCGGTAGTTTTTAGTATATTCACAGCAGTCACCACTATCTGATTCCAGAGGATTTCCATTACTCTAGAAAGAAACCCTCTGTCCATGAGCAGTCTCTGCCTCACTTGGTCCCACTCAACCCCTGGCAGCCACTAATCTACTTTCTATCTATAGATGTACCTATTCTGGAAATGGTATCATACAATATATGAATTCAATTATTTTTTATTAGACTGTTAAATATGCCTATGTATAAAATCTGTTTCCTTTAAAATGCAAAACAATGTTATATGCAAGCAAAACTGTAAAGCCAACTTCAGGTTTAATGACAGGTGGTGTGGCTTTGCTGAACATGAATCACAATGTTCGTGGCCCTGGGCACTGCAATGGTGCTGCTTCTGGGCCCGGCTATCACAATTTCTGGGGTATCACAGAAGGACTCATCTCAGCCATCACTTTTGTTTAGACTAACAAGACACAGAGCTCTGCTGGCACGGCACCCTGATGTCCTGTCCCTCATCCACGTGGAGCATACTGTTCACAGGGGAGTCCTGAACTCACTCTTTTCTCCCACCCAGGAAAACTGTGTCAGCACTGTGGTCAATGAGACTCTCTGACACACAGCCATGGTCATTCACACCATTCACCACATCTTGATTTAGACTCTAAGAGCTAGCACAGAAATGAACACACAAAAATTTAAACTTTCCGAGAGGACAAACATGTTCCCAAGGACATGCTTCAAATGCCACATGTGAGAAAGCCTGAGGCAGAAATACATCTGTGAGGTGGTGGTGAGCTGTGTGGTATGAAGGGGCCTGATGTGGTTTGCTCAGCTGGCCTGGTGGAATGCAGACCTGACATGTGCTATTAGTTCTGGCAGCCTCTCTAGGAATTCTCTGGGTTTGTGCAGATTTAAAAGACACAAAATTTGTGGAAATATTTGAATGCATTTTCTATTTATATTGAGAAGGATGTGACTCAGAACTATTTCCTTTCTTACTTCAAATGTGTGGGCCTTCAGAAAACGGATGAGCTAACTTGATTTCTGAGACTAATTACAAGGACCTAAAAGCCACATAAGACACTGAATCTATGGGACTCTTAAGTCAAACTTTAATTGGGTGGGTGTGGTGTGGTGGCTCACCCTTGTAATCCCAGCACTCTGGGAGACTAAGGGGAAAGGATTGCTTGAGGCCAAGAGTTTGAGGCCTGCCTGCACAGTATAGCAAGACACTGTCTACAAAAACTTTTTTTAAAATTGCTGGCATGCTGGGGTCCTCCTGTGATCTCAGCTACTGGAAAGATTGACTGAGCTTGGAGGTCAAGGCTGCAGAGAGCCATGACTGCACCACTGCACTCCAGCCTGGGCCACAGAGTGAGACCCTGTCAATGAATCAATCAATCCATCTATGTATCTGTACAGCATTCTGAGTGGGTGCCTGTGTTATCTCAGCCCAGCCTGGGAGGGGGACTGGACTTGGACACAGTCAACAGGAATGGAAGCTGGAAGATGCTAACATGGAAAATGGACATCTCTGTATCCAGGTAGCTCTCTGGAGAAAGGTGAAAGCATGAAAGGATCCCATAACATGCAAAGTCAGCCAAGGTCAACCCAGAGGTGGCAGCTTTGAAGAATGCATACAGCTGACAAGGAGGCAAGAGGAGAGCCAGAGAGGAGGGGGCTGCCACATCAGCACATACTATAGGAGTCTCTCCCCCAAGAGAGGGCACAGGGGCTCCAGACTGCGCACCTGGCTAGTGGGAGCTCTTGCGTAGGCACCAGGGATGGGGCAGCTGGGAAACAAAAGGGCAGCTTTCGACAGGGCTGGATTCTTCTGGAAAGGCAACTCTCAGGTCACAGACTGGGAGTCACATGAGGGATCAAGGAGCTGTGTGAGTACAGCTATGTATGTTGGCACCGAACCACAAGGCAGCAACTGTTGTATTTTTTGTAGAGATGGGATCTTGCTAGGTTTTGCCAGCTGGTCTCAAACTCCTGGACTCAAGTGATCCTCCTACCTCAGCCTCCCAAAGTGCTGGGATTAGAGGCGTGCTCCACTGTGCCCTGCTCAATGACATGAATTTGCTTGTAGAAGACTGCTTACCTGCCCTGTCTAGAACTGATATGTCTGAGTTAAATCTTCCTTTGCATTTCCTTTCAGCTTCCCTCAGCTCTGGCATCTCAGGGCATTGGTCTCTTCCACCATCCTTTTGCATGCTTCTCCCTCCGCGTGAGTGCTTTGTGGATCTGCCTCCCTGCTCTAGCTTCTCCTCCTGAGACTAATGGCAAGGACAGTGACTACAGCCACATAAGATACTGAATCTACGAGACTCTTAAGTCAAACTTCAAAAATGAACACATTGGCTGGATGTGGTCCTGTGGCTCACCCTTATAATCCCAGCACTCTGGGAGGCTGAGGTGAGAGGATCAAGGCCAGGAGTGCAAGGCCAGCCTGTGCAACATAGTGGTCCTGTAACCCTAAAGTATTATCTGAAAACTATTCCTTCTAAATAATGTGGAGTCATGATATGAAACTAACAAGTAAACAAATAGGCAGCTGCCTATATTGGCTCTGGGTTTCCAAAGTCCCCATGGGTATAAATGCAAGGGGAAAACATATTTGCAAGTAAGACATAAAAACAGGGCTAGGCATGGTGACTCACGCCTGTAATCCCAGCACTTTGGGAGGCTAAGGTGGGTGGATTGCTGGAAATATATTTCCAGGAGTTCAAGACCAGCTTGAGTAACATGGCAAGACCTCGTCTGAACAAAAAATACAAAAATTGGCCCAGCATAGTGGTTTGCACTCTGCAAGATGGGAGAGAAGGAAGACAATGCCAGCACCCACAGCTCCAAGGACCACCTCCAGATCCCATTTCAGCACCAGTCTTCAGAGACACCCAGAACCCAGTCCTCACCCAAGGCCTCTTGAACTTGAGGAACAACGAACAAATATGCTACATCTAAACTTTCCTACAAGGTCTAAAATCTCATACCAAAAAACAAATCTGTGCTACCAAATTTATTTTGAGGTATTTATGTCTTCTTGATTCCAAATGCCTTGCTAGTGCAGACAAGTAAGAGAAGCCCATTTCACTTATTAGTGTGTAAATTAAAATGCTAAATAAAATTTCAGTACACAGAATGTACCAATATGGAAAGATTATTCACCAAAATCAAGACTGACTGACTCAAGGAAAGTCTGGCTGGTATCTACCATTCAGCCACCAGTCCATCTGGTTATATATCCACCTATTTATCCTTACATCCTTCTTCTCACTCCCCCATCCATCCACCTTCCCATGCCTCCATCCATCTACACATGCATGTATCCATCCATCCATCCATCCATCCACTATCCATCCATCCATCATCCATGCATCCATCCATCCATCCATCCACTCACTCATTTACCTTCCCTCTTATCTATCCACCCACTTACCTATTCATCCATCCATCCATCCATCCATCCACTTACTTTTCCATTCATGCATCCATCTACCCACTTACCCTTCCATCAATCCATCCACCACTTACCTTCCCATCCATCCACTTACCCTCCCATCCATCCATCCATCCATCCATCCACCCACCAACTCACTTACCCTCCCTTTTATATATCCATCCATCTACTTACCTATTCATCCATCTATCCACTTACTTTTCCATTCATCCGTCCATCCACTTACTTTTCCATTCATCCATCCATCCATCCACCTACCAACCCTTCCATCTATCCATCCATCACTTACCTTCCCATCCATCCACTCATCCACTCATCCATCCATCCAACCATCTCTTCTCTGAGCTTATGAAGCATCGTGTAACTTAAAAAAAATTACAAATACATTTCTCTAATGACCAATGATGTGGAGCATTTTTTCAAATGTTTGTTGGTTGTATAAATGTCTTCTTTTGAGAAGTATCTGTTCATATCCTTCACCCACTTTTTGATGGTTTTTTTTCTTGTAAATTTCTTTAAGTTCTTTGTAGATTCTGGATATCAGCCCTTTGTCAGATGGACATATGCAAAATTTTTCTCCCATTCTGTAGGTTGCCTGTTCACTCTCATGATAGTTTCTTTTACTGTGCAGAAGCTCTTTAGTTTAAATAGATCCGATTTGTCAATTTTGGGTTTTGTTGCCATTGCTTTTGGTGTTTTAGACATGAAGCCTTTGTCCATGCTTACGTCCTGAATGGTATTGCCTACGTTTTATTCTGGGATTTTTATGGTTTTAGGACTTAAGTTTAAGTCTTTAATCCATCTTGAGTTAATTTTTGTATAAGGTGTAAGGAAGGGGTCCAGTTTCAGTTTTCTGCATATGGCTAGCCAGTTTTCCCAACACTATTTATTAAATAGGGAATCCTTTCCCCATTGCTTGCTTTTGTCAGATTTGTCAAAGATCAGCAGGTTGTAGATGTGTGGTGTTGTTTCTGAGGCCTCTGTTCTGTTCCATTGGTCTATATCTCTGTTTTGGTACCAGTACCATGCTGTTTTGGTTACTGTAGCCTTGTAGTATAGCTTGAAGTCAGGTAGTATGATGCCTCCAGCTTTGTTCTTTTTGCTTAGGATTGTCTTGGCTATGAGGGCTCTTTTTTGGTTCCATATGAACTTTAAAGTAGTTTTTTCCCATTCTGTGAAGAAAGCCAATGGTAGTTTGATGGGGATAGCAGTGAATCTATAAATTACTTTGGGCAGTATGGCCATTTTCATGATATTGATTCTTCCTATTCATGAGCATGGAATGTTTTTCCATTTCTTTATGTTCTCTCTTATTTCCACAATGAGATAGCATCTCACACCAGTTTGAATGGCAATCACTAAAAAGTCAGGAAACAACAGATGCTGGAAAGGATGTGGAGAAATAGGAATGCTTTTACACTGTTGGTGGAAGAGTAAATAGTTCAACCATTGTGGAAGACAGTGTGGCAATTTCATAAGGATCTAAAACTAGCAATACGATTTGACCCAGCACTTCCATTACTAGGTATATACCCAAAGGATTATAAATCATTCAACTATAAAGACACATGCACACATATGTTTAATGTGGCATGATTCACAATAGCAAAGACTTGGAATCAACCCAAATGTCCATCAGTGATAGACTGGATAAAGAAAATGTGGCACATAAACACCATGGAATACTATGCAGCCATAAAAAAGGATGAGTTCATGTCCTTTGCAGGGACATGGATGAAGCTGGAAACCATCATTCTCAGGAAACTAACACAAGAACAGAAAACCAAACACTGCATGTTCTCACTCATAAGTGGGAGTTGAACAATGGGAACACATGGACACAGGGAGGGGAACATCACATACCAGGGTCTGTTGTGGGGTGGGGGGCTAGGGTAGGGATAGCATTAGGAGAAATACCTAATGTAGGTGATGGGGTGATGGGTGCAACAAACCACCATGGCTGTGTATACCTATGTAACAAAACTGCACGTTCTGCACGTGTATCCCAGAACTTAAAGTATTAAAAACAGATTAAAAAAAAAGCCAATCAGTAACAGCTTCACCCTAATGAGCTCATTTTATATCAACCAATCAGCAAGTCTTGTTGGAATATCCACACTTTTACAGATAAAGGGCAAGCACTTCCTGAACATTCCCACTTTTGAGAAAAATCCACCAATACCTTAGCATCTCCATTCTTCCCAAAACCCTATGTAAGACAAAGTCTGGGTCTCATTTTCAGGTCATAAATAGATTTCCTCAGAAAAATCACATAATGGTTATGAATTTGTCATTTTTACCCAGTGTATCAACAGTTTTTGCTTTATCTATTTGGTAGCTATGGTGTGTGGTGCAAAAAGGGTTCAAGGTCATTCCATGTTTTGAGATATTGTACTTATATGAAACATTCCTCTTTGTTCCAAAAAAAATTACAAATATGTATGTATCATCACTTCAATCTACCCTACTTTGCTTTATATTAACATAGCATCTTGAACCTTACAAAAAATGTTACCTCTATTTGGTTCCCATGAACAACCAAGAACAACAAAAAATAATTCCAATCTTAACGTGCTTCTGTTATCCAAACAGAACACTACAACCAACACTTTTTCTTGTTATGCATCGGTTATCACAGCAGTACTTTATCTGACTTACCCAGACATGTTTACGTTACTTTAAACTTATACAAAACATTGGGTATCTTCAAACCTTTGTATTTTAGATTTTTTTTTTTTTGGTGAGCCTGAATTCTGACTTCTGTTATTCTCCATTTTAATTTTTGAAGTGTATTCTTTCTTATTGACCCTTCAGAAATTAGAGTCTCTGAAATAAGCTGGAGATACCTTTTCAACCTACATATGCTGGAATATCATCATGTCTTGCCATTCAAAAACACGCACACAATTCTGAAAATTGCTAAGTTGGTAGCTCAAAAGCAGAGTTCCTGGAACTAATTTCTTCAGAGTGGTTATGCAGTCTGCTGAAAGACATGGCCTTGATGAATGAAGCATGGGCAACCCCCACCTCCTCTCGACCTTTTACAGCATTAATACTGCCATTCACTCACACACACACAGTCTGCACATGACAGCTGTTCAGGGTGACCCTCTCCATGCACAGAAGAGATATACAACCCCACCAGCATGGATGCCCTCTGCACAGCTGAAATTCTTGGGGCATCAGGCAGAGCTCAGCAGCAGAGCAAGGGCCCGCAGTGCAGAGCTCACTGAGCACTGCACGCAATGCACTACACAGCCGTCTTCCACCGTCTGAGAGCTGGCTTGGAAAACAGACAGCATCTGGCCCTCAGCACCCGACCTACTTGGAATCCACAGTCATAAAGCTCCAACTGTGCTTCTCAGACACAGCTACATTCTGTAGGTGGATTATTCGTCAGCTTTTCTGACACATACATTCTTGGATTCAGCCTCAGAGTCAATTAAGTAACTACAGAGACTTCCTACACAAGCACACACACAATATCAATCCCGTTGCTGCAGAGTCACATTAATATTTGATCCCCATGTAGAAGGCTACCAGCTCTCAGTTTAAAGCCAAATGAGGCTGGGCACGGTGGCTCACGCCTGTAATCCTAGCACTTTGGGAGGCCGAGGCCGGTGGATCACTTGAGGTCAGGAGTTCAAGACCAGCCTGGCCAACATGGCGAAACCCCATCTCTACTAAAAATACAAAAGTTAGTAGGTGTGGTCGTGTGTTCCTGTAGTCCTAGCTACTTGGGTGGCTGAGGCAAGAGAATCACTTGAACCTGGCAGGTGGAGTTGCAGTGAGCCAAGATCATGCCACTGCACTCCAACCTGGGTGACAGTGTGAGACTCTGTCTCAAAAAAGATAAAAGCCGGCCTGGGCGCGGTGGCTCACGCCTGTAATCCCAGCACTTTGGGAGGCCAAGGCGGGCAGATCTTCAGGTCAGGAGATCGAGACCATCCTGGCTAACACAGTGAAACCCCATCTCTATAAAAAATACAAAAAATTACCTGGGCTTGGGGGTGGGTTCCTGTAGTCCCAGCTACTCAGGAGGCTGAGGCAGGAGAATGGCGCGAACCCGGGAGGCAGAACTTGCAGTGAGCCAAGACTCCACCACTGCACTCCAGCCTGGGCAACAGTGAGACTCCGTCTCAAAAAAAAAAAAAAAAGCGAAATGAATAAAACCCGGTAACATGAGGTGCTTGAAAGTAAACTTTTTAATTTGCAATTTCTGCAAGAGAACCTTGAGTTTTGAGGTCAGTGTTTAATCTGAAAGTCACGGCAATCACACAAGATTCTCAAAGCGACAGAAAAATCCATATGCACAATTATTCCCGTAACAAGACTGCACCACATCTTCTCCAGAGACACACACTATCTCTTCCTTCCCTCCTTGTACAATGAAGGGCAAGATTATACTATTTTTTTTTTTTTTTAGACAGGGTCTTACTCTTTTGTCCAGGCTGGAGTGCAGTGGCGCAGTCCCAGCTCACTGCAACCTCCACCTACCAGGTTCAAGTGATTCTCATGCCTCAGCCTCCTGAGTAGCTGGGACTACAGGTGCTTGCCACCAAACCTGGCTAATTTTTTTTTTCTATTTTTAGTAGAGACAGGGTCTCACCATGTTGCCCAGGCTGATCTTGAGCAAGCGAGTGACTCAAATGATCCATCTGCCTCAGCCTCCCAAAGTGCAGGGATTATAGGTGTCAGCCACCATGCCTGGCCCAGATTATACTATATATTTTATCTAACTCTGTCCTTGCCTCAGCTAAGCAGCTACAAGGCATGTTCTGGAATTATGGCACAAAATGCTCTAATCTGCTGCTCCTGCCATGGTTCCTGCAGATGCTTGCAGCCTCTCTGGGAGTCAACTGACTAGATTTCTATTTTAAAGCTCAAAATTAACTCATTAACTAGATCCAATTTAGGAAGGACTGCCCTATTCCTTTCTGACTGATTATCCTTAGAGAAAACTCTGATTTCCACGCCATGGCTAGGCACACAGCTGTGTGCTAGACAGCTAAAGCTGACCTTCCACCAGGCATTCTGTGAAAAGTGTCCAGCTCCAGTGTGGTAAACTGGATTTCTCATTCTGTCTCCAAAAACAGTCTTACTATGCAGAAAACACAGCAGCTATTTCAAGAACCAAAAATGTCACTGCTGCATAAGAAGGCCTTCCTGCCCTAGGGATGTGTCTCTGGGCAGGGCTGCAGGATGCACAGGTTCTGTCCAGACCTCCAGGGCATCAGGGATGCTGGAAATCATGCCGGGTTTCAGCTGCTTTATGTTGGGCAAAAACCAGATGTCACCCACCATACGTACTGAGGCCCACCTCCAGACACTTCTTCAGTAACTCTGAATCCAAATTTCATCCACGTCGGCATGGACTATTCCTCTTTGGCCCAGACTGCAGAGGGAAGCTCTTCTATGTGCTTGCCGGGGTCCTCTGCCTGCCTTCGCAGTTTGACGGAAGCATCCTGCAAAGGGTAACACAATGAGACACTAAGTCCACAGCTGGCTGTGATTATGAAAGCCGTCATTTGTGCGTTCACCTTGCCAGTGCAGCTCTACAAAGCATTTCATTGAAACAACTAAGATCCCATAACCACTTCTGTTCTGGGCAGGAAACAGAACTCCTACGTGAAGCCTGTAAAACCGTGTGGCACAACTGGCCAAAAGAAATTAAAATAAAATAAAATAAATAAAACAAAATAAAAAATTTAAAATAAAATAGAATATAAAATATAAAATAAAATAAAATATAGCTGGTCACAAATTATAGTGGTGAAACCTCAAGCTCTAGGATGTCAGGGCCCCAGATTCTTTGCTCCTGAAAGAGCAAGCATGATATTCTCAGAGGTAATGCTGAATAGCCCACAAGCCAGGGTATTCCAATGCTGAAAACACACACTCACACCATCTGCATGGATTTTCAGAGCCGGGACACCACAGAGCAAACCAGCAGCTTTCTTTCCATGCACATATTAAATATCTTCTATTAAATTTATTAGTGGTTCTTTTTTTTTTTTTTTTTTTTTTTTGTTGAGAGAGGGTACTACTTACTGCTCCTTTGCCCAGGCTGGAGTATAGTGTTGAGAACACAGTTCATTGAAACCTATACCTCCTGGGCACCACTGTGACACCTGGCGAAGTATTTTTTCCTTTTTTGTAGAGACAAGGTCTTGCTTTGTTGCCCAGACTGGTTTGGAACTCCTGTTCTCAAGTGATCATCCTTTCCTGGCCATCCAAACTGGTAGGACTGCAAATGCACCAGCCCACTCACCTCTTATTCTTTTAAAAAGGAACTGTATCTATCACTGCAGAACTTTTTTTCTTTGAAATATACAGGTGCAGATGTAATAGGGAGAAAAAGCTTTCAAAGGGGCAGGGGCAAGAGAGAAAGGGACTGTCAACTTTGAAGCAGGGCTGTGAAATACACAGTTTTCTAGAAAGCTTGATGTAAACTCTGACCATCAAAACTCTCACCTTAAAAATGTGCAATAACTTAATGTGTTTTAGGTGTTTTCAAAAAAGACTACATTTTGTTCCAGAGCAATCCTTAAAAATATTTGCAGATAAAAAACAGAATAGTATAAAAACCCAAATACCATAGACATTAAATATCATCAGTGTTTGGTGACTATTGTATGTTGTTTTAAGCCTTTAAATAAACCACACATTTTTCCAGGTCAAGGTGGTTCGTTATCATTTTCGACAGTTTCTCTCCAAGTTCTTTGCTGAGTCTGAAGGTAGGAACAGGCTACTTAAGGTGAAAGACAGTTAAAGCCAGAGATTATGGCAGCAAGAACGGGAATGAAAAAAGTGGGTTTTTGAGAACCTGGCATTTTAAATTACCTTGAATATGTTGATTTTGTCCCCAAGTAACTCTGACACAGTGGACACTAGGAGGTATGGGAAAGGTAAACTCCTGAACAGCTGGAGCTAAGTAGCGCTGGCCTCAGCCATTGCATCCTGGGTGTGTCCTGTCCATGTGTTAAGATGATGGTCAAAGGGGGGTCATGCCCTCGCTTGGCTCCATGGCTTACCAGCTTGTAGTGGTGTATGGAGGGCAACCAGGACCTCTTGTGAATGTGTTGTGGCCTCTCCTTCTGGTCCAGGCCCACTTCTAGGATCTCATCTGCCTAGTGGCAGCGCCCAGAGCTCCTAGCCTCCAGAGGCTTCCTCTGTTCCTTCCAGAAGGCCTGATACTCTGCAAAGGTGCCAAGACGTCCAACATCCCTGCTTTCTCTGCTGTGCTGTGACTGTTGAGGCTTTCCACAAGGGAGGTAGTGTGCGACCAGGGTTCGATGCCCTCACATGTGCGGTCCACTGTCCGTGACCTCTCCGGCTTGTCTCTGAGGACCCCCTGAAGAGCTTGCCTCTGTGCAGGCCTCTGGGGAATGAGTTTGCCCACTTCCTCAAAAAACTTGCACCTGTGGGCAAACGTGCCATGGTATCCTCAGATGTCCTGAGATACTGGTAAGGACCACAGCTGCCCTCTGTGAGGCCCACCATGTTCATCTCAGGTTTTGAGTAGGACTTCAGTTTCTGCTCAGCCATGAACTGTCTTCAGGCTCTGATGCAGGACGGGTGGGACCACCCGCAACCTGCAGATGAGGGCAGCTGGGCCACGCCTGCCTCCTAGAAGTGGGGGCAGCATCCAGATCTTTTGTCTGGTGTTCCAGTGACTCTGGGTAAGGGTCTTCTGGGCTGGGGTCCAAGTCATAGCACTTGAAGTGGCCCTCAGGACCCATGCTTGGGTCTCCTTCAGGTGGTCTTTATAGGAGCAGCAATGGGTCCTTCCTGGGTGCCACCTCCCAACCCTGCCCTCCAGCGATCAGTGGCATCCTCTGTGTCACCTACTGTAGTCAGAGCCACTGTTCTCCAGTTCTTCTGCAGCTTGGCTCTATGCATCTGGATCTCATTCTGTAAGGTGGTGGAAAAGTGGTCTCTTCTCCAAGTGGGCTTGTCCACCTGGGCATCAAATGGTGGTGGCCTCTTGGAGCTGCCCTCCTGGCTGCTCTGTGGCCAACACTTCCTCTCCTGGGTCAGGGAGTGCAACAGGGGTATCTCCTGAGGGGAGATCCTGCTGCTCTCCATGTCTGCCCATGTGAAGCCGGCTGCTGGCAGTTGGCTGGCTTTTTCGGCATGGCTAGCCCTGGGAGGCTCCTGGGCTCCTGTGGGACAACCCAGACTGTGTCCAGTGGGTAACACTGTCATGTCTCACAGGCATCCAGAGAACCCTTGGGCTGAGGTAGGTGATGCTGTGGGCTCTGGCTCAGGTGAGGAGAGCTGTTGTCCTGGGAGCCAACGGCTGCTGGCTCCTGCCCGAGGCTGTCAGCACAGAGTGGGCTGTAGTCACTGTAAGAGGGTGACAGCTGCCATGGGGAGACTGCGGGAAGTGCATGTGTGAGCTGGATAGAGAGGCCTGCAGCCTACTTGAAGCTCCGTCCTTGGTAGATGGCCAGCTGCAGTCTGCATGAGCCTCCTGTGGGCAGCCTGTGCCTCCTGCTCCCTTCCCCAAGCTCCCCGGTTCCCTGGCCTCCACAGCTAATTGGTGGGCTCTGGTCTCCAGTCGCTGCAGGGCTGAGGCTGGGCTGGGGTCATAACGTGCTGTGCTATGGTCACCTCTACAAGCACAGGGCCCTGGGCCTTCTCAAGGCTCTTGGTGGCAGCAAAGCTGTCACTGTGCAGAGGGGAAGCGGGAGGAAGGGGGAAGCTGGTGCCTTCTCCTTATAAGGAACATACAAGATTGGCCCAAAATTGAACATCCCAGGGACAGCTAGCTTGGGCTCGGCATTGTACTCTGGCCTGGGGCCTCTGGCACTGTCACCAAGAACCACAGGCAGGAAACACCCAGGCCTCTCCTCCAAGCCCTGGGGGGCCCCTGTGGCCTGTGCCTGCTGGCTGCCCTGCCTGGGAGTCTCCCAGAGGCCCAGGCTGTAGAGGATGTTCTCTGCAGAGGAGGCTTCGGCCTTGGACAAGGTGTGGTCAGGAGTGCTACTGCTGGTGGAGAAGGAGCCATAGGCAGAGTCACACTTGCTGTGGCTGCCCAGGTGGTCGATGTTGCTGTTGGACTTGGCCACCAAGAGGCGCCCAGAGGGGTCCAGGCTGTCGAGACTCCCCAGGGAGCTGAAGTGATCCAAGGTACACTGTAGATTTGTATGCTCCCAGGAACTGGATAGGTTGTGGGAGGAAGAACTACAAGAACAAGAAGAAGTACAAGGCATGTTGTTCTTTAGTGTCAGTAATTGGCAAAGAGCAACGTGGCGTACACAGCTGGCCCTCTGTGGAAATATCAAAATGCCAAACAGTAACTTCTCAGGGTCAAATCACTGGGGCTGAGGTTTCAGCTTAACACACATAGATTTTAGTAGAGACAGGCAGAAAGAAAGTGCAGGCTGAAAAGAACGTGTCCTCCCGGTAGCATGTCTTTTTACAAACAGATGCCTTTCAATAGTAGGGCAAATTATCAGCCTGATGCCCAGATTACTGGCAGGTAAAGTCTGAATTTACACATCTATGGTCAATCAATAGTTAAGTGCAGAGGTGGGCACATGACAACCCAAAAGCTAAGAATGGTTTTTATATGTTTAATGGTGGGGGGAAGAAATAAAGGTATACTATTTCTCCTATTTAACCTATAAAAATGATCTGAAATTCAAATTTCAGTTCGTAAGTGAAGTGAAAATACGTATTATCTAGCCTGTTATATAGACCAGGCTTGGTCACTCAGGGTTAAAATTCCAGTGCGTTAAGAGGCTGAGGTGGGAGGATCACTCAAGGCCAGGAGTTTCAAAGCATTTAGGGCAATGTAGGAAGACCCTGTCTCTATAAAAATGTTTCAAAAATTAGCAAGGTGTGGTGGCACACTCTTACAGTCCCAGCTACTCAGGAGTCTGAGGTGGGAGGATCACATGATGCTACAGTGAGCCAAGACTGCACCACTGCACTCCAGCCTGGACAGGAGACTGAGACTCTGTCTCAATAGGAGAAGAAAGAGGAGGAGGAGGGGGAGAAGGAAGTTGGTGTAATAGCAAAAACTGCAATTACTTTTCCACCAATCTACAGAAATACCATAAACTGCTGTGTTTAGCTTTCAGCTGAGTAGTTGCACGCTGTGAAGTTATTGAAGCTATATGTGAACACCAAGAAACAGGCTCCTTAATAGGATGGCATGTAAGAAGATGAAATAAAGTGACTGAGACATTGAGACATTCCTCTGAAAGGTGATAATTGTGTGAGAGTTCTCAATGGTGAAACTATTTATCCAGGATGTAAAATGCTTTCTTTAAAGCTCAACAAAGCTGAGACTTTGACCCTTCAAGGGGAAGAAGCTGTGGCTCCACTAGGTTGGGGGACAGTGAGGATGAGAGAACCGCGTGACCAGGACAGAACACTAGAGAATGACTGGCTGTCATCCGCGGGAGGGAGAGGACTGTTTGGGTTTCCCACCATCTTCTATAAGAACAGACCACATATCCTCAAACATGGGGCATGCTCCTGACTACTCACCAATATTCCAGAGGGGATTTTTCCAGGCAATACCAAGTCCAAGCAGACCTAGAGAACATTGAGCACTGTTTCCACAGATATGTGGGCAGTGTGCATGTTTATTTCATCAAGAGACTGCCAAATGGGCTTAATGGAGATCTCCTTACCTTAAAAGTCACTTCAGGAATAAAATAAAAGGCCCACTGTTCACTTAAGTTTTACAACTCAGTTGGGAATCTTTGGTTGTTTTCAACAATAAAATTGGCTCGAAGTACCATCATCTTTTGTCACTTTAGGTAGGTAATGTTGTATTTCAATATATTTCCTTCATGCCACATAAATCTTTACCTTGCAATTTCACACACCAGTATTTTTTTTCTTTTTATAGAGACAGGGTCTCACTTTGTCACCCAGGCTGGAATGCAGTGGCACAATCACAACTTACTGCAGCCTTGAATGCCTGAGCTCAAGTGATCCTACTACCTCAATATGCTGAGTAGCTGGGATTACAGGTGTGCACCAAAACACTACCATACTGGATCAGAACCCTGCTGCCTGGCATCCTACCTGGCTACCTAAAAGGGAGTTGTTGGTGTTGTTTTTGAGACAGAATCTCTCTCTGCTGCCCAGGCTGGAGTGCAGTGGCACCATCTCAGCTCACTGCAACCTCCAACTTCTGGGTTCAAGCAATTCTCCTGCCTCAGCCTCCCAAGTAGATGGGACTACAGGTGTGTGCCACCAAGTTCAGCTAATTATTTTGTATTTTTAGTAGAGACAATGTTTCACCATGCTGGTCAGGCTGCACTCAAATTCCTGACCTCAAATGTTCTGACTGCCTTGGATTCCCAAAGTGCTGGGATTATAAGCATGAGATACCATGCCCAACCAAGTTTTTTTTTGTTTTGTTTTTTGTTTTTAATTTTTAGTAGACATGTGGTCTTGCTGTATTGCCCGGGCTGGTCTCAAACTCTGTGGCCTTAAGCAATCTTCCCACTTCAGCCTCACAAAATGTTGGGATTACAGGCGAGAGCCACTGTGACCAGCCAAGACCAGTTACTAACAGCCAAAACTGAGTGGTTACATTAGCTCTAAATTCACACACATACCTGCACACACACAAACATGCTCAAACTCATATACTCACATACAGATACATATGTGCACACATACATACAAGCAGAGATACACATGCACACACACATAGACACAAATATACATATAGACACATGAATACATACACACAAACATGTAAAAACATACATGTCCAACCCCCCACATACATACACACAACCACAAACACACACAGATATGCACACTCACACAAGCAGGAGGATATCCACATACACACACCAAAACGAGACTATCTGCTGTTACTGCCACCCTTTTAACAGGAGACAAGTGAGGATACTGCCGCTAATGCCCTGAGGTTCAAGGAGAGGCTGCCAAAACTTAACAGAACCTCCTGGGAGCTTTTACAGGATACACCCGCCGCCCCACAAATATCTCCTGCATTCCAGTCCACCCGTAAAATCCTGGAAAAGAGGATGGTGGCTGCGGACACGGGGGTGCAATGAACCCTGCCCCACTGGCTAAGAACCCTATACCTGGCATCTCGCTGGGCAGCCCCGTCCTGCAATCTCCTTGTCACTCATGCCCTGTCTTGCCATGTCATTTTGTTTCTCAGCGTCACACGCTTGCCTGTTCAATGAAAAACTCACAGCGCTCAAATTGTGATCATCTGTCAGTGGCACAGTCTTACCAAAAACATTATCATTCTTCAGTCAAGAAGTGTCGGACAAGCCTGAAAACTTGGGAGACTGCAGAAGCCTGAACAAACCTGGCGTCGGACAGGAACAGTTGTCTACCTCCAGTGGTGACAGCCAGGCCAGGAAGGGCAGCAGCTGGCGGAGGGGAACCGTGAGGCCGTTAGTTCAGGGTGGTTGTTGGTGAACTTGGTGTCATGCCAGGAGTGAGGACTCCAGCCCAGCTCACTCCTGGAAAAGAACGCAGGGGGCTCAAAGACTTCACACAGCGCGCACTGCTGCCAAACAGCGCAGGGCGCTCTGGGACGGCACACGGCTCTTGTGCCAAACAGGGCACAGTGGCTTAGGTGGCTCAGAGACCGCACACGGCAAAAGCGCCCTTGTCCAGTAGAGTACGGTGGCTGACGAGGCTCAGGCACCGCAGGCGGTGCACGCGCTCGTGACAAATTGTGCAGGAGGGTCAGGGACTGTACATGGCTTGCGTGCTCTTTTCAAACAGTGCAGGGGGATCGGGGACCGCACACAACACGGGCGCTCGTGCCAAACCGTGCAGGAGGCTCACGGAGGTCACATGGTTGCGCGCTCGTGCCTAACAGTGCACGGAAGCTCGGGGACCGCACCCAGTGGGTGCTCTTGTGCCAAACAGTCCACGAGGCTCAGGGACTGCACACGGCGCGCACGCTTGTGCCAAACAGTGATCGGTGGTTCTGGAGGCTCAGGGACCGCATAGGGCGCGCGCTCTCGTGCCAAACAGTGCAGGTGGTTCGGGAGCCGCACACGGCACGGGCGCTCGTGCCAAACAGTGCAGGGGGCTCAGGGGACCGCAAACGGCACGGGCGCTCGTGCTAAACATCTCAGGGGGCTTAGGGGCCGCACACAATGCGCGCGCTTGTGCAAAACTGCAGGAGGCACAGGAACTGCACATGGCTAGCCCCCTGTGCCAAATTGTGCATGGTGGCTCAGGGGACTCTGGGACCACAGTGGGCGCCCGCGCTCGTGCCAAACAGTTCAGGAGGCTCAGGGACTGCACATGGCTTGCACGGTCTTGCCAAACAGTGCTCGGGAGGCTCAGGGACCTCACCCAGTGGGTGCTCTTTGCCAAACTGTGCAGGGGGTTCAGAGGCTGCACACGGGGCGGATGTCCATACCAAATAGTGCAGACGGCTCAAGCATGGCACAGGGCACACGCGCTCGTGTCAAACAGTGGACGGAGGCTCAGGGACTGCACACGCACAAGAGCTCGTGCCAAACAGTGCACCGGGGCTCAGGGACCGCACAAGATGGGTGCTCTTGTACCAAACAGTGCAGTGGGCTCGCGGACTGCATACAGCATGCCTGCTTATGCCAAACAGTGCAGGGTGCTCAGGGACTGAACAATGTGCGGGCGCTGGGACAGACGCTGGGTCACAGGGACTCAGGCGGGTTTACAGCACTGTATTCAAGAGCTGCCTACTGAATCCGGGCCCAGATACCTTCTTTTTAGAATTTTGTTCGCCTCCCATTTGCCCTGAGGCAGAGCACGAATGACAGCCTCCAGATATTCAGCTATCCTTATCTTTAAAACGTATTTCTTCAAAAATATGGACACTCTTAGTTGTCCATTTAAAATCTTACATATGTAAAAATACGTAAAGAACTTTTATTCCAAATAGATAAAAAAGCAAGCAAATCATGCCCTCTCCCTGCCCCAATATGAACACAAACAGAATCTCCTATCTTTTGCTGGAGAAAATGCATATGGGTACCCCAGGAGGCTGGGTCACAGAGTTCACACAGCGTATCTGGCTGTTTACCTAGGTAACTAAATAAAGACAGCTGCCTTCTGGTTAACTGAGACTAGTAGCCACAACTTCCCCTGAGCCACTCAGTCTGTATCTGTCTCATCAACCAAGGATACCCCCTGGGAGTCATGACGACCTACATTAACAAGCTAGAGTCCCTTTAGCCAGGACTCCTGACAGGGGAGCTTTCCTGGGCTTCCATGCCATAGTCTGCACCATCCTATGTGTGGCTTCTTAGTATCTTGGCCACACCTGCCCAGCTGTGATAAGGTGTGTCCATTTGCAAATCCCAATGGATGTTGGTGATGAAATATGGCTTCCAGGGGAATGCTGCATGGAGACCCTCCTGAGCTCACTTCTCTAGCTTCACGGTGGGAAGCCAACTTTACTTTTCTCTAATTTGGGACAGTACTGACACTGATAGCCCAATCAAGAATGGAGAAAGAGCTCATGTGGGGCCTCTTTAAGTACTCTGTGGAGATCAGACATTTTTCCCAGCAGGCAAAAATATTGAAGAGTATTATGTAATAAAGAATATCTTACAAAAGAAAACTGAAAAGCATTTATAACACAAAACTTTTGATGACTCAGATCATTTTAACGAGGAAAAGTATATGGGTGGCAAAATGTGGAACATTTTGACTTTATGATACTTTCACAGGAGCCAAAGAGAAAGTATAAAAGACAAATTCATCACACCACAGAAGGAAAGCAATTGTAAAACCCAGACTATACCTCATGGAATTTCTCAAAATCCTTTAAGGCAGGGTCTAGCCATGTTAATTTCATTTTCAGCTGGGTTTCTCTGTGCTATGATATCCACAACTTCTTTCATCTTCTTTTACAGTTAATTAATGAAGAAAATAAGCTAGACTGACTGAAACTGGAGGAAAGGGGAGAAAAAGAAAAAGCTAGGAAGAGAAAACATCTGACACTCAAGATGCTAGTTCAACCCTGCTGTGGGAAAAACTGGGCTACCAGCTGGGTTAGTGGGACAGCAGTTCCCCATGGATACAATAAAAGTTCTCCCAGATAAACCATCATTAGCAAGCATGTATAAAAATATTAGGAACAGATTTTTGTCTCACAAAGTATGTGTGTAAATGGCCACGCTGCTGTGGGAGGATTGCTTTAGGTCAGGAGTTTGAGATTGACCTGAGCAGCACGGTGAGACCCCTCTCTCTACACAAAATTCAAAAAGCCAGGCGTGGTGGTGTGCACCGGTGGTCACAACTACTAAGGAAGCTGAGGTGGGAGGATGATTTGAGCCCAGGAGGTTGAGGCTGTAGTGAGCCATGTTCATACTACTGCACTCCAGCCTGGGTGATGGAACAAGACCCTGTCTCTTAAAAAATATATACATGTGATAGATTATGAGGAATCCACTGACCCTGTGATGCCATGGTGTGAGGAAGCCAAAGTGAGCTACACAGAAATGCTACACAGACAGTGATACCAGGCAGGTCCAGCTGTTGTCCAGCCTCCTGGCCCACGCGTCAGACACAGGAGGGAAAGAAGTCATTTGCATATTTGGCACCTGCAAAGGGAACATGGAAGAAGACTGAGGAACTCAGCTGGCAGCCAGAACCAAAGCCCAAAGCTTCTGAGCCTCTGTAGCTGCTGAAGTCAGCCCTGTAGAGGCCTCTGCCATGGGGGAAGGGAGAGACTGAATGTCACTTGAGTCTCTGTGAAGAGACCGCCAAACAGGCTTTGTGTGAGCAATAAAGCTTTTTAATCACCTGGGTTCACGTGGGCTGAGTCCGAAAAGAGAGTCAGTGAAGGGAGATAGGGGTGGGGCTGTTTTATAGGATTTGGGTGGGTAGTGGAAAATTACAGTCAAAAGGGGTTGTTCTCTTGTGGGCAGGGATGGGGGTCACAAGGTGCTCAGTGGGGGAGGTTCTGAGCCAGGAGAAGGAATTTCACAAGGTAATGTCATCAGTTAAGGCAGGTACTGGCCATTTTCACTTCTTTTGTGATTCTTCACTTGCTTCAGGCCATCTGGATGTATACGTGCAGGCTTGGGCTCAGAGGCCTGACACTGAGTCTCTGCTGTGCCCTGCCTCCATTCCTAGCTTTGTCCCAAATAGAATGTATGTCAGTCCTGGGTATGGCCACTGACAAGTCATGAGGTAGAATAAGGACAGTCTCTCAGGGATTGGCTGTGCCATCCAGCAGCCACAGCTGCACATGGAGTTATTTAAATGACAAAATCCAAAGTTCAGTTCCTTGGTCATTCTGTCCACATTGGAAGTGCTCAGTGGCCATGTGGACAGTGGCTACTGCACTGGGTAGCACAGATAAGAGCCATCTGTAACCTTGCAGCTGGAGCATTGCCTTAGAGATACAGTAAGTCAATCTCTTCTGCATGGCAGGAACACTGCTATCCACTTGCACCACATCTTTCCCTACCACCCTTCCATAATGTGCAGATAACCACTCTAGTGAGATTTTCTAATCATATTTTTAATATGGCCAGGCACGGTGGCTTACGCCTGTAATTCTATCACTTTGGGGGGCAGAGGTGGGCAGATCATGAGGTCAGGAGATCAAGACCATCCTGGCCAACATGGTGAAAGCCCATCTCTACTGAAAATACAAAAATTAGCTGGGCACCTGTAATCCCAGCCATTTGGGAGGCTGAGGCAGATGAACCCAGGAGATGGAGATTGCACTAAACTGAGATCACGCCACTGCACTCCAACCTGGCAATAGAGCGAGACTCTGTCTCAAAAACAAAACAAAACAAAACAAAACAAAACAAAAGCCAGCCCGGAATAGACAGAACGCTTCTAAGTACCTTCATGTTAGCCAACTGCTTTGTGCTCAATTTTACAACTAGAAATTCTATTTTACACCACTAGGGGCACCAGGGTGCTCTGTAGAGTAACCATATTCAATGTGCGTTAAAACACATTATTTTGGCCGGGTGCAGTGGCTCACACCAGTAATCTCAACACTTTGGGAGGCCGAGGCGGGCGGATTACGAGGTCAGGAGATCGAGACCATCCTGGCTAACATAGTGAGATTCTGTCTCTACTAAAATACAAAAATTAGCTGTGCGTGGAGGTGCGTGCCTGTAATCCCAGCTACTCAGGAGGCTGAGGTAGGAGAATCCCTTGAACCAGGGAGTCGGAGGTTGCAGTGAGCTGAGATCACGTCACAGCACTCCAGCCTGGCGACAGAGTGAGACTCCGTCTCAAAAAAAAAAAAGTTATTTTTATTTTTTGTGGAGATGGGGTCTTGATATGTCACAAAAGCTGGTCTCAAACTCCTGGCCTCAGGCAACTCTCCTGCCTTGGCCACTGAAAGTGCTGAGATTACAGGCATGTCTTTAATCTGCTTCTGAAAATGTCCTGGAAGCATCTTCCTTCCCATGTACACAGAGCTTCATTTTGCAGAACTGTTTCAAAGAAAGTGAATTGTCCCCATGCACTGATTCTTTAAATCCAAGTATGAACAGGAATTAGCTCTCTAGCTTGGTCAGTTACATCAGAGGAGATAGCAGCTTGTTAGTAACATTAACCTATACTAGCAGTTAGCTAAAAACCCAAAACATATCTCACCCTTCCACTGGCCTCAGGCTAAAAGAAGAATTAATTAAGTGTTGGGAACAAGTAAGGTAATGACCACAGAAGCCCTCTTGCAGCTGAGAGTCCTAAACAGTTCTGTTCCTGGACCAAAATGTCATTCTGTTGAAATCCGGATATTATGTTTTAAAATGAAATTGTAATAATATTATTATTTCAGATTTGCTCTTTTACATTAGATGTTTACTCTGTAATGTTATTTGGCTTACATCTAATATGGACTTTAACAGCTAGCCATTTTATCAAAACATATACTGCTCCACGGATGGAAGGATGCACAGACAAAATGTGGTCTATCCACAAAATGAAATATTACTAGGAAATAAAAAGGAAATTCTGACACATGCTACAACATGAATGACCCAGCTCTGCTGGCCTGTCCTCAGCAAAGATTTTCCTGGGTTGGCTTCTAACCTTCCTTCCTCTCTGAGTCCACACTGGTGAGAGCTCTTCAGCCCACTCACCTGCAAACTCCCATGAGGCAGGACCTAAAGGAATGATCACAGCCATGTGGCGGGAGTGCTTCTCACATACATTACATGAATGTATACAAATATGCCATTCATATTTGTATACAATACAAATTCATAATGTACAATACAATTTGTAGTGCATACAATATGTTAACTAGAAATGGTTAATTCTGTGTGGGTGTATTTTCTTTCTTTTGTTTTTTTTTGAGACAGGGGCTCTGTTGCCCAAGCTGGAGTGCACTGTTGCAATCTCAGCTCAATGCAACCTTCACTTCCTGGGTTCAAGTGATTCTCCTGCCTCAGCCTTCCAAGTAGCTGGGACTACAGGCATGGGCCACCCTAATTTTTGTATTTTTAGTAGAGATGGGGTTTTGCCATGTTGGTCAGGCTGGGCTCAAACTCCTGACCTCATGTGGTTTGCCTGCCTGGGCTTCCAAAGTGATGGGATTACAGGCATGAGCCACACACAATTTTGCATGTGTATATTTTTTATAAGAAAAAAGTTGGCCCCCAAGGGCACTCTGGGAAGATTTATACACAGTGTGTCTTTTTCCAGGCATGGTGAGGCCACTGCCTGCATGGCTGATAAGGTCATAGAAGGTAAGAGGAAACTAGTTCCTGCTTTTATACCTGAAGAGAACTGGGGCAAGATAAAAACTACCTAATGACTTATGTAGCTGAGACTGAGACAAGATATCAGAGCTCTACTGTAAGCAAATACCAGGGCCCAGCAGCAGCATTCATGGGTGTGAAAGCCCCAGAGCTGCTCTGTGCCCCACCAGGCTTCTCCCTCTCTCCCCTAGCAAGAGCGTGCCCCACCTCTGTCCTCAGCCTCTGGTGTGCAACCTGGGTCCTACAGCAGAAAAGACTGCAGAGAAATGCCACAGAATCCATAGGCCAAACAGAGTGGCATGAAACAGAGGAGTGGAGCAGACCTCAATGACTTATTTTTTCCTATTGACCTCTGTAATCTTCACTTTGGTAAACCCATTACTGTTAGAAAGAAAAGGAAAAAAAAAAGATCTCTCTCCAGGTATCCAAACCATTTGAGTTCAACATACCCCAAGTGTCAAATAATCATTTCATTCAGCCTGAGGTTTTAAAAAGGGCATCCCACCAGGCATGGTGGCTCATGCCTATAATCCCAGCACTTTGGGAGGCCGAGGCAGGTAGATCACCTGAGATCAGGAGTTCAAGACCAGCCAGGCCAACATGGTGAAACTCCATCTCTACTAAAAATACAAAAATTAGCTGGGTGCGGTGGCGGGCACCTATAATCCCAGCTACTCAGGAGGCTGAGGCAGGAGAATTACTTGAACCTGGGAGGAAAAGTTGCAGTGAGCTGAGATCGTGCCATGGCATTCCAGTCTCAGTGACAGAGTGAGACTCCCTCTCAAAAAGAAAAGAAAAAAGAAAAAAAAAAGAAGGGCATCTACACAGCTTCTTGGCTATGTTTCAACAGAATGAATTTGTTGGCAAAGAAACTCAGCATATCCAAGTGCACAATCATTAATATGACTAGTTCTATATAGCCTTAAGAATGAACACCAGGGATATAAGAATAAAGGCCAAAAAGTTTCACTTAGTCAACATATCAGTATAAACATAGCAAAAGCCACACCAAAAAAAAAAAAAAAAACCACAAACACAAAACAAAACAAAAAAGACAAGGCAACTAGAGATTGCCAACTACTGTCATCTAAATGCTGTGTATAATGGGTTCTAGCTATATAAATATATGTAAAGGGAAAGGAATGAGATTTAAAGAAACAATCTATCCTAGCCCTTTCTGGAATTCTCTGCCCAGCAGAAGATCATGTGAAACAATCTCCTTTATCCCATTCTGGAATTCTGCTCACTACAGAAAGCCCATAGCAATTTACTGTATATTTATGCAATTTGTCCTCAAATTCCCTTCCCAAGACCCATGGTTACTCATGGTACTAGAAGAGTTAAGAAAATATTCCTCCTAGAAAAAAATAAAAACAAAAACAAGGAACAGGGTATATAGAAGAGATATGAAGTTTAGGGAAAGTAACCAGTAAAACAGACTTTGGAGTCATGGCACAGCAAAGAAACGTTGAGCCATGATCATGAAAAGAGGTGAAACTGAGTGGCAAATCAGGAAAAAAAAAACAACAACAAGGTCCACGAATTCCTTTAAATGTAAAGTTGTAGGCACTGTAGGTTAAATGTAGGTTAACTAAATGTGGCAATAGTGAAATGCTATAATGATTAAATAACATTTCTCCAAAGGAAGCCTGTGATTTTACTGCAAACTTTCTACAGATCTGTACACATTCAGAGAACTATTAAATACCACCACACATGTGTGGTCACTATGGTAAGCCAGCCATCCACTCACATGTGTTCATCAATATACGCCAAGTGGCTGATAAAAATCTTTCCTTATTTGATCACTTATCAACTCACCAAGAGGGTGAGAGGCATCCTTTTCTTTGCAAGAGCATTGAGCCAGAGAAATTTTCTTTGTGTCTTTAGATTTAATAAATGATCATGTCATAGTTAGCAAATCAAAGTAGTGAAATCACTGAAGAAAGATCTGGTTCCTTCCTCTTTTTTGTTATTTACTAGAAGCTACAGACCAATGATCTTGCTTTCCATATTATTAAAGGCAAGCACACCCACCACCAGCAGAGAAAATGGCAAAACACCCTCCATGGTGGAGAGAACTCTTGGCACCTGCCCTGTGCATGATGCTGGCTACCCCACAGAAACATAGTCTGGATGGCAGAACTGCCCCAGTTATTTGATCAGCCCATTTCATATCCCCATCAATGCTGTCATGATTACCGCTCAGCAAATCCTTCTCAGCACTCTACTTAAACATGCCACTTCATTCAATTCAAAAGGCCTTTGGACTCTAACTGCCACAAACAAGCTTTCTTCAGCAATAAAACCATGTTATCAGGCAACTATTCCAAATTGTTTTTATGAGGATTTGGTTCTAAAAGTACCTTGAGATAGCCAAGACACATCTTTGCAGTTGGGGACAGGTGGGAGGTGAGTGTGTCTGTTTGGGACGGAGACATAGGATGAAGTTGTTTTCATTATGGAGCACTTTCTTTGTGTGAATAAATTAGCGAGTGATGCTAAAACAAAACAAAATCAGGCTTTTTTACAGATAAAGTATGCCCCTCACTTTGCAGAAATAGCCAAGGCTGTATTGGGAACTTCATTTCTTCCCCCAAAGACTCACCTACCTTAGAACCCAGGGGTGTTCATGGTAGCTGGGCGTGAGGTAAAAGTTTCAAGAGGCAACATTTTCTCCAGCTTTATAAGCTACTGGGCAGCCACCACTCATGGCTCAGCCAACATCACCTCTCCCTGCACCTTGGCAACACTTTGAAAGCATGTTTGTTTCCATCTGAACAAAGTGGCCAGTACAGAGCAGAATATCACAGTGTGCCAGTGCTGCCAAAGCCAAGGATGGGATGGACAGAAAGCGGACCTGCTCATTGTGTTCCATGTGGGCAAAGAGAGCCTCTGGAGGCTTCTCTACCTGGAAAGGGCTGATCTACCTGTACCTTAGAGGTAACTGCAAGGGTGAGTAGCACACTGGACAGAAGCCATATGCAGGCCTCCTGCCCTGCCAAGCTCATTAAGAACTCGGCATATCGGCCCAGGGGCCCTTGGTGTCTGTTGCCTCTTACAGGACACCACCTTCCAGACAACAGACATCAAGACCTGTCCCCAGATCCCTGTGCCCTCAAGTCTCAAGATAGGACATTTCCAGGGTCTGCTCTTAAAATCTCACCAGAACACTCTTCTTCCAATCCATTAGTAAACTAGGAATTCGACCAGTTTGGGTAAATCTCTTTTCCTAAGTCTACTCCATTTGCAGAATACACACAAAAATAAGTCATTTAAGCTTCTTTGCAAATGCTATTACTAACCTCTCAATTCCTCAAACCTCAAAATAAACTTAACCTGTATAGTGTGGATCCCACTGCACAACATTCACAGGTACTATAGATATCCCAAATAACCAAGAAATAAGCTAAACATTCTCCATAAGTCTTACTATATGAGAAACCACCAATGCTTCCAAACTAAATCTTAAAGACATCACTTTTATGTCTTGGTTATTATTAGCATGCATTATATGCCTTATAAAGCTCTAGTTCTTTTATGATAACTAATAAGGGGAGACATGAAAAGCAAAATCTTAACTATTTACCATTCTCTACTTGACTTACAATATGAAATGCCGCAAGTATTTAGAGATTCATCTGGTTAAATTACTTAAGCCACACATTAAGGCAAAACCCAAATAGAAGTATTAACAATTTTCCCTGAAATAAAACAATTCTGATCTATGTGGTTTTCTTTTTTCTCCTCATTTTACTTAATAAAAACAATAAGCTGGGCATGGTGGAATGTACCTGTGGTCCCAGCTATTCAGGAGGCTGAGGCAAGAGCACTGCTTGAGCCCAGGAGTTTGAGGCTGTAATGAGGTATGATCATGCCTATCAATAGCCACCACACTCCAGCCTGGGTAACAGAGTGAGATCCTGTTCTTCCTTCCTTGTATCCTCCCTCCCTTTCTCCTTCCCTTCCTGCATTCATAATAAAATAAATTAAATAAAAACAATAATGGAAAATAAGCCAAAAAAGCATGGTCTCTTTTGTTTTAACAAGAAAATAAGCACAGTAGCAAACAGCCATAAGCCCCCAAATGCTCATAGAACATAAATACTGGACCAGGTGTGGTGGCTCACACCTGTTATCCCAGTAGTTTGGGACACTGAGGTGGGCGGATCACCTGAGGTCAGAAGCTCAAGACCAGCCTGGCCAACATGGTGAAACCTCATCTCTACCAAAACCACAAAAAATTAATCAGGCATGGTGGTGCATGCCTATAGTCTCAGCTACTTGGGTGGCTGAGGCAAGAGAATTGTTTGAACCTGGGAAGTGGAGGCTGTAGTGAGGCAAGATCAAGATCACGTCACTGCACTCCAGCCTGGGTGACAGAGTGAGAGTGCATCTGAAAAAAAAAAAAAAAAAAGAAGAAACAAAATACCCACTCCTGAATCACAGACAAATGATATCAATGATATCAGACAGCCTTCAAGGCACGAGTTTCACCAGACATCCTCCAGTGTCCCCACTAAGGAGCATACTCTCCATCTAAACATACACAGTTTCTGCCCCAGGAGTAGCTTTGGAGGGAGTAGGGAGGGCTGGGAAAGATGGGGTGGGGATGTAAACCTGCTGACATATTAGGCAGGCCCGTTACTGGCTGCCAGAGTTTCAAGTAGCAGCTGCTGGAACATCTGTGCTAATCAATCTTGGGGCCACAGGGCCACCTGCTCCAGGACAGCTCCAAGGAGCCAGCAGCAGAGGGGGGCACAGCACAATGTGGGCTTGGAGCAGCAGTCAGGGCACCTTAGCAATGGCCAAGAGGGTGTGCATGTTGTAAGAAACTTGCTCCTAGCAAGACGAATGCTGTCCCTCAATGTGCAGACTCTTCTCTTCAAAGGTAGGACCACACTACACAGTCTTACAAACCCTTACAGCCTGCTGCAGAAAACCCTCCCCTCTGCTTCTAAGCTGCTCTTGAATGCAAGCTTAGCAGATGTAATTAGATTCACAAGAGGGTTTAGCACTGCCAGCAAAGTGGCAGGAAATGAACTGAATTGACCCTATCCAGGATTTGGCCCCCACAAAATGACTTGCAACACTTGATCGGTTCAAGAGAAACTCCCCAGAGTGGGGTCAATGACAAGGCAGCAGGCAGACTTTGTTGTAAACAAAACTAATAATGTAAATTTGGGAAAAGATCAAAAGGGTAATTGTAAAGCTTTAGAAAATGATTTATGATATGATATTTAAAAGAAATTTTCCTCAGGGTGTTTGAAATTATAGGTGTTTTTTAGAGGCTGAACTTTTGGCAATTTGCCTATGAAGTAGGAAAAATAGATTACTGTGTCCCCAGAGTTGTTAATACAGATGCCAGAGAGAGAATAGCAACAGACCACGACAACAGACAACAGCCATCAACCGTAGCACTGAGTGGTAGGACAAGCTCAGCTAAGCTAGAACCTGCCATCCCTTTCTCCGTCCTTCACCACGCTGCTCCCTCTCCTCCAGTGCAGCTCGAGGGCATCAGGCTGACCTCCCTTTTGCACTGACCCAGCTGGGCTAAGTTATGAGGAAAATGCCAATAGGCCACCAGGTTTCCAGCCTTAACCTTCCTAAGCACATGTGCTTAAGGCAGTAAGTGGTAGAACTGCTTTTCTGCCAGTCAAAATAGCCTGTGAGCCTCTGTGAAAATCTCAGAGCCTGGATCCATTCAAGACCTGTCCAGGACTCTTCTGCAGTGGACCTGGGACCTAGGAAAACAGTACAGATGAAAACTGGATACACACACACACACACACACACTCTCACACACACACATACACACAATAAAAGGGCACATGTCTGCCCTGAACTTTCCGTGCCCTGGGCAAGAGGAAGCACTGGCTCTCATTTGTCTGGGGATATAGCTACCTGCCTGTCTCCTTCTGCATTGCTTTCCCAGCAGCAGATTCTCAAGGACCACAAAGTCTGTGCTGCCCATGCCTGTGAAACAAGATACCACTGCTTTGTGAAAGTGGTCCATCACAACCCTATCCTGGCTGCCTGGTCCCCACACATGCAAAGATAAAATGAGCCTACAAAATAAGACACATAGCAGCTGCCACTACAGGGAGGAGAGTTTATATATGAACCACCGTTCAAGTGATGTTTAAAAAACCATGTAGAGAATTTAGGAGGCTGAGGTGGGTGAATCACCGAGGTCAGGATTTCAACACCAGGCTGGCCAACATGGCAAAACCCTGTCTCTACTACAAAAATTAGCTGATTGTGGTGGTGGGAAAAATAAACTACTTGGGAGGCTGAGGCAGAAGAATCGATTGGACCTGGGAGGCAGAGGTTACAATGAGCCAAGATCATACCACGACACTCCAGCCTGGGTGACAGGGACTAAAAACTAAAATAAAAAACCATGGAGAGGCCAGGTGCAATAGCTCATGCTGGTAATCCCAACACTTTCAGAGGATTGCTTGAGCCTAAGTTAGAGGCTCCAGTAAGCTATGATTGTTTGTACTGCTCCACTCCAGCCTGAGAAACAAAGCAAGAACTGTCTCAAACAAACAAACAAAAAAACCATAGATATCTGCACCTTACACTGAGATGTATGTACCTCTATAACTCACCACATTTTTGCAGATGGGGGCAGGCAATTGCAACAAGTCAAACAAGGCTTGGGCAAGCTAGTTTACCATCTGGTCATGCTTTTAATTGGAGCAATATAGAATAGGAATATGTTGGTGTCTCAATCTGTGAACTACCTGCAGTGTTCTTTTCATGAGCTAGCCACTTATAAAGGTACACACTCCATCCTGGAACTCTACTTAAAATGCTAGAAAATGCTACCTAATCCATAGAGACAGAAGGCAGATTAGTGGTTGCCTAGGAATGGAGAAAGAGAAGGGAGATTTAGAGAGATTTAAATTTACATAGAGGAGTATACATGTTCTGGCTTTAAGAAGATCAATTTTGAAAGTATCTGTTGCTGCTTTTGCAATAAGGATAACCACCTAAAAAGGTAGCTGTAGTTGGCTGGGCATGGTGGTCCACACCTGTAATCCCAGTACTTTGGGAGGCTGTGGTGGGTGGATCATGAGGTCAGGAGATCAAGACCATCCTGGCTAACATGGTAAAACCCCATCTCTATGAAAAATACAAAAAATTAGCCAGGCATGGTGGTGGGTTCCTGTATTCCCAGCTACTCGGGAGGCTGAGGCAGGAGAATGGCGTGAACCTGAGAGGCGGAGCTTGCAGTGAGCCAAGATCGCACCACTGCACTTCAGCCTGGGTGACAGAGCAAGACTCTGTCTCAAAACAAACAAACAAACAAACAAACAAACAAATAAAACAAAACAAACAGTAGATAGCTGTAGTTTTAGAAGGTCTCACCATGCACAGATTTGGTCACGGAAGTCTTCTGTGTTGATTGTTGTGTGAGGGCAGACAAAAAACAGCTTGTGAGTTTTTTCCTAACACAGTTATTGGAAGTGTGTGTGGAATTCTTGGTTCCAAGATGGCCAAATAGGAACAGTTACACTCTACAGCTCCCAGCATGAGTGACACAGAAGACAGGTGATTTCTGCATTTCTGACTGAACTTCGAAGAGAGTAGTGGTTCTCCCAGCTTGGAGTTTGAGATCTGAGTACAGACAGACTGCCTCATCAAGTGGGTCCCTGACCCCCGAGTAGTCTAACTGGGAGGCACCGCCCAGTAGGGGTAGACCGACATCTCACATGGCCAGGTACCCCTCTGAGACGAAGCTTCCAGAGGAACGATCAGGCAGGAACATTTGCTGTTCAGCAATATTTGCTGTTCTGCAGCCTCCGCTGCTGATAACCAGGCAAACAGGGTCTGGAGTGGGCCTCCAGCATACTCCAACAGACCTGCAGTTGAGGGTCCCGACTGTTAGAAGGAAAACTAACAAACAGAAAGGACATCCACACCAAAACCCCATCTGCACATCACCATCATCAAAGACCAAAGGTAGATAAAACCACAAACATGGGGAAAAAATAGAGCAGAAAAGCTGAAAATTCTAAAAATCAGAGCACCTCTCCCCCTCCAAAGGAACGCAGCTCCTTGCCAGCAATGGAACACAGCTCCTTGCCAGCAATGGAACACAGCTCCTTGCCAGCAATGGAACAAAGCTGGATGGAGAATGACTTTGGCGACTTGAGAGAAGAAGGCTTCAGATGATTAAACTACTCTGAGCTAAAGGAGGAACTTTGAACACAACGCAAAGAAGCTAAAAACCTTGAAAAAGATTAGGCGATTGGCCAAGTAGAATAACCAGTGTACAGAAGTCCTTAAAGGAACCGATGCAGCTGAAAACCATGGCACGAGAACTACGTGATGAACGCACAAGCTTCAGTAGCCAATTTGATCAACTGGAAGAAAGGGTTATCAGTGATTGAAGATCAAATGAATGAAATGAAGCAAAAGAGAAGTTTGGAGAAAAAAGAGTAAAAAGAAATGAACAAAACCTCCAAGAAATATGGGACTATGTGAAAAGACCAAATCTATGTCTGATTGGTGTACGTGAAAGTGATGGGGAGAATGGAACCAAGTTGGAAAACACTCTGCAGGATATTATCCAGGAGAACTTCCCCAATCTAGCAAGGCAGGCCCACATTCAGATTCAGGAAATACAGAGAACGCCACAAAGATACTCCTCGAGAAGAGCAACTCTCAGACACACAACTGTCAGGTTTACCAAAGTTGAAATGAAGGAAAAAATGTTAAGGGCAGCCAGAGAGAAAGGTAGGGTTACCCACAAAGGGAAGCCCTTCAGACTAACAGCTGATCTCTCAGCAGAAACTCTACAAGCTAGAAGAGAGTGGGGGCCAATATTCGTCATTCTTAAAGAAAAGAATTTTCAACCCAGAATTTAAAATCCAGCCAAACTAAGCTTCATAAGTGAAGGAGAAATAAAATACTTTACAGACAAGCAAATGCTGAGAGATTTTGTCACCACCATGCCTGACTTACAACAGCTCCTGAAGGAAGCGCTAAACATGGAAAGAAACAACTGGTAACAGCCACTGCAAAAACATGCCAAATTGCAAAGACCATTGATGCTATGAAGAAACTGCATCAACTAATGAGAAAAATAATGAGCTAACATCATAATGACAGGATCAAATTCACACATAACAATATTAACCTTAAATGTAAATGGGCTAAATGCTCCAATTAAAAGACACAGACTGGCAAATTGGATAAAGAGTCAAGACCCATCAGAGTGCTGTGTTCACGAAACCCATCTCACATGCAGAGACACACATAGTCTCAAAATAAAGGGATGGAGGAAGATCTACCAAGCAAATGGAAAACAAAAAAAGGTAGGGGTTGTAATCCTCGCCTTTCATAAAACAGACTTTAAACCAACAGGGATTAAAAGAGACAAAGAAGGCCACTACATAATGGTAAAGGGACCAATTCAACAAGAAGAACTAGTTATCTGAAATATATATGCACCCAATACAGGAGCACCAAGATTCATAAAGCAGGTCCTTAGAGATCTACAAAGAGACTTAGACTCCCACACAATAATAATGGGAGACTTTAACACCCCACTGTCAACATTAGACAGATCCATGAGACAGAAAGTCAACAAGAATATCCAGGAATTGAACTCAGCTCTGCACCAAGCAGACCTAATAGACATCTACAGAACTCTCCACCCCAAATCAACAGAATATACATTCTTCTCAGCACTACATCACATTTATTCCAAAATTGACCACATAGTTGGAAGTAAAGCACTCCTCAGCAAATGTAAAAGAACAGAAATTATAACAAACTGTCTCTCAGACCACAGTGCAATCAAACTAGAACTCAGGATTAAGAAACTCACTCAAAACCGCTCAACTACATGGAAACTGAACAACCTGCTCCTGAATGACTACTGGGTACATAACAAAATGGAGGCAGAAGATATTCTTTGAAACCAATGAGAACAAAGACACAATGTACCAGAATCTCTGGGACACATTTAAAGCAGTGTGTAGAGGGGAAATTTATAGCACTAAATGCCCACAAGAGAAAGCAGGAAAGATCTAAAATCCACATGCTAACATCACAATTAAAAGAACTAGAGAAGCAAGAGCAAACACATTCAAAAACTAGCAGAAGGCCAGAAATAACTAAGGTCAGAGAAGAATTGAAAGAGATAGAGACACAAAAAACCCTTCAAAAAATCAATGAATCCAGGAGCTTGTTTTTTGAAAAGATCAACAAAATTGATAGACCTCTATCAAGACTCACAAAGAAGAGGGAAGAATCAAACAGATGCAATAAAAAATGATAAAAGTGATATCACCACTGATCCCACAGAAGTGAAAACTGCCATCAGAGAATACTATAAACACCTCTATGCAAATAAACTAGAAAATCTAGAAGAAATGGATAAATTCCTGGACACATACACCCTCCCAAGACTAAACCAGGAAGAAGTTGAATCTCTGAATACACCAATAACAGGCTCTGAAATTGAGGCAATAATTAATAGCCTACCAACTAAAAGAAGTCCAGGACAAGACCGGTTCACAGCCAAATTCTACCAGAGGTGCAAAGAGGAGCTGGTACCATTCCTTCTGAAATTATTCCAATGAATAGAAAAAGAGGGAATCTTCCCTAACTCATTTTATGAGGCCAGCATCATCCTGATACCAAAGCCTGGCAGAGACACACAAAAGAGAATTTTAGACGAATATCCCTGATAAACATCGATGCAAAAATCCTCAATAAAATATTGGCAAAGCGAATCCAGCAGCACATCAAAAAGCTTATCCACCATGATCAAGTGGGCTTCATCCCTGGCATGCAAGGCTGGTTTAACATATGCAAATCAATAAATGTAATCCAGCATATAAATAGAACCAAAGACAAAAACCACATGATTATCTCGATAGATGCAGAAAAGGCCTTCAACAAAATTCAACAGCCCTTAATGCTAAAAAAACTCTCAAAAATTAGGTATTGATGGGATGTATCTCAAAATAATAAGAGCTATTTATGACAAACCCACAGCCAATATCATACTGAATGGGCAAAAACTGTAAGCATTCCCTTTGAAAACTGGCACAAGACAGGGATGCCCTCTCTTACCACTCCTATTCAACATAGTGTTGGAAGTTCTGGCCAGGGCAATCAGGCAGGAGAAAGAAATAAAGGGTATTCAATTAGGAAAAGAGGAAGTCAAATTGTCCCTGTTTGCAGATGACATAATTGTATATTTAGAAAACGCCATCATCTCAGCCCAAAATCTCCTTAAGCTGATAAGCAATTTCAGCAAAGTCTCAGGATACAAAATCAATGTGCAAAAATCATAAACATTGTTATACACCAACAACAGACAAACAGAGAGCCAAATCATGAATGAACTCCCATTCACAATTACTTCAAAGAGAATAAAATACCTAGGAATCCAACTTACAAGAGATGTGAAGGACCTCTTCAAGGAAAACTACAAACCACTGCTCAACGAAATAAAAGAGGATACAAACAAATGGAAGAACATTCCATGCTCATGGGTAGAAAGAATCAATATCATGAAAATGGCCATACTGCCCAAGGTAATTTATAGATTCAAGGCCATCCCCATCAAGCTACCAATGACTTTCTTCAGCGAATTGGAAAAAACTACTTTAAAGTTTATATGGAACCAAAAAAGAGCCCGCATGGCCAAGACCATCCTAAGACAAAAGAACAAAGCTGGAGGCATCATGCTACCTGACTTCAAGCTATACTACAAGGCTACAGTAACCAAAACAGCATGGTACTGGTACCAAAACAGAGATATAGACCAATGGAACAGAACAGAGCCCTCAGAAATAATACCACACATCTATAACTATCTGATCTTTGACAAACCTGACAAAAACAAGAAATGAGGAAAGGATTCGCTATTTCATAAATGGTCCTGGGAATACAGGCTAGCCATACGTAGAAAGCTGAAAACTGGATACCTTCCTTACACCTTATACAAAAATTAATTCAAGATGGATTAAAGACTTAAATGTTAAACCTAAAACCATAAAAACTCAAGAAGAAAACCTAGGCAATATCATTCAGGACATACACATGGGCAAGGACTTCATGTCTAAAACACCAAAAGCAATGGCAACAAAAGCCAAAATTGACAAATGGGATCTGATTAAAGTAAAGAGCTTCTGCACAGCAAAAGAAACTATCATCAGAGTGAATAGGCAACCTACAGAATGGGAGAAAATTTTTGCAATCTACTCATCTGACGAAGGGCTAATATCCAGAATCTACAAAGAACTCAAACAAATTTACAAGAAAAAAATAACCCCATCAAAAAGTGGGTGAAGGATATGACCAGACACTTCTCAAAAGAAGTGTCGTTTATGGCTAACAGACACATGAAAAAATGCTCATCATCACTACCCATCAGAGAAATGTAAATCAAAACCACAATGAGATACCATCTCACACCAGTTAGAATGGCGATCATTAAAAAGTCAGGAAACAACAGGTCCTGGAGAGGATGTGGAGAAATAGGAACACTTTTACACTGTTGGTGGGACTGTAAACTAGTTCAACCATTGTGGAACACAGTGTGGTGGTTCCTCAACGATCTAGAACTAGAAATACCATTTGACCCAGCCATCCCATTACTGGGTATATACCCAAAGGATTATAAATCATGCTACTATAAAGACACATGCACACATATGTTTATTGCGGCATTATTCACAATGGCAAAGACTTGGAACCAACCCAAATGTCCATCAGTGATAGACTGGATTAAGAAAATGTGGCACATATACACCATGGAATACTATGTAGCCATAAAAAATGATGAGTTCATGTTCTTTGAAGGGACATGAATGAAGCTGGAAACCATCATTCTCAGCAAACTATCACAAGAATGAAAAACCAAACACCGCATGTTCTCACTCATAGGTGGGAATTGAACAATGAGAACACCTAGACATAGGGCAGGGAACATCACACACCAGGGCCTGTCATGGGGTGGGGGGAGGGGGGAGGGGGGAGGGAAAGCATTAGGAGATATACCTATTGTAGATGATGAGTTAATGGGTGCAGCACACCAACATGGCACATGTATACATATGTAACAAACCTGCACATTGTGCCCATGTACCGTAGAACTTAAAGTATAAGAAAAAAAGAGAGAGAGAAAAAAAGAAAGTCTGTGTGAACATAAAAGTATGTAAATAAACTCGTTTGCTTTATGTCCAATTTTATGTATTAATTAAAATTATATCTAAACCACATTATCATTTTGTCTGCACCACTCATTTAAAGGAAAGTAGTTCTGCAGAACACAAAATAGGGATTCTACACAGTCGCTTCTGTGGATCCTTCAGAGCAAAAGTTTAATCCCTCTTCCCAAGAGTCCTTTAAGCAACTACTCAGTGAAACCAGCTAGCAAATGTCATGAGGCCTTTTCTCTCTCCTCCCATCAACCAAATCTCCTGTGGCCTGAAGGCTTTCCTTTCAACAGAGTTCAGAATGTCTACCTCTATCATTACATATCTACTTCTACTTCAAAAAAAGAATAACATCGACCATGCTTCTAAACACATGGAACAATATTTGGTGAAACCCACCTCTAATAAAAATACAAAAATTAGACAGGGGTGCTGGTGTGCCCCTGTAGTCCCAGCTACTTGGGAAGCTGAGGCAGAATTGCTTGAACCTGGGAGGCAGAGGTTGCAGTGAGCCAAGATTGCCCCACTACACTACAGTCTGAGTGACAGAGCAAAAGTCTGTCTCAAGAAAAAAAGAAGTTATTTAAGGGGTAATAGAACATAGGATAAAATACTTTATAAATTTTTAAAATAATAGTATTTGAAATAGTATGGTAGTTGTTGGTATCAGAGCCAATCCCTAACGTCTTAAGGAAGAGAGACTTTTTATGTGATTTATTCTGCATGTGCTTACTAAGCTTCAGTACATGCTGGCAGTGTCAGTAAAGAAAAAGCCCCTTGACTCATTTGTTCTTTTAAAGAAGGCAGAGGATTCATTGCTACCTGGACCACAATGTACTTAACCAACCCACTTAAGCTGTGGTCAAGTCTTTACTGTTGGGGAAATGCTGCCATGAACATCTTAGGAAGTACATGATTGTGAGCTTATGTAAATGAATTTGTTGTAATAAATGTCTAAAGGTAGCTTTCTTAGGTAAAAAAGTGTTGCATGTTTAATTGCTTATGGAGACTGTCAAATCACTCCCCCTACACATTGTACAAATTCACAGGATTGGAAGGATGCTTCAGATCTCTTTCCTAGGAGCCCTCCAAACTTTCTGGTCACTGCCAATCTCTCATTTGAAAAATGGAATCAAATCAACTCTGTTAACGTTGCATTTCTCATATCTTGAGTGAGGTTGAGGGTCTGTGTGTTGAGAATCCATTACCAGAAACCATCTGAACTGCACTTTTTTCATTTTTATGTGTTATCAGTCCATTTCTTATTGGGCTATAGGAACCCTTTACATGTGAAAGATAATGCCCTTAGTGAAGTAGACAGCAAATATGCTTTTCCACTTTATCCTTAGCCTTTTGAATCTTTAAGTGGCATTTTATTTTTTACTCTAGTATTTATTATTTTTGTGTGGTAAAATGAGTGGTTTCTGGTCTTTGTGTAATATTTAGAAATGCTTTGTCCATACTCAAACATACTAGAACATACTCTGTCCATATTTTTTTTCTTTATTGAAAAAAAGAACACTCATAGTCTTCTAACACTTTTGTGGGAATTTTTTTTCTTTATTACATGAAAATATTTGGGTTTCCAGGGATGCACTTTTTGTATAGGAAGTGAGGAAGAGATGCTTCTCTATCCAGTATTTTCCCCAAAATGAGGTAATCTTATGTTTTCTCCACTGATTTGAAATGCAGTTTACATCATGCACTAACTTCCTGTATGTCCAGGAGTTGGTGGGGATACTTTCCAACCTCTCCTGTCTCTCATTGATCACTCTGTTTGCAAATGAGGTAATGCCACATGATTCTAATGACAGTTGCTTGAGAATTATAGTTTTTCATATGTGACAAGACTCACTGCCTTTCCCATTCATATTTTCAGGATATTCTTGGCCATCCTTTGCTGTTTAATTTTTCATTTGTATTTTAGAATCAACTTGCCCATTCTAAGAAAAACTCAATTAATATTTTTGTAAGAATTACATTAAATTTACAGATTAATGTAGGAATGTTTGTAATCTAGAGTCAGTGTAAGAATAAGCTACATCTCTTTTTCTAGTTACTTCTTTTGTATTTCTTCACAGTGGTTTCGTATTTTTATATTGATTTTTACCTTTAGTATTTTATACGTTTAAACTACCTACTTATGTTAATTCTGTGCCCTGCTAATTTCCTTAATTCATGATTCATATGGGCATACATACAGTCCTGGATACAACATGTTTTCATATATAAAACTGTGAAAAAATGTATCTATTCTTTTAACATTTTGGGGGATATAACAGGCTTTCATATATAAAATCATGAAAAAAATGTATCTATTCTTCTAACACTTTGTGGGGATACAAAAGGTTTTCATATATAAAAGCATGAAAAATGTATCTGTTCTAGCACTTTGTGGGGATACAACAGGTTTTCATATATACAACCATGAAAAATTATTCTTCTAACACCTTTGTGGGGATACAACAGGTTTTCATATATAAAATCATGAAAAAGTGTATCTACTCCTTTCTTAAGAACATTATTGAGAAATGGGTATTAAATTCAATCAAGTGCCTTTTTGGGGATGCATCATGATTACTGTATGATTTTCTACTTTGATCTATTAATATGGTGAATTAAATATAATTACATATAATAGATAACCTTATGTTAGCCATCTTTCCATTCTACAATTCAATCTTATTTGGTATTACGCCTTAGTTTTGTTATTTTCTTTAGGATTATTGTGTCAATATTCGAAAGTCAAATTCATGTATGTTATGTGTTTGCACATAATAAATTTCAATATTGTACTTTCTTCATACATATATTTTGGTAGATTTTCTTCTTTCTATTGTGGAAAATCTGATTGGCTAAACTTTTCTAGGCATGGGGTGTGTGTGTGTGTGTGTGTGTGTGTGTGTGTTTTAGAAGGGGCAAAAGGTTTTTGTTTCTCTCCGATGGAGAGATAATTATTTGTTTGTTTGTTTGTTTGCTTATTTAGAGATGGAGTCTCACTCTGTTACCCAGGCTGGGTCCAGTGGTGCAATCTTGGCTCACTACAACCTCCACCTCCCAAGTTCAAGTGATTCTCCTGCCTCAGCCTCCCAAGTAGCTGGGATTACGGGCATACACCACCACGCCCAGCTAATTTTTGTATTTTTAGTAGAGATGGGCCACCATGTTGGCCAGCTTTGTCTCGAACTCCTGACCTCCAGTGATCTGCCCGCCTTGGCCTCCCAAAGTGCTGGGATTACAGGCATGAGCCACTGTACCCGGCTGGGAAATGAATTTTTTAAAAAACTTTCTGTATTTCTACTTCTTCATTGGAAAGTCATCCATATTTACTTAAGTTTTCCAATATCACAGTGCAGATTAGAGCAAAGTAGTTGTTTATAATTCTTGTGCATCCTCCAAGTGTATGGAGAAGCTCGCATTCTTCTTGTTTAGTGCCATCATTATTTTAATTTATCTTTGTCAATTTTAGTTTTCTCATATAATGTTTAAATTATTTAACAAATAATGTCTCAATTTTTAATTCATTAATTCCCTCCTCCTGCTTTTCTGAGGTTTAACGTGATACTCACTCTCCCCACAGGCATGACTTCTTGAGTTGAATGTTCATGCCATTTATTTTCTTTCTTTCTTGTTTAATGTTATAAACATGTGAGGTTCTAACTTTTCATCTGTGCACTGCTAAAAGCAAGCTTTACGGGTCTTTCATGGGGAGTTTATATCATGGTCATTTTCTAGTATTTAGCATTTTCAGTTTTTGTTTCCTGTCAACCCAACATTAAAAGTTTTTTAAAACATCCGGGTAATACTGTTGCATTGTTTGCTTTCCTGGTTTCATTATCCATTTTCAATTTTACTGCTGTGAATTTGCACAACCTCCGTGGGAATGATTTGGCAATATATTAGTCAAGGTTCTCTAGAGGGACAAAACTAATGGAATATTATGTGGGTTGGGACTGGCGCTCCTTGCTCCTCAGCCTGCAGAATATGTATTCTAAGTTCCCAGACAAGCAGGATTCATGTCAAACAGACATATAATATATTATATATATAATATATACACTATATAATATATAATATATATTAATATAAGAGCATATATTAATTATTAAATTATATATTATATTATATATTATGTAATATTACTTTTTTTATATAATAATATATGATATAATATATAATATATATAATGTATATTATATAATATATAAGATATTATATAATATATAACATATTATATAATACACGGGTATATATAATATTGAATATATTATATATTAATATATAATATATTAACCTATTATATAATATATATTATCATATTATTATTTATTATATATTTATATATTATATATTTTTATATATTATATTATTATATATATAATATTATATATAAATATATATTTATATATACAAATAATATATTATTTTATATATAATATTATATATAAATATATATTTATATATACAAATAATATATTATTTTATATATAATACATGATATATATTATTATACCATATTATATTATATGTAATAATATATTGATTATTATATTAATATAGAATATTATATATTGATTATTAAATCATATATAATAATATATTAATTATATTTAATATATGATATATATTATATATAATACATTATATTTATATTTATATATTGTATTTATTATTTTTATATACTTATTTATACATAAATAAAAATATATTTATTAATTTTTATATATACTAATTTTTATATATTTATAAATATATTTATATAATTTATATATATATTAATTATATATATAATTTATATATATAAAAAATATATAAAATATATATATAATAAAAAAATATATATATTTATAAATATATATATAAATATATATTTAGAGTATGTATACTCTAAATATATATATTTATATATATATTTATAAATATATATGTATTTATAAATATATATATAAATATATAGTTATTTATTTATACATATATATTTATAAATATATATTTATAAATATATATATTTATTTATAAATACATATTATTATAAATATATATTTATATATATTTTTATAAATATATTTATTTTTATATATATTTTATATATTTATTTATATATTTATTTATAAGTATATATTTATTTATATATATATTTATTTATAAATATATATATAAATATATGAATATATGTATAAATATATTTAAATATTTATTTATATATAAATATATATATTTATTTATACATATAGATATTTATTTATAAATATAGATATATTTATTTATACATATAGATATTTACTTATAAATATATGTTTCTTCATACATATAGATATTTATTTATAAATATATATTTCTTTATAAATATATTTATATATTATATATCATATATAAAAATAATATATATAAATTTATATATATTAAATATTAAATATATAATATAATATATAATATAATTTATATATATTATTATAATATATATTAATTATATGTTATATAATTTATACATAATTATATATTTATATATTTATATATAATTATATATTATAATATATAATGTATATATTATTATTTTATATATAAATATGTATAATATATAAGATATTTTATATATAGTATTGTATATTATATATTATATATGTTATATAATATATTGTATTATATGTAATATAATATATAATATCTTATTTATTATATAATATATAATAATTATATAATATAATATATAATGTATAATATAGTATATCATGTATTATAACATATTATGTAGTATTATATAATATATAAATATATTATACATTGTATATTATGTAATATATATTATAATATAATATATAATATACATTATATTATATAATATATTATATTTTATATATACATATATATGTGTGTGTGTGTGTGTGTGTGTGTGTGTGTGTGTGTGTGTATATTCTGCAGGCTGAGGAGCAAAGAGACTCAATCCCAGTCCCAAAATTGAAGAACTTGGAGTCTGATGTTCCAGGGCAGGAAGCATCCAGCACAGGAGAGAGATGTCTGTTGGGAGGCTAGGTTAGTGTCTCTTTTCACATTTTTCTCCTCACTGATATTCCAGCCATGATGCAGCTGATGAAATGGTGCCCACCCAGATTAAAGGTGGGTCTGCCTTTCCCAGCCCACTGACTCAAATGGTAATCTCCTTTGGCAAGATTCTCAGAGACACACCTAGAATCAATACTTTGTATCCCTCAGTCCAATCAGGTTGACAGTCAGTATGAACCATCACAGGCATTGTCCATAAACAATGAAACATGCACGCACCTTTGTACCTAATGCCCATTCCTCACAAATGCTCCTGAGAAAGAAACAGATCGATTTTTTTCATGATTTTATATCTAAAAACCTGTTGTATCCATGTCTGTATGTGTGCCAGGGTGAATCACAAAGTCAGGAAGTTACTGTGACACAGAATAAGAATATCTTGATTCTTTTATTTTTTATTACTTTTTATTTTGTTTTTGAGACAGAGTCTTACTCTGTCCCCCAGGCTGGAGTGCAGTGGCCTGATCTAAGCTCACTACAATCTCCACCTTTCCGGTTCAAGTGATTCTCCTGCCTCAGCCTCCCAAGTAGCTGGGATTACAGGCACATGCCACCACACCCAGCTAATTTTTGTATTTGTAGTAGAAATGTGGTTTCACCATGTTGGCCAGGCTGGTCTCAAACTCCTGACCTCAGGTGATCCATCCGCCTCGGCCTCCTAAAGTGCTGGGATCGCCGGTGTGAGCCATCATGCGTGGCCTAGAATATTCTTATTTCCAATTTTACAGCAACAGAATGTCTTCTGTCTTGTTTCTACTTTAAAAAAACAGTTTGCTAAAGCTTTCTTTGTAGTGCAGTTGTGAATTTTCAGGAGCATCCCACGAACATTGAAAAGGAGATGCATTCACGCTTTTTAAGGTTATCGAGGATGTGAAAATTAAAGTCGGCTTTGTAAATTCTGCCGTGTCTGTGAGCTCCCAGCATTTGATCAGCTGAGGCTTCGAGCGGTAAAGTAGAGTGCTTTTCCCCTAACGTGCTCTGATCTGGAGCCTGCGTGTATTACCGCTGGGCACACGGCCTGCCCTGACCATACTTTAGTGAAGCAGAGGTGATAAAACTGGGTTTCTCAGGACTCCCGCAACACACAGCTTTGATGTCGGCAAACTAGAACCCGGCAGCCAAATCTGCCCACGGTGTGTTTTTGTACAGCTTTCGAGGTAAGAATTTTTTTGTATTATTGTCGTTATTGTTGTTTTGAGATGGCGTCTTACTCCGTCGCCCAGGCTGGAGTCCAGTGGCATGATCTCGGCTCACTGCAACCTCCGCCCCTGGGTTCAAGCGATTCTCCTGCCTCAGCCACCTGAGCAGCTGGGACTACAGGCATGCACCACTACGCCCGGCTACATTTTGTATTTTCAGTAGAGACAGAGTTTCACCATGTTGGCCAGGTTGGTCTCGAACTCCTGGCCTCAAGTGATCCGCCTGTCTCTGCCTCTCAAGGTGCTGGAATTACAGACATGAGGTACGGCACCCAGCCAAAAATGGTTTTTATATGTCTGAATAATTTTTAAAACATGAAAGAACAACAATATTTTATGATACATGAAAATTATGTGACACTCAAATTTTTATGTCCATAAATAAAGTCCAGTTGTACAGATATTGGTTACATATTGCAGCAGAATCCATACAGTTTGCAAAGAGAAATGCCTTTACTACCTGACCTTCTACAGAAAGCTTATCTACTCTTGCCTCAAGAAGCATGTAAAATACTTACAACACTGGCACATGTTAGGCATGGTGGAAATCGTAGCAATTATTTTGCATCTTCATTTCATCTGAGAGGCTTTCCCGAATTTAACCATTTAATCTAATTCCTCACTACTTTTTGGGAAACTTTTTTTTTATTAAGGTGAAATTCACAAGTCTTAGAATTAAGATTTTTTTTTTGAGATAGAGTCTTTCTTTGTCACCCAGGCTGGAGTGCAGTGGCGTGCTGTCATTTCATTTTAACCTCTGCTTCCCGGATTGAAGCGATTCTCATGCCTCAGCCTGCCAAGCAGTTGGGATTACAGGCATGTGCCACCACACTCGGCTAATGTTTGTATTTTTAGTGAAGACGGGTTTCACAGTGTTGGCCAGGCTGGTCTCGAACTCCTGACCTCAGGTGATCCACCTGCCTCAGCCTCCCAAAGTGCCAGGATGACAGGAGAATTCACCATTTTAAAGTGAACAATTCAGGGTACTTGCTGCTTTCACAGTGTTGTGTGGCCACCACTTCTAACTAGTTCCAAGATATTTTCACTGCCCGAAATAGAAATCTCATTAGCAGTTGTTTCCTATATTAGCTTCCTGGGTCTGTCACGAAAACATGCTTGAGTGGGGAGGGGGCTTACAAAACAGACAGTTAAGCTGTCACAGTTCTGGAGCACGGAGGTCTGAAATCAAGGGGCAGACAGGGCTGATATCCCTCTCTCTCTCTCTCTCTGTTCTTTTCTTTGAGACGGAGTCTCACTTTGTTTCCGTTGCCAAGTCTGGAGTGCAGCGGTGCAATCTCAGCTCACTGAAACCTCTGCCTTCTGGGTTCAAGCAATTCTCCTTCCTCAGGCTCCCAAGTAGCTGGGATTACAGGGATGCACCACCACACTATGCTAATTTTTGTATTTTTGGTAGAAATGGGGTTTCACCATGTTGACCAGGCTGCTCTTGAACTCCTGATCTGAAGTGATCTGCCTGCCTCGGACTCGCAAAGTGCTGGGATTACAGATGTTAGCCACCGTACCCAGCCAGCAGGGCTAATTTCTTCTGAGGCTGTGAGGTAGAATCGATTTCATGCCTTTCCTTTTGCGTCCATATGCAAATGATCTTATTTCCAAAGAAAGTCACATTCTAAAGTACTGAAGGGTAGCGCTTCAATATACAAAGTTTGGGGGGAAAAATATACAACCATGTGATCTTTGACAAACCTGACACAAACAAGCAATGGGGAAAAGATTCCCAATTTAATAAATGGTGTTGGGAAAACTGGCTAGCCACATGCAGAAAACTGAAACTGAACTGCTTCCGTGCACCTTATACAAAAATCAACTCGAGATGGATTAAAGACTTAAACATAAGACCTAAAACCATAACAATCCTAGAAAAAAAATCTAGGCAATATCATTCAGGACATAGGCATGGGCAAAGACATCATATCTAAAACACCAAAAGCAATGGCAACAAAAGCCAAAATTGACAAATGGGATCTATTTAAACTAAAGAGCTTCTGCACAGCAAAAGAAACTATCATTAGAGTGAACAGGCAACCTACCGAATGGGAGAAAATTTTTGCCATCTGTTCATCTGACAAAGGGCTAATATCTAGAATCTACAAAGAACTCAAACAAATTTACAAGAAAGAAAGAACCCCATCAAAAAAGGGGCAAAGGATATGAACAGATACTTCTCAAAAGAAGACATTTATGCAGCCACAAACATGGAAAAATGCTTATGATCACTGGTCATTAGAGAAATGTAAATCAAAACCACAATGAGATACCATCTCATGCCAGTTAGAATGGTGGTCGTTAAAAGGTCGGGAAACAACACATGCTGGCGAGGATGTGGAGAAATAGGAACACTTCTACACTGTTGGTGGGAGTTTAAATTAGTTCAACCATTGTGGAAGACAGTGTGGTGATTCCTCAAGGACCTAGAACTAGAAATACCTGTTGACCCAGCAATCCCGGTACTGGGTATATAGCAAAGACTTGGAACCAACCCAAGTGTCCATCAATGATAGACTGCATAAAGAAAATGTGGCACGTATACACCATGGAATACTATGCAGCTATAAAAAAAGGATGAGTTCATGTCCTTTGTAGGGACATGGATGAGGCTGGAAACCATCATTCTCAGCAAACTATCACAGGAACAGAAAACCAAACACTGCATGTTCTCACTCCTAAGTGGGAGTTGAACAATGAGAACACATGGACACAGGGAGGGGAACATCACACACCAGGGCCTTTGAGGGGGTGGGGAGCTGTGGGTGGGATAGCATTAGGAGAAATATCTAATGTAGGTGATGGGTTGATGGGTGCAGCAAACCACCATGGCATGTGTATACCTATGTAACAAAACTGCACGTTCTGCACATGTACCCCAGAACTTAAAGTATAACAATAATAAAAAAGAAAATTACAAAAAAAGAGTGGTATGCATTGGATGTTTGTTGAATGAATGCATCAACTAATTTGATACTGCACACTCAGAAAGCAAAAGCCTGGAATTTTACAAATCAGGGACTTTCAATCATCTCCAATGCAGCGTAAGTGAAAGACACAAAAAGCCACATGTCATCTGCTTTTCCTGAACAACCGTCTCTGCTGAAATATTAGTTCTGCCACCTACAAAGACAACTGAAGGCTGAGGATAAAAAATGCCTCTTGGAAGTCACTGAGTTTGTTAGGTATAAAAGCCAAGACTTCAACTGAGGTCTTTGCACTGATGTGTACATTAACCCCACACTGGGTATCACTGTACAATCACGTCCTGCAGGAGGAAGATTACAGGCGGCCAGTGTCTTCTCTGATTTCTGGGTTGGTGACTTTGAACTTGCTACAGCTCCCACACCCGCAGCGAGCAGAGTTGCCCAGCAAGTGTGCCGGCTTCCAGAAGCCTGAGATGCCCATTGGTGCTTGGGAACCACCCCAGTTTCCCCATCCTCTGCGCTGCTGCAGATTGGTTGGGGCAGCCCGGGGAGACTGGCTCCGACACACGACTGAGTGTGCCTACACTGGTCCCACAGGTTTTCAGCTGTGGAGTTTGGGATCTGAGCTTGGAGCCCATTTGTTTCTGGCAGTTCGGCTCATATTTTCCACTTGAAGACATCGCCTCCCTTCCTTCCAAGCTGGGAGACCAGAAGTCAACAACAGGAGGGTGGAGAGGCTGGATCTCACAATCCCCTTGGCTGGGGAGTCCACTGAGGTTCTTGCATCCTGAAGCAAACCATGGAGAGCTGGTGGGGACTTCCCTGTCTTGCGTTCCTGTGTTTTCTAATGCACGCCCGAGGTAAGAGGCATTTTGCTTTGAGGGAGATCTGCCTGGGCGTGGATTTTTCTATTCTTGCTTTAAGAAACTCTTTCCAAAGGAGTTGCTATGAAGTGAATGGGGATAATTTGCCCAATGGGATTAGAAAGGAGACTAAGAGCGATGGGTGGCTGAGAGGGGAGGGAGAAGACGGGCTGCTCCCATTTGGAATCTGGGAATTAGATCCAGAAGGGCAGGATGTTAGCTGATACCATCTAGATATTCGCCATATTGTCCTGTTTTGATCCATGTGTCCCAAGCGTTTAAAAAATGACCTATTTAACTCCATGATTCAAGCATGACTGGGTGTGTGGGGAATGTCAGTCATTTCTTTCTGATTTTAAAAATTAGTTCTGACCATTTCCATACAGTAAAAGTAGAGTTGAAACTACTTCATCCCGTGGGGCAGATTACCAGAGATTCGTTTGCCGGAAGGGTTGCATTTGTTCAGATTTTTAAACCTTTTCCTAAACACTGTCATTCATTCTTGCAAATTAAAACCACCTGAATTGTTCACATCAAAAACTTCAATATAAACTTGCAGACTGGCTGTCCCAGACTCCAAGATTAGATTTTTTAGTTCCGTGCGAGGACCTCTTTAAGAAACTCCAACGAACTCATAAAGTATAGGATTTGAACAAAGGTTGAGTAAGTTTCTTTGGTCATTTTAATGTGGCGATTTCAGAGAAGGGAACGCCTGGGCGCATCTTAAGAGAGAGAAGTATTTCTGTTAGGAGTTAAAACACATCATTCAGATGTCCCTGTGGCAGCATTTCCTGTTTATCCTATTTAAAGACATGGACGTCATTAAGATTGGAGTTGGTTGTTTATGGGCGGAGGCGGTGTCGGGATGGATAGATCCTGGTGGACATAGTCTAGGATCTGCAGTGAGAATTTTTTATTATTCTGTGCTGTCTTCAGATCTCACCTAGTAAGTGGACAATGCGGCCGTGCATTCATTAGCTTCTGTTTACAGGGAGATGTTCAACAGCAAACCCACCTCCCCAGAAAAGTACTTCCAGGAGTTTGTATCATTCACAGTAAGAGCCAAAGGTTAACCATATGCCCTTGGGCAAATCAACTTCTACAAAGTGCGGATACAGACAGTTCCCAACTTACCATGGTTTGACATGATGGTTCAATTTAAGATTTTTCAACTTTACAATGGTGTAAAATTGGTATGCATTCAGTACAAACTAAAACTGTACTTTGAGTACCCATACAACTTTTCTTTTTTTTCTTTGAGGTGTCGTGTCGTTTCATTCTGTTGCCCAGGCTAGAGTGCAGTGGCACAATCTCAGCTCACTGCAACCTCCACCTCCTATGTTCAAGCAATTCTCCTGCCTCAGCATCTCAAGTAGCTGGGATCATAGGCGCCCACCACCACACCCAGCTAATTTTTCTATTTTTAGTAGAGACTGGGTTTCACCATGTTGGCCAGGCTGGTCTTGAATCTTGACCTCTGGTGATCCACCGGCCTCCCAAAGTGCTGGGATTATAAATGTGAGATACCATGCCCGGCCCCATACAGCCATTCTGTTTTTCACTTTCAGTACAATATTCAACAAATTATGTGAGGTATGCAACACCTCATTATAAAGTTGACTGTGTGCTAGATGATTTGTCCATCCGTTGGCTGGTGTTCTGACCACTTTGAAGGCAGGTAAGGCTAAGCTATGGCATTTGGTAGGGTAGTTGTATTAAATGCACTTATGACATAAAATGTTTTCTTTTTTTTAATGTGTTTTAATTTTTTTGAGGGAGGGGCCCACTGTGTCACCTAGACTGGAGTGCAGTGTTTCCATCATAGCTCACTGCAGTCTTCACCCCAGGGGTTCGAACAAACCTCCCACCTCAGCCTCCAGAGTAGCTGGGACTACAGGCATTTGCCGCTATGCCTGACTAGTTTTTAAAATTTTTGTAGAGACGGGATCTCACTATGTTGTCCAGGCTGGACTTGAACATCTTAGCTCAAACGATCCACCTGCTTTGGCCTCCCCAAATCTTGAGATTACAGGCATCAGCCACCACACCCTGTCCTGCGCTAAATTCTTTGAATGACAGCAGCACTTCCTATGCACTAGGCATGGATTAACTTAGTTGATTGTCCCTCAACCCTATGACGGGAGTGTCGTGCCTGATGTCATTTTACAGATGGTGTATTAGTCAGGGTTCTCTAGAGGGACAGAACTAATGCAATAGAAATATATATATAGAGAGGAGTTTATTAAGTATTAACTCACATGATCACAAGGTCCCACAACAGGCCGTCTGCAGGCTGAGGAGCAAGGAGAGCCAGTCCAGGTTCCAAAACTGAAGAACTTGGAGTCTGATGTTCCAGCATCCACCATGGGAGAAAGATATAGGCCAGAAGACTAGGCCAGTGTCTCTTTTCACATTTTTCTGCCTGCTTATATTCTAGCCACAGTGGCAGCTGATTAGGTGGTGCCCACCCAGATTGAGGGTGGGTCTGCCCCTTCCAGTCCACTGACTCAAATGTTAATCTCCTTTGGCAACACCCTCACAGACACACCCAGGATCAATACTTTGTATCCTTCAATCCAATCGAGTTGACATTCAGTATTAACCATCACAGATATGGGTAAACTGAGGCACTGAGGATTTGGACGGGGGCAGCCGGCAGCGGAATCTGAGCTGTCCTGTAGCTCTGTCTGGGAAGACTCCAGTGAGCATCCTGCTCTATCCCAAGCCTTGTCTTCTGAAAATCAGAATCATCCCTCCTCCAAGTGTTACAGGAAAGGGGTCCAGATCCAGACGCCAAGACAGGGTTCTTGGATCTCGCTCCATAAAGAATTCAGGGCTAGTCTGTAAACTGAAAACAAGTTTATTTGGAAAGTAAAGGAATAAAAGAATGGCTACTCCGCAGAGCAGCTCTTAGAGCTACTGCTTGCCCATTTTTATGGTTATTTCTTAGTGATATGCTAAGCAAGGCTTCGATTATTCATGCCTCCCCTTTTTAGACCATGCAGAATTCCTGACATTGCCGTGGCATTTGTAATTGTCATGGTGCTGGTGGGAGGGTAACACTGAGGACAACCAGAGGCCACTCTCATCACCATCTGGGTTTTGGTGGGTTCTGGCCGGTTTCTTTACTACATCCTGTTGTATCAGCTAGGTCTTTATGACCTGTATCTTGTGCAGACCTTCAGTCTCATCCTGTGACTCAGAATGCCTTAATCATCTGGGAATGCAGCCCAGTAGGTTTCAGCCTTCTATTGCCCAGCCCCTATTCAAGATGGAGTCGCTCTGGTTCCAGTGCCTCTGACACAAGTAGCGCCCCTTAGGGAGGTTACAGGAGGGCCTGGAAAGAAAGTGAGGTCTGGATCAGGGCCCTTCTGTGTAAATAAGATGATGTACATGCAGCAGCTGGGTATGTCCTGGGTAAAAATTAGTTAAATGCACAGACGACCCTGTTTCATCCCCAGCCATCACCAGCTGGAAATGGAGCACATTCCCAAGATCCCAAAAACATTCTGCAAGGCTGGTGCGATGATTGCTACGAAGTACTTAAGAAAACAGATTATTGTTCAGGATCAATAGCTAATGCATGTGGGGCTTAATGCCTCTGTGACGGGTTGATAGGTGCAGCAAACCACCATGGCACATGTTTACCTATGTAACAAACCTGCACGTCCTGCACACGTATCCCGGAACTTAAAATAAAATAAAGAAGACAGAATATTGTTAATCGTTAATATGCTGTAAATCATTATGATGATTACTAAATTATCAATACAAAAGAAGATAATAGCAAGACGGCCATATTCCTAATAGAGGTTGACATTTTAGCAGCCCTACATTTCCACTGTATTTAATTAGTATTCGCCATCCAATCCAGAGGGGCATGAAGGAGCACGAGACAAAATCAGGTCTTCTAACAGCTGAGAAGAAGCTGAGAACCAGAAGTGGAAACCCCAAAGGGCAGTGTATGAAATGTCATTTATTGAGGGAAAAAAAAGAAAATGACAGAGTTCGATAGAAGAAATAAGCACTAGTGTTTACATAATCAGTAGGGTGACTTTAGTTTACAATAATCTATTGTAGATTTCAAAATAGAAGAGTCAGAATGGTTCTAATATGAAGGAAAGACAAATATTTAAGGTGGATGGATATCCCAAGTAGGCTGATTTGATCTTTACAAATTATATAAATGTAGTAAATTTTTACATATATCCTGAAGCTATGTACATCTGTTATGTATCAATTAAAAATAAATTAAAAGAAAAGGATAATGTCCAGGATATACACCAGCTAAGACAGTCTCTTCCAAGTCTATTGTACATTATTCCCTTATCAGATTTAAAACCTGAGAGTTCCCTGACCCCCCTCACAGAATGTGCGACAGGGGTGTGCTTCATCTCTTTGACCGCCACATACTGAAACCTCTTATGGGACGCAGAACTTGCAGATGGGCAGGTGCAGCAGCTAGCATGAGTGTTTTTGAGCTCTGGGCCCCACGGTAACATCTAGGGGTGGGTGCCTGTGACCCCCGAAGCCCCAGTGGGTGTGTTACGGTGCTCTTTTAGCTCTGCCATCCGCACGTGGCTTAAGTGTTAGCCAGCTCAGTGCCGTCTTGGTACCTGGGTTCTCGTCCGGCATCCAGGAAGAATCAGATCACATGAACAAGCTGAAGGATGGTAAATGCAGAAGACTTTGTTGCCAGGTAGAGGTGACTCTCAGTGGGATGGTTGGGGAGCTGGAAAGGGGATGGAGTGGGAAGATGATCTTCCCCTGGAGTGTAGTTGTTCTGCAGCTAATCTCTTCTTCAACCACCCCAGCTGAACACCTCTCAGTGTTCAGCTGTTCCTTCTCTTCTCTCCTTCTCTGCTGTGCTGCTCTTTGGTTCCTCGCCTTTTCTGCTCATCTGTCTGTTTTCACATGGGGTCTGGGGTTTGGGGTTTATATGGGTACAGGACAGGGAGGCATGGTGGGTCAAAAGGCAACATTTGGGCACAAAAATAGGAATGCCTGTTTCCATTTAGGACTATAGGTTCCAGGCTTGAGGGCGGGGCCTTTGCTGGGGAACTGCCCTCTTCTAACTAGTATCTTCCTGCCTCCTGTCCTTATCAACATGACTTAAAATGTGTATGCATTTGTATAGAGCTGTGTTTCTATGTAAAGACTAGAAAAGACTTATGAAAAAGATCACTCAGACCTCTGAACAGTAGCACATCATATTTCTGAGTACTTCCTGTTGAGTAAAGGTAAGTGAGGATTGTGCCAAGTATTTTTCATTACTTGCTGCATTAGGTTGTCACAGGCTGTTTAGTTTACTTCTAAAAATTGGGATATGGGGAAGTTGTGGGCCGGGCACAGTGGCTCATGTTTGTAATCCCAGCAGTTTGGGAGGCCGAGTTGGGCGGATCACTTGAGGTCAGGAGTTTGAGACCAGCCTGGCCAACATGGCAGAACGCTGTTTCTACTAAAAATACAAAAATTAGCCAGGCATGGTGGGGGGTGTCTGTAATCCCAGCTATTCAGGAGGCTGAGACAGGAGAATCGCTTGAACCCAGGAGGCGGAGGTTGCAATCAGCTGAGATCATACCACTGCACTCCAGCCTGGGTGGCAGAGTAAGACTCCATCTCAAAAAAAAAAAAAAAAAAAAAAAAAAGGAAAAAAACGTTATGATGATCGCCTAAGGTGAGAAGCCATACCATGGCAGCGTACAGAACCCCAAACCACGCCAGCCTCATCCTACGTCTCAGTTATATTTTTCTTGACTTGTTTCTATTCTGGTGTCCCCTCTCTCCCTGCCCCCTCCTTCCCTGCAAAGGATCTAGCAAATTTGTAGGTGTGGAAAGGGAACCACAAATGGGTCATTTCCCTGCCATTGTCACCTCGAGCATGTAGCCATTTCGTGCAGTGATTCTCTGTCTTTGATGTGCAGGTCATCACCTTGAAGGGAGGAGGTATTAAAAGCGCCACCCAGTCCCCACCCACTGAGGTCTTTATTCAGCAGGTGTGGGTCAGGCATTTGGGAGCTGGGAGACCTGCATTTTAAGAAGCACCCCAGGTGATGCCCAAGCGGAGCTATGTGCTTCTTTTAAGAGATGATGACTCTGTGTGCAACCATGTGGTTACCTTTGGGTGGAGTCTCATGGATCACTGCCACAGTGGGGAGGCAGCTCTGTGCTCTCCAATTCGGTGATGTGTCATTCACTCTAAGCAGGCCCAAGGTGACACCCCCAGATACAGATGCTGCCATCCAGCCATTCTCAACCAGGGATCATGTTTATCCACAGGGACACTTGTTGATATCTTGAGGCTTTGAGTTGCCACACTGATAGCAGGGATGCTCCTGGCATCTAGTGGGTGGAGCCCAGGGATGCTGGTCAACACCCTGCAGTGCACAGGACGCCCCACAGAAAAGAGTGATCCAACCTCATATGTCAGTAGGACTGAGGCTGAGGAATCTTGCATTAGCATGAGAGATCCTGTCTGTCTGTCTGCCTATCTCTAGATCTATCTATCATCTACCATTATCCATCGACCTATCTGTCTCTATTATATACACCTATCATCTACCTAATCTGTCAATGATTTTCTGTCTTCTATCATCTATCTATCTATCTATCTATCTATCTATCTATCTATCTATCTATCTATCATTATACCTACTTCTGTATCCAACTCTCATCTGTATTATCTATGTGTGTGTCTGTCTGTCTGTCTGTCTGTCTATCTATCTATCTATCTATCTATCTATCTATCTATCTATCTATCTATCATTATACCTACTTCTGTATCCAACTCTCATCTGTATTATCTATGTATCTGTCTGTCTGTCTATCTATCTATCTATCTATCTATCTATCTATCTATCCCTCCCTCTATCAATCTATCTATTTATCTAGCAGTCCATCATCTATCTATGACATTCTTCTGCTACTCAGGGATAATTGTGTTCCTCAAGTAACACTTGGCAATGTCTGGAAACAATTTTGGCAGTTGCACTGGGATGGGTGTTCTCGCATCTGGTGGGTGGAGATAAGACATGTTGTTCAACACCTTACAGTGCACAGGACAGCACCCATGACAGAGAGTTATGCAGCCCCAAGTGTCATTAGTACTGTAGCGGAGAACCTGCTGTTAGTTGTAACTTCTAACCCTGCGAAAGGGGACAGATTGGAAATGTCATGCTCCTGTACACTGTAGGAGGTATAGTTGTCTGGAGGTATAGTTGTCTGGAGGTATAGTTGTCCTGTACAGTATAGGAGGCACGGTATAGTTGTCTGGGCATTTCTAAATGGATCTTTTAGAATGCACTTGTAGGATCTTTTTCCCATAGGGCATAGAGCCATGGCACATATAACCCAGAAGCTAAGCATTCCATAGTTTCCTTGTTGGAGTAGGAAGGGGCTGTGCAGAAAAAGTCTATGGCTGTTTGGCACCTGAGTGTGAAGACATCTGGCAAATATTGGAGCCAATTACCAGACAAGCACGGAGTCCAAGAAATGTCTCCCCTTTCTTGGATAACAATTGACCCTTCCTGTGAGGGCCCCCCTCATTCCAGCCATTTTCCTCTTTCTCATTGGCACACAGGGGGTAGAAAAGTGGGGTTCTGCCTGCAGGTGGGGCTCTGCCAGACATGGCTAAGCTCCTGGGGATTCCCCCGATGGATCAGGGGCCAGAGGCACCTAAACCTGTGAGCGATGTGTCCAGCCACGGTGCTGAGGCTGGGAAACTCTGCTGTAGTCTGTGAATCCCAACCTCTGGGAGTGCTTCAGATGTTTAAAAACCCAAGAGGAGTCATCTCATCCACAAAAATGTTCGTATTTTTATGTGGCAAAATTATGTAGAAAAAACTAAAAAAAAAGTTTGCAAATCTATCTCCCAAAAAACAGCACATGCTGCTTTCTGCATGATAGGGGAGCGGGGTGATTTTTAGAATTTTCTTCTTCTTGATGTTTGTTAATATGTATATGAGTCAAGGTTCTCCAAAGAAATAGAACCAATAAGATACATTTATATCTAACTCCATATCTACCTATATCTCTGTCTTTCATCTATCTCAAAAGTCTACCTATTTATTTATCATCTATCCATCTATCTGTTTATCTATCTCTCTATTATCTACCTGTTCATCTATCTTTGTCTATCTCCAATATCTATCTTCAATATCTATGTATCTAATCTATGTATCTATGTATGTATGTATGTATGTATGTATGTATGTATGTATGTATCTATCTATGCATCTATCATCTATCCCATCTACCTATCTATTGACCTATCTATCTAAAACATGTTTGTTTTCCTTACTTGGGAGGCCCAGGAGTTAAGGCTGCAGTGAGCTATGATTGCACCACTGCACTGCAGCCAGGACAATAGAGCGGGGCCTTGTCAGAAGGAGAAGGAAAAGGAGGAGGAGGAGGTGGGGGAGGAGGAGGAGGTGGGGGAGGAGGAAGAGGGACAGGAGGAGGAGGAGGAGAAGGGGGAGGGGAAGGAGGAGGAGGAATAAGATGACGAAGAAGTAGGAGGAAGGGGGGGAAGGGGGGGAGGAGGGGGAAGGAGGAGGGGAGGAGAAGGGGAAGAGGAGGAAAGAGGAGAAGGAGGGGGAAGGGGAGAGGAAGAAGAAGCAGCAGCAGGAGGAGGAGGGGAGGAGGAGGGGAGGAGTAAGAAGAACAAGGGGAAGAATAAGAAGAAGGAGGAGGAGGGAGAGGAGGAGAGGAAGAAGAAGCAGCAGCAGGAGCGGCAGGGAGGAAGAGGAGGAAGAGGGAAGAGAGGGAGGAGGAAGGAGGAAGTGGAAGAGGAATGGGATAAGGAAGAAGAGGAAGAGAAAGAGGAATAAGCAGAAGCAGAAGAAAGAAAGATGGAGGGAAGGAAGGAAGGCAAGAGAGAAAGAGGAAGGAGGGAGGAAGGAAGGAGGGAAGGAAGGAGGAAAGTACTTTTCAACCTAAGACAATTTCCTTAAACCCAAATGGATGCCTCCTGATGTTTTCCTAAAAAATATTTTCTTATTTTATTTTAATTACAATAAAACGTAATTATAGCCCCACACAGACCTGCTGATCTAGAATCTGCACGTGGCTGGATTCTGGTCTGAGTCTCACACTCTTTAGGATCTGAGAGGCATTGAGGCAGATGTCACAAGGTGGATGGAACAATTCTTGTGTAAACCTGGCGCTCCACAGATCTTCCCAAGAAGCCTTTCTTTTTCATTCAGGGCACAGGAATGTCATGACTTCCGGAATCATCACTTAACAGCTGGGTGGGTTTCTATATATATATATATATATATATTTTTTTTTTTTTTTTTTTTTTTTTGAGACGGAGTCTCGCTCTGTCGCCCAGGCGGGACTGCGGACTGCAGTGGCGCAATCTCGGCTCACTGCAAGCTCCGCTTCCCGGGTTCACGCCATTCTCCTGCCTCAGCCTCCCGAGTAGCTGGGACTACAGGCGCCCGCCACCGCGCCCGGCCAATTTTTTTTTGTATTTTTAGTAGAGACGGGGTTTCACCTTGTTAGCCAGGATGGTCTCGATCTCCTGACCTCATGATCCACCCGCCTCGGCCTCCCAAAGTGCTGGGATTACAGGCGTGAGCCACCGCGCCCGGCCAGGGTTTCTATATATTTAATGACAGTTCCTCCATGCTGAAAAACGTCTAGTTTTGTAAATCTCTTTCCTTAAGCTATCTCACCCACCTCTCCCCGCAGCCCTGTGTGTTCAGCAGAATCATGGTTCTCCTGAGTTTGCCAATGAAGAAAAGGATACTGACATTAACTTTAAGGAAGAGGCCGGGCACAGTGGCTCCCAGCACTTTGGGAGGCTGAGGCAGGCGGATCACCTGAGGTCAGGAATTCAAGACCAGCCTGGCCAATGTGGCAAAACCCTATCTCTACTAAGAATGCAAAATATTAGCTGGGCCTGGTGGCGTGTGCCTGTAATCCCAGCTACTCAGGAGGCTGAGGTGAGAGAATTGCTTGAACCTGGCAGGTGGAGATTGCAGTGAGCTGAGATTGCACCATTGCACTGCAGTGAGCTGAGACTGTGCCACTGCACTCCAGCCTGGGTGACAGAGAAAGACTCTATCTCAGAAAAAAAAAAATCATTAAGGAAGAGTATTGTTGAGGGCATGGGCCAGGCCTGTGATGTAGCTGAGATGAAACTCTCTCTCCAGATTCCCAAACCCTGGCTGTCTCCACTGAACCAGGCTGTCCAGCGGTAGTAGTTGACCGTGTCCCATGGTTTAAATCTGCTGTGAGCCGAATTGTACCCTCCTCAATTTTATAAATGGAAGTTCCAATTTTGACTGGGTTTGGAGATGGGATCTTTAAAGAGGTGATTCAGGTAAAATGAGGTCACTAGGTTGGGCCTTGATCCAATAGGACTGTGGACCTTATAAAGAAGAGATAAGGACACAGACATGCACAGAGGGATGACTCTGTGAGGACTCAGGGAGAAGATGGCATCCACAAGCCAAGGAGAGAGTTCTCAGGAGGAACCAGCCCTGCCCACACCTTGATCTCAGACTTCCAGCCTCCAGATCTGTGGGAGAATCAATGTCCACTATTTAAGCAGGCTGGTCTGTGGGACTTTGCTATGGCAGCAGCCCCAGCAGACAAACATATTTGTATTCCAATGAGTGAGTTATTTCTGTAAGGGCTGGATTCTGTGCCTCCAAAATTTATATACTGAAGGCCTAATCCCTAGGACCTCAGAACATGACTGTGTTTGGTGATGGGGTCTTTAAAGAGGTGAGAAGGGTACAATGAGCTCAGGAGGTTGTGCCCTGATACAATAGGACTGGGGTCCTTATAAAAAGAGTAGATAAGGACACAGACACACACAGAGGGATGACCCTGTAAAGACAGGGAGAAGACGGCATCTACAAGTCAAGAAGAGAGGCCTCAGGAGGAACCAGCTCTGCCCATGCCTTGATCTCAGAATTCCAGCCTCCAGGACTGTGGAAGAATAAAACTCTGTGGTTTATAAGCCACCCAGCCTATGGTATTCTGTGATAGCAGCCTGCAATGGACTAAGACATCTCATTAGAAGAGCAGATGAGGAAACAGACACACCCACAGAGGGATGACCACATGGGGACACATGGAGAAGACAGCATCTACAAGCCCAGGACAGAGGCCTCAGGAGGAAGCAGCCCTGCCCATACCCTGATCTCAGACGTCCAGCTTCCAGGACTGTGGGAGAATCAATGTCTGTTGCTGATAAGCCACCCAGTCTACGGCATGCTGTGACAGCAGCCTGAAATGGACTAAGACACCTCATAAGAAGAGGAGATGAGGACACAGACACACACAGAGGGACAACCCTGTGAGGACACAGGGAGAAGACAGCATCTACAACCCAAGGAGAGAGGCCTCAGGAGGAACCAGCCCTGGCCATAGCTTGATCTCAGACTTCTAGCCTCAAGGACTGTGAGAATCAAGGTTGTTGTTTAAGGGGCCCAGTCTTTGGGATTTCTTTGTAACAACTCTGGGAAGCCATTACCAAGTCTCTGTCCTGCAAAGTGAGATCCATGGATCTGCAGCCTTGACATCCCCTGGGAGCTGATGAGAAACAATGTGTCTTGGGCCCAGACAGACCTGCTGAAGCATAGTCTGTGTGTCACCCATGTGCTGAGGGATCCATGTGCATGCCACTCTGGGAAGACGGGTTTACAACACTCCATCGACCAGTGCCTCATTGCATGGTCTGCGGTATTTTTCTTGAGTTTTCCTTGCACCAAAGATGTCTTGCCTTTTATGATGAATGATCATTCCTTCCTCTTTGATGACAAAATACTTCGACCCCTGCAGACCCTGTCTGTTGTGTTACAGACATACACTGAGGCCTGAATTCTCATTACTAATGTTTGCTGTAATAGAGCTTCAATCTGCAACTGCATAATATGGTCACTGGGAAGTCAAGAACGGGCCAGTTGGTTGACCTTCTGGGGAGAGGCTGGGCTGCTTGGATGCTGAGACCGTGGAGGGTTCATGGGTTCCGAGGAGCAGATCATGCACCAGGGCGGCCTGCTCAGCTCTGGTGTCTGCAGCCCCGGTGAGCTTGAGCATTAGGGAGTCCCTGGATATTCATGTTGAGGTGTGGAGGAGGAGACTCCAGCTGTGTTTGATTTCCTGTCCTGCTGGAAATATAAACTTCTTAACCAATTAGAGAACAGAATGGATTTCATCTTATCCATGGGGCTAAAGTAGAATTCAGCCCTTGGCAAACAAGCCCCCTGGGAATAAGATTCCCCACTGGGGCAGCAGCCTTCCTTGTCACTTTCTGTTGCAACCTACGGTCCTAACCTAGTCATATGATTTAATTTTTTTTACTCTGTGAATCATGCCGTCCTGGGAGAGAATGAGAGGAGCAAGAACACCCCTCTTAGGGGCTTGCCAGGCACTCTCCCTAGCATGGAAATAAAGGAAAATCTTGAGTTCCTTCAAGGGAAATTCCAGGCACCTGGCTGGCCTTGAGAAGTACATGGAGCGGCTTGATAAGCAAGGTGATTGTAGTGTAGAACAATAGCCAAGGAAGTTAGAGCCTCAAGATGTTTAGTTTCCTGTAAAGACTAAAGATAACATCTTTTTTGAGATGGAGTCTTGCTCTATCACCCAGGTTGCAGTGCAGTGGCACAGTCTCAGCTCACTGCAACCTCTGCCTGCCTGGTTCAAGCGATTCTCATGCTTCAGGCTCCCAAGCAGCTGGGACTACAGGTGTGCACCACCACTCCCTAATTTTTTTATTTTTAGTAGAGATGGGGTTTCACCATGTTCATCTGGTCTCAAACTCCTGACCTCAGATGATCCACCCCCTTTGGCCTCCCAAAGTGCTGGGATTACCAGTGTAAGCCACCATACCCAGCCAAAATAACATCTTAATATATGGTCCTGAGTTGATTTGCAGGAACCCAGACCCCCACCAAATGACAAATGCCATCTGCTGGCTTATAGACCTCAGGTAAGAGAAACTGAATTCTCATTACCAATATTTGCTGTAAATTCCTTCCTAGAGACATGGAGGGTGGAGAGCTGGAGGAAGTCACACCCATGGGCCAGAACTAACATTGATTTCTGCTGACCCCAAATGCTCAGACAAACTTCGCCTCCTTAACCAATGACAAATCAGAGAAACTTTGAATCCACATTAAGCCCCTGCTTCCAGGTATCCCGCCTTTTTAGATCAAAGCAATGTATAGCCTGCATGTATTATGGCTTTGCCTATAACCTCTGCCTCCTTGCCACTGAAAACCCCCACCTACTGGCCACCCAGGAGGTTGGGTCTTAAGGCATCAAGGAGGTTGCTTGATGCCTTCTAAATAGCTTGGAATAAACGCCTCACTTCCTCACGCTGCAATCCTGATGGCAGTGTTCGGCTTTACTGCACAGGGCCGGTGGACCTAAGTTGAGTTAGTGGGAGGTGTTTGAACCAGAGCAACTCCAGCTTGAGTAGGGTCTGTGTAAAATGAGGCCGAGAGCTGCTGGGCTGCATTCCCTGATGGTCAAGGCATTCTAAGGCACAGGATGAGATAGGAGGTTGACACAAGACACAAGTCATAAAGACCTTGCTGATGAAACAGCTTGCCGTAAAGAAGTCGGCCAAATTTTACCAAATCCAAGATGGCGACGAGAGTGACCTCGGGTGGTCCTCACTGGTATCTTCCCACCAGCCCCATGACAGTTACAAATGCCATGGCAATATCAGAAGTTACCCTATATGGTCTAAAAAGAGGAGGCATGAATAAGCCACTCCTTGTTTAGCATATCCTCAAGAAAGAACCATACAAATGGGCCACCAGTGGCTGTATTCTAGGGAGCAGCCATTCTTTATTCCTTTACTTTCCTAATAAACTTGCTTTCACTTTACTCTATGGACTTACTGCAAATTCTTTCTTGTGCAAGATCCAAGAACCCTCTCCTGGGGTCTGATTCCAGACCCCTAAGAACAATTATCATATGCTTTCTATATATACACATATATATTTTTTAATTGCTGAACAGGAGTCAAAGAGAAACCTTAGGATTTGCCTAAAGGAAGTCAAGATTTGTTCTTCTTGGGGTCCCTGTGCCAGCTTTGTAAAACCTCAGAACTTTCCCCTCTGTGAGTTTCCTCAAGGTGAGAAGGGTTCTATGGGTTTAAGACCCACTGTCTTCAACTGCAGCAGCTGATCCCAGAAAGATTGGTTTAAATGAACACTTCACAGGAAACCAGTACAATCCTATGTAAAGAAATAAAAAACAAGCCAGAGGTGGTGGCTTACACCTGTAATTGCAGCACATTGGGAGGCCAAGGCAGGTGGATCACTTGAGGCCAGGAATTCAAGACCAGCCTGGCCAACATGGTGGAACCTCAAAAATTAGCTGGACATGGTGGTGCGCACCTGTAATCCCAGCTACTTGGGAGGCTGAGGCACATGAATCACCTGAACCAGGGAGGCAGAGGTTGAAGAGAGCTGAGATTGTGCCATTGCACTCCAGCTTGGGCAACATAGTGAGATTCTGTATCCAAAAAAAAAAAAAAAAAAAAAGAAGAAAACAATTACTTTAAAGGGCAGATGTTTCTCCTGGACACACAGATCAAAGGACATTGGATTTAATAATGAAACAGAAGAGCCTGTCTGAATTTACTAATGTGGTTGCACGTCCCGTAATGATTGCAGTTGGTTCTCATTCAATTCCGCAGTGTATAAATTCTGCTGATAATAGCTATAATTGGTGTCAGGGATTTAGACAGTCTCTGTATGTTCCTTTTTATTTTCTGCTCAGAGCCTGCTGGGAGCTGATTTTCTTCTTTAGATTGAGGTAAATAATTCAATGGGAAGTGGAGGTTTGGGTGTGGGCTGATTGCTCTTCTGTGCTATGTGGCAACCATTGCCTGGAGGCAGGTAATGTTCAGTGGGCATTGACCTTGACATTGTGTAATTATTATTCCAACAACAGCACTCTGCTTTGCAAAATTGTTGTTTGTTATATTGATTTTGTGGGGTCATGGCCCCTGAAGATTTGCTAAAAATCATGGACATGAAGCAGATTGATTAATTGGAGAAAAGACATAACAAATGTACTTAACGTGTATACACAGGAGCATTCAGAATGAAGACCCCAGATACAAGGGGAGATGGTCCATTTTTATGCTTTAGTTCAACCAAGTCTGGACAGCTGTGTAGAAATAGGGTTGGACAAAAAGGGCCTGATCCAATGCTAATGGTCTGAGTGGGGAAACCCAGCCAGACCTGTGTGTCTAGATTCTTCTTGGCCTCTCTGAGCAGCACTCCTTCCTTCTGGGTGTGAGGCGGGACCCTCTCTGGAATGGGGTTCTTAGGATGCCCAAACAAGAAGAGGTCAGGTAATTTCCTCATGGCCAGTCTTTGTACAGATAGAATAGAGGGAAAGTTAGAGTCCTGTTTTTAGGTTTTATGGCTGGCTTCGGGAAAAAGTCGTTCTTGTTTCTGGGACCTGCCTTGGGGAAGATGGATTCTCGTCCCTACAGTGCCTCAGGAGAATGGGACTCAGAGACAGGAGAGCTGGAGAAGTTCTAAGACAAGCTTCTGCTTCTGAGGCTGTTACTAAGGCCTGCATTTGGGGGTATCATTTTCTGAACCTGAACAACTTGTATGTCTGAATCAATGTAAAGAATTCAGAGGGTGGCGGAACTCTAATAAGAAGAATCTTTGAATCTGGCAGGGGTGGAATTTGAACTCAAGAGGGATTTGGTGACTCCAGGCTACAGAAGAATGCCTCCAAGCACTACATCACATGGCTTTGCTCCAAAGGGTCCTGAGGTGAGCCACTTAATCTACATCTCCAGGATGCCATAGTCGCAGCACAAAATGAGATTGCTTTCTTCTTGGGGGTTTAGGGATCCCAGAACACAAGGGTTTGATTAAAAACTGCTAAGTTCACTAAGTAGAAGCAAAACAAATCAGAAACAGATCTCCTGTCCTGCCCCATCTTACGTTCTCAGAAGAAAATAAACCCTGCAAAAGCAATAGTGTCATGTGCAACCCGACCTTGGAGACAGAGACACCAGAGTTAGCGCTGTTTACCTGAGACATCTCCCAGCCCAGGGGTCTTACTCCAGGCCCATGAGGACCCCAGCCATGGCTTTGCTATAACTTCCCTGGAGAGGAGAGAGGTCAGGGGGCCCTGCCTGGTGTGCAAGACTGGAGACTCTTAGTGCTCAGGCGGCCATATGCTGGCCAGAGTCTGTCTGGTTTATGTAACGAGGTCTAGGTGTGACCGACAGCAGCCTCATGTGTGTGAGTCACGCATGCAGCAACTTCTGGCTGCAGTGCAACCCCGGAAACCAAGCAAAGCCTAAAACCCCAGGCTCCGCTTCCTCTGTGATCCTCCCCACCCCTAATTCCTGTCATCTCTCAGGGTCATCCGGAGCATCTCAAAGCTGAAGGAGCCTCCGCTGCAACCTGGCCTCCTGCTGCAGGATGAGACGAGCTGTCTGCAGCCCTCCCGTGCCACCTGCCTGTTTTATGCAACAGCATTTCGAGAGGAGGGGCTGGGAGGGGAGAGATAACACCGAGGCCTTTGGTTATTTAGGGCAACAGCAGGGAGTGGTCTGGGTGCAGAGATTAGAGGAGATTGTTAAGTGGTTGCTGAGGGGATGCCTGGAACTGCTGAGATGTGCCAAGATATAACACAGTGAAAGATATTGGTCAATGGTGAATCTAAATCGGAATCTAAATTCTCAGGGTGTATGCATAGCCAAGACACTTAACTCTGGGGTCCTGGACAGGTGTCTCAACTGGAACTGCTGACAGCCTCAGAGGGGAGATGTCTCATGGATCCAAGAGACTGACATGGCTCCCGTCCCCCAGCCCAGTCTGAGCAGCTTGGACGGTGATGACCAAGAGAGTTGGAGGAGGCCAGATGTGGAGGCTCACTCCTGTAATCCCACCATTTTGGGAGGCTGAGGCAGGTGGATCACTTGAGGTGAGGAACAAGAATTATTGAACCCAGGAGGAGGAGGTTGGAGTAGGCTGAGATTATGCCATTGCACTCTAGCCTGGGCGACAGAGTGAGACTCCATCTAAAAAACCAAATATACAAAAAAAAAAAAAAAAATTGGGAGATTGCTGGGGAGATCAAAGACAGGCCAGGTTGTTCTTATAGGGGAGCCTGTAGTGATCACTGGTAACAGAGAACGTCATCTGAGAGGGACATGGGGGCTCCCAGAGTTTGAGAGAAATGGCCGTGTGGGATTTGACCTGTGATGGCACCGCCAGCTCCCAGCCTCCAGTCTGGGCCCGGGGCGGCTGTTGTGTGCACCCTGGGCTCAGAGTTCCCCTTCCCTCCAAGGTTTGTAATTTTGTCCTCACTTAGGGACTCCTGCTTGGGGATGCACCTTCTGCTCTGGAGAGGCCCTAATTGCCTCCACAAGGAGCTATAAAGCATGCCTGGTGGCATCTGGTTGCAGTCATGCCACAGACTGTATGAATCTATATGGGAGCCCTTGAACCTTACCCCAGAGTAAACATCATCCAGGCAGATGGATTTCTGCAAGGGAGATGATAACAGAGGTGGGGGAGACCCACCAAAAAGAGCTCACTGGGTTCTCCAGGCTTAGCCTCCTCCAGGGCTTAGTGTTTGAGCAAGACATTTTCACCCCTGGACAATTCTGAAAATTCTGACTGCTCCTGTCTTGCCCTAAACCTGCCAGAACTTAGTTTCTTCCTTTGGGAAATATGCATGCTGGTCATACCAGCATCCTCAGGTTGGCAGATGAGATGCTTTGGTGCCTGGCATTACTGCAATAGAACTCAATGCATAGGAATGCTGATTCAGTGCCCTCCCAGCTGCATCCTCTACTTCCTGGTAAGTTCTCCAGTGGTATTTTCTCTGCAGGGTTGGTATTTGCAGGGGTTAAGGGAGAAACAAGGGCAAGGTGTGCATATATGTCAGCAAGAGGGACCCGTCACCCTCACAAATTCTGCAGTATATTTTTAATGATGAGTCACAAAGATGTGAATGTTCTCATCTCTCTGCTGCAGACACATTCATTAGGTTAACTGCTTTTGGATCAGGTAGGAACCTCAGCTTGTCCACACAGGTTGCTTCCTGATCTGTATTTGTCAGTGTAGGCTAGCTGCTGTAACAAACAGCCCCCAAAGAATTAAAAGTTTGTCCCTTGTGTTGCATCCAGGGGATGTGGCAAAGGAGTCCTCTGCTCCATATAGTCTCTCAGGGATCCGGGACCCTCATATTGTTCTGCTTCACCTTCTCCTAAGGCAGCCCCTCTCAACCTATACTCTGTGTGTGTGTGTGTGTGTGTGTGTGTGTGTGTATGTGTGTATGTGTTTGTTTATGTATGAGGGAAATCCCAATCTTAAGCTGTGAGTGGGAGAGTCCAGGAGAGAAGTCTATGTGCTTGGAGAGAAGTCTATGTGCTTGGAGAGAAGCTTCCTTCAAAGTTCCCTGGCCATGAGTAGGAATGAAGCTCTGACACAAGTTGCAATGTCAATGCAACTCGGAAGCATCATGCTCAGTGAAAGAAGCCAGGCACAAAATACCACATATTGTAGGATTCTATTTACATGAAATTTGCAGAATAGACAATTCATGGAGACAGAAAGTGGATTAGTGTTTGTCAGGGGCTGGGGAGGCAGAGGGGAATTGACTGCTGAATGGGGACACTGGTCTTGTACTGGGTGATGAGTATGCTCTGGGACTAGGTGGAGGTGGTGGTTGCATCTCCCACATAGCTCATGGTCAGGTTAGTTTGAGTCCTCTGGGTGACCTTAGGCTTGCAGTAGGAGGGGAGCAGCGTGAGGTGAGGAACAAAGGTGATTCTGGCCTTTCCATCATGGGGTGACTTATGCCCTGTTTACTCCCAATAGGTCAAAGAGACTTAGCAGACGCCCTTGTTGACCCTGGTAAGAGCTGATATTTCAAGGGGAGCCTTCTTTTTTCAGCTCAAGTCTAACAGCATCAGCTGTATAGTTACTTTGGGGTTGGGTTGGGCCAGTGTTGGGAATTTCTTCATTTTGAGATCTCTGTTCTTCACAGGAGATTGCAGACACCTTGAGACAAACCTTTACACACTCTCTGAAACTCTCAGACTCATTTCCTGGTAGGTCTGTACTTCTGAAGCCTGTGGTTTAGGAATATGCTAGTATCTTATTATTTTATTTTATATTATTTTATTGAGATGGGAGTCTTTCTCTGTTGCCCAAGCTGGAGTGCTGTGGTGCAATCATAACTTAACACACAGCCTCAACTTTCTGGCTCAAGCAATCTTCCCACCTCAGCCTCACAAGCAGCTGAAACTACTGGTGTGTGCCCCCATGCCAGTTATTTTTATTTATTTTTTGTAGGCAACTATGTTGCCTAGGCTGGCCTCAAACTCCTGGGCTCAAGCAATTCTTCCACCTTGGTCTCTCAAAATCCTGGTATTACAGAGGTGCACCAGCATGCCTGGACCAGGACCTGCTTTTCTTACAGTTCAGTTCATATCCCTCATTGTCGCACACCCTCCCAGAGCACACTACATTCCATTTTCCCACTGGCTTCTCTGGTCACCTTCACTCATGAGGCTGTGAATTTTTCTATTCCAGGGCACTTAGGGCCTGGAATCTTCCCATTCTGTGTTTTTTGTCCATCCAAGTTCAGCTGGAAACTTAGTGGCTCAACGGAAAGCTGAAAATATGCATCCCGGACCCAGGAGAATGTCCTGCTTGAGGCAGAGAGTCTAATTGAGATTCAGGTGTATTCTGATAGTGGTGATTGGGAGAAAGGGAAAGATTTGGTTTCCAATGCAAAGATTTATTTTGAAAGAAAAATAAACTTTTGTGTACACAGAGGAAGAATCCATTGGGCTTTAGCATTGGGAACAACTGGTTGACCAGTGCAGTTGCATAATGGTGTTTGTTGGAGGAAGAGAGAATGATAACCAGATCTGATCCTAAAAAGCCAAAAACAAGATGATAGGAACTCATCTCTCTCCAAGTTTTCTGCACACTGTGATGTTTTTGCTAATAATTATCCTACAAAGCAGATACAAAATTGTTGTCAGTGCAACAGGAAAATGTAATGACTCACCCCAACATGGAGATGCCATTTCTCCCATGAAGTTAGAAAAGGTGAAGGTTGAATCCTACCCTGTCAAGGCAGATTGAGGGGTGGGGGTTGGAGGCAGGTGTGTGGTTGCAACCACTTTGGAAGCATTGGGGGATTATCTCCAAAATTCAGACCGAGTATGTAGCACCAGCGTTTGGTCTGGATAAAGAATGAGGCATATCTGCAAGAGAACCCTGTGCAATAGTGAAGGAGGGGCTGGCTGGTAGGCTCAGATAAAGAACGAGACGTTATTGATCTGAAAGATCACTGACATGTGACCCAGGAGTTCCACTTCTAGACAGATACCCAAGAGAATTGGGAGCAGGGACTCAAACAGTTATTTGTGTACCCATGTTTGCAGCAGCAATATTCACAATAAGCCAAAGGTGGAAACAACCCAACTGTCCATCAGGGGATGAATGAATGAACAGAATGTGGTCCCTCCAGGCAACAGAATATGATTTGGCTGTTAAAAAGGAAGGGGGTTCTGATGCGTGCTACATGAGCCTTGAAAATGTGCTCAGTGAAAGAAGCCAGGCACAAAAGGCCACAGGGTGTAGGATCCCATTAATATGAAATGTCCAGAATAGGCAAATTCAGAGAGACAGAAAGTGGATTAGCGATTGTTGGGCTGGAAGAGGGGAGAAAAGGGAGGGACTGCTCACGGTTATGGGGTCTCCTTTTGGGGGGATGAAACTGTTCTGGAACTAGATACAGCTGGTGATTGTACAATATTGTGAATATATGAAACACCATTGAATTGTACTCCTTAAAATGTCAAATTTTATGATATGTGAGTTTCACATTGATTTTTTAAAAATCACAGAAATAAACTCCCTTTCCACTCACCTGCTACTACATTTTCATTGCTCACCTAGAGGACTGCCAGTGCCTGCAAACACATCTTTGAAAGCATCGTTTTGCTACCAAGAGCCTCCCATGAATGGGCAGGCATGTGCCTGTTCATAGACAGCCCTTCCTTATGGGAAGGAAGCCCCAGTGCATAGGAACCACAGTCACCTGCATGGCGACTGTGGGGAATTCACTTTTCACTGTCTATACTGCCTGGGCTTTAAGAAACTCTGTGAGTGTATCACTATTTTAAAAAATCGTTATAATTTTACATTTTAAAAAGCAGACAGAGAAAGGAAAGACGGGAGAGAGGGAGGGAGGGTAGGACGAGGGAGAAAGGGAAAAGGAAGAGAAGCAAAAAAGAAGAAAACAAAGAAAGGAGGGAGAAAAGAGGAAGTGAGGCAGGAAAATAGGAGAGAAGGAAGAAGAGAAGAAAAGGAAAGAGACAGGGAAGGATGGATGGAAGGAAGAAGAAAGGAGAGGAGATAAGGAAAGACTGAGGGAGGGAAGGAAGGAAGAAGAGTAGGAAGCAAGGAGGAAAGAAAGAAAGGAGGGAAGGAAGGAAAGACAGAAAGTTGGGGAAGAAAGGAGGAAGAAAGAAACGAAGGAAAGAATAAGGTGAGGAAGGAGGGAAGGAAGGAGAGAGGAAGAGAAGAAAGGATTGAGAACAGGGAGGAAAGAAGAAAGGAAGGTGTGGAAGAAGGCAAGAAGAAGGAGCAAAAGGAAAGAGGGGAGGAAGGAAGAAAGGAGAGAAGGAAGGAAGGAGAGGAGGAAGGAAGTAGGGAGGGCAGGGAGGGAGAGGGAGGTGGCAATAGGGAGAAAAGGATATGGGAAACCTTCAATTAAAATACAGGACATGTGAAACCATATGCTGCATTTGGAGCTTCAAGCTCTCCTTTTTGCAGTCTCTGCACTCCCAGTGAATTTCCCCACCACACACACACCCCTATGTTCTAGCTGCCTCCTATCAAGGCAATGCTAGGCTGTTATGTAAACCATGCTTTCAAATACACTGTTTCCTCTGTTTGGAAGAAGTCTGGCCTGCACAGCCCTGAAGCTCCAATTTTCCCAGCTATGGCTGACTCTGCCTCCTGTGAGCCATCTTCCTCAAACCTCCTCCTGCCCTTGTCTGCCCATCCACACTGCAAACCCAGGTTCATTGAGCAGGGCAGTCACAGGCTGCACTGTGAGCACTCCTGACCTGATATCCACATCCATGCATACATATTTGCTGAATGAATAAATGAATGAATGAAAGAAAGTGAGAAAAGCCATCATTCTGGAAGCTGCAAGTCTTTCTCCATCTTTTCTTTTGCCTTCCCCCTGCCCCGCCCTCCACCGTCCAGCTCTATGGTGGCTCTATGGGCAGGTGGCTCACTTACCTGTATTGGATGTTCTCAGCTACTTCAGCCATCCTGTGGGCATCCTCATAGCCTCAAGGGTGGATTGATTGTTTTTTAATGAATTTTAAGGGTGTTTTCTTGCTTTTTTTCTGAATTCAACATGGAATTTGTGTCCATATTATTTACTTTGTATTGCTTTGTCACTCCCTTTTCATCTTTCATCAGGGCATTTATGGCCTTTGTTTGTGCTTCCAGTGACACTTCAATGCATATTGCATTTATTTTCTCTCTTTGTTCACAGAACCCACCAAGAAGCCAAACTCAGGTGAGTGACTCTTTGGCTGGGAAAACTGAGGCAATGTCCTTGAACTGATGCTTATGGAGGGATGGTTGAGGAAGTTTTACAGAACTGTAGGGTGTATGAAGGAGATGCAACAACTGTACCAGATAGCAGATATTGAAAGCAAAATGTGGTATAAGGCAAATGTAAATCACAACCACAGTGAAGCACCACTTCGTACCCACTGAGTTGGCTAAAATCTAAAATGGAAAATAACAAGTGTTGGCAAAGATGTGACGAAACTGGAATGTTTGTATGTTGCTGGTGGGAGTCTAAAATGGTACAGTCACTGTGAATAAATGTTTTGGTGGATACTAAAAAAGTTAAATATAGAATTACTCTATGAACCAGCAATTCCACTCCTAGGTATACACTCAAGATAATTCAAAACAGGTGTTCCAAGAAAAACATATATGCAAATGTTCAGAGCAGCACTATTCATTATAGCTAAAAGGTAGAAATAACTCACATGTTCAACAGTGGAAGGAATGGATAAACAAAATGTGGTCCATCCACACAATGGAATATTATTTAGCCTTGAAAAGGAATGAAGCACTGAAAATTGTGCAAAATGGTTGACCCTCAAAAACATTTTGCAAAGAGAAAGAAGCCAGACACAAAAGATCACATAGTGGATATTTTTATGAATATTAAATTTCAAGACTAGGCAAATCCACAGGACCAGAAGTAGTGTCGTGACTGCCAGGGGCTGGAGGGGAAAAGGAGAGTGACTGCTTAATTAATTCTAGGTCTCCTTTTGGGGAAATGAAAGTGTTCTGGAAGCACACAGAGGTGATGGTTGCATAACATTGTGAATGTTCTAAATGCTCCCGAATTGTTCACTTTTAAATGGTTATTTATATGCAAATTTCACCTCAATTTATTTTTTTTGATTAAAAAGGTAACCTTTGGCGGAGGGCAGTGGCTCATGCCTGTAGTCCCAGCAATTTGAGAGGCCAAGGTAGGCAGATCATGTGAGGTCAGGAGTTTGAGATCAACCTGGCCAACATGACGAAACCCTGTTTCTACTAAATGTACCAAAAATTAGCTGGGCATGATGGCACATGCCTGTAATCCCAGCTACTCAGGAAGCTGAGGCAAGAGAATCACTTGAGGTTGCAGTGAACCAAAATCACGCCACTGCATTCCAACCTGGGTGACAGAGCAAGACTCCATCTCATAAAAAAAGAAAAAGAAATAACTCCCAGACTTCTAGCAGACTCCTTGATGGCCATGAGAGATGTCAGGAAGTAAATAGACAGGCGTTTATAGGTTGTTCAGGAAATGTTCACTATTAAGCAAGAATTGAAAATGCAGCTAAATTGCTGTTGGAGAGTGATGATGGTGTAAAGATTTCCAACAAGGAGCTCTGCAATTCTTGCTGAAAAAATCTTCCAAATTATGCTCTGATGTAAGAAGAAATTCACACCCTGAATAGCACAGCAGGATGTGAATAGCAATGCCAGCCAAAGACATTGCAAACAAGCTGGTAAAACTAAGTGATTGTTAGCTGTTTTAAAAAAAATAATAACTGGTGTTAACAATAAAGTGAACCTTATTTTCTAAAGATTAGGCTACCTTCACAGGTGGATAAGAAAGGGAAGAACTGAGTAAAAGTAGTTAGATATTGCTAGATTTTGATATTTTAATGTTAAATATTCCTGTTAAAAATAGAAATTGGGCGGGTCGCAGTGGCCCACACCTGTAATCTCAGCATTTTGGGAGGCCAAGGTAGGCAGATCATAAGGTCAGGAGTTCGAGACTAGCCTGACCAACATGAAGAAACCCCGTCTCTACTAAAAATACAAAAAAAATTAGCCAGGTGTGGAAGTGCATGCCTGTAATCCCAGCTACTCGGAGGCTGAGACAGGAGAATTGCTTGAACCTGGGAGGCAGAGGTTGCGGTGAGCTGAGATCGCACCATTGCACTCCAGCCTGGGCAACAAGAGTGAAACTCCATCACACACACACACACACACACACAAATAGAAATTGAACGTATAACTCCTGAACTAGTGGAGGAAAATGAAGAATGAAGCATAAAATTAAATACAAGAAGTGAAAAGTAAAATTAAATACCAAAATTAGCCACGTTGTTTCAGTGAGCGCCTGTAGTCCTAGCAAATTGGGAGGCTAAGGTGGGAGGATCACTTGAGGCCCAGAGTTGGAGGCTGCAGTGAGCCAAGATCATGCCATTGCACTTCAGCCTCGGTGACAGAGCCAGGCCTTGTCTCAAAAATAAAAAATTATAATAATAAATAAAAAACATGAATAGTAAATGGAAGTTAGGAAGGAAGGAGTTAAAAAGGAAAAATAAAGTAAAATAGTAGGAATAGTATCCTTAGTTCTGTTAGATGTTGAATGATTTAATAAATCTGTAAAAAGACGGAAATTAGGTGGTACAATTTAAAATGTTTCATGCTGTTTACAAGAGAAGCATTTGCAACAAAATGCCAAAGAGAAAGTGAAAATACCCAGGAAGAAATGCACAAAGCAAATATCAATGGAAAGAAAGCCAAGCTGGGCTAGCAAAATCTGACAAAATAACCTTCAAGGCGCAAACAATTTTGAGGCCCAAATAGAGGTTCTTCCCAGTAAAAGAATGATTCCCTGAATGATAATGGAGTATTGACCCAGCCTGCACCCCAGGTTAAGTTAAAAGTGGAAATTTAAAGATCTAAGTGTGAGATATTAAAAAGCGTTTCCCCTGAAATACCAGGATCTGTAGATGGAAATGTTATTTAGAATAAAGATGTGGAGCTGAGCGTGGTGCCTCAGGCCTATAATCCCAGCACTTTGGGAGGCCGAGGCTGGCGTATTTCTTGAGCCCAGGAGTTTGAGACTAGCCTGGGCAACATAGTGAGACCCCATCTTTACAAAAATTAAATAAAACATTAACTGGACATGGTGGTGTGCACCTGTGGTCCCAGTTACTCAGGAGGCTAAGTTGGGAGTATCACCTGTGCCCAAGAGGTTGAGGCTACAGTGAGCTAGAATCATGCCATTACACTCCAGCCTGGGTGACAGAGCGAGACCCTGTCTCAAAAGAAAAGAAAAAAAAAAAAAAAGGAAAGAAAGAAATGAAAACCGTAGCTCAGAGACAAAGAAACTGAGCAATGCATAGGTTCAGAAGGGTTTGAAACAGACTGACTAAATTGTGTCTTGGCATATGAGAGGGGTCGCAGCTATAAAACAATGAAAGAAGAAACCAAGTTCCACATAGGCAGGACTGAGACAATTGGCTGTTCTTGTATGTGATGAAATCTCAATCTCATGCAATATTTATTTTTTAAGACTGAGTCTCACTCTGTCACCCAGGCAGGACTGCAGTGGTGTGATCTAGGCTCCCTGCAACCTTCTCCTCCTGGGCTCAAGTAATTCTCATGCCTCAGCTGGGACTATAGGCATTTGCCACCACACCTGGACAATTTTTGTATATTTAGTAGAGACGGGATTTCACAAAGTTGGCCAGGCTGGTCTCGAACTCCTGGCCTCAGGTGATGCTCCTGCCTTGGCCTCCCAAAGTGATGGGATTACAGGTGTGAACTACCATGCTGGGACTCATGTGATACTTAAAAATTAACTACAGGTGGATTACATATGTGAATGTAGAAGAAAACAATTTTTTGTAAATAGAGGGAAATGTCTTATAACCTCAGTGTCAGGAAGTTTTTCTTATATAAGATACAAAAAGCATAACCACGCCTGCAGTCTCAGGTACTCAGCAGGCTGAGGCATAAGAATTGCTTGAGCTCGAGAGGTGGAGGTTGCAGTGAGCTGAGATCGCGTCATTGCACTCCAGCTGAGGCTACAGAGTGAGAATCTATCATAAGAAAACAAACAAACAAAAAAAACACAACACAACCTTTAAAAATGGGTAAACTAGATTATATGTATATTTTAAAAATAATAATAATAATAATGTTCCACTTCAGGGTCTAAAAACGTTAAAAGATGAGCTGTCAACTGGAAGAGGCTCCTTGCTGCTCGTATCATCAGGCAAAGTTTAATATGCAAAATACAGTCACCCTTCAGTATTCATGGGGGTTAGTTTTAAGACCCCTGCTTCCCTGTAGACACCAAAATCCACAGCTGCTGAAGTCCCTGATATAAAACTGTGTAGCATTTGCATATAATGCAAGTATATGTTCCTGTATATTTTTATTTATTTATTTGGAGACAGAATCTCACTCTGTTGCCCAGGCTGGAGTGCAGTGGTGTGATCTTGGCTCACTGTAACCTCCCCCTCCCCGGTTCAAGAGATTCTCCTGACTCAGACTCCCAAGCAGCTGGGGTTACAGGTATGCACCACCACTCCCAGCTAATTTTTCTATTTTAATAGAGATGGGTTTTAACGATGTTGGACAGGCTAGTTTCAAACTCCCGACTTCAAGTGACCCACCCCCTTCAGCCTCCCAAAGTGCTGGGATTACAGGCATGAGCCATGGTGCCCAGCCCTTTCTATACTTTAAATTATCCCTATGTTACTCATAATTCTTGATACAGTGTAAATGCTATGCAAATAGTTGTTATACTATATTATTTTTATTTGTATTACTTTTTATTGGATTGCTATATTTTATTTTTGAAATATTTTCAATACAAGATTGGTTGGATCTATAGATGCAGAAATTCTGGTTATAGAGCGCAAACTATGTATAGATAGCTCCTACCAAAACAGATGGATGGCAAAAAAAAAAAAGAAAGAAAGAAAGAAAGAAAATGGAGGAGAGAAACTATGAGGCAACTAAAAGAAGAGAGATATGATCATTCCATTCACTGAAAAGAAAAATTCAAAGAGGGAATCACAGAGTTGCCCAACTGACATGTGTGTGAAATCCTCAGGGTCACACATATCCATTGCAAACCAATTTAAGCCACTGTTTAAATTTAAACCAATTAAACAATTGGGCTTTATTTATTTATTTATTTTTAAAAACGTTCAAGTAAAGGTGTGGCAATGGCAATTTGAGACAGCCCAAGATCTGACCAATTACTGGTGGGATTATAACCCCATCAAAGTCCTGAAGAGACCTTCAGGGGCATTCGAATATGAGCAATCTCCCTTACTGATTCTGCTTGCCATGCACAAACAGCAACAGCGCAACCACGTGGGCATGGGGGAAAGCTCGGAAAGCTGGTGGCACCATTGTTCATAAGAAAAAGAAAGAACATGAAATGCTCACCAGTGACATCATCGCGGGACACTTGGGCGATGGTGCTGCTGATATGAATGAAGTGGGTCTATAGCACCAATAGGAATACCTCTCAAAAATATCACAAGCAGTTTAAAAAGACAAGGAGAAGAAAGGTAACCAAAGGAAGACAACATTGATGTCTATCTTAACATGCACCAAAGAAAACTATAGCTTGATTATGAACATGCACACACACACACTTGTGTAATAAAGCTTTTTTTTCTTTTAGAGATGGAGTCTTGCTCTGTTGCTCAGGCTGGAGTGCACTGGAATGATCGCGATTCAATGAAGCCTCAAACTCCTTGACTCAAGTGATCCTCCCACCTCAGCCCCCCAAGTAGCTCGGATGATAAGCATGCATCATCATACCCAGTTATTGTTTCTTTATTTATATTTTTTGTAGAGATAAGTTCTTGCTATATTATGCAGGCTGGTCTCAAACTCCTGGCCTCAAGCAATCCTCTGGCCTCAGCCTCCCAAAATGCTGGGATTACAGGCATGAGCCATCATTCCCAGCCTGTAGTAGAAGTTTTTTTAAAAAATTACATAGAGAGGCACCCACCTACTATTGAGTAGTGTTTAGTGTTTACCTTACTTTTTCTAGGAAAGAGGTTGGTGAGCTAGGAGTTACTATTTTGAAAAGAGAAAATACTTGCAAGTAAACTACAATTTCTTTCTTTTTGGGTGTTTTCACTGCTTCTTTTTTTTTAATTGAAATCTAATCTTATTTATTTATTTATTTGTTTATTTATTTATTTATTTATTTTTGAGACAGACTTTCACTCTTGTTGCCCAGGCTGGAGTGCAATGGCATAATCTTGGTTCACCACAACCTCCGCCTCCCAGGTTTAAGCGATTCTCCTGCCTCAGCCTCCCGAGTAGCTGGGATTACAGGCATGCTCCACCACGCCCAGCTAATTTTGTATTTTTAGAAAGTGATACCGTAACTTGTATTAATTTTATTGACTCTCTCTTAGCTGAAAAAGCCGGACGGATTCCATTTGGCTCCTTCATTTGCAAGACATTAAGGGCTCGTTACCCACCCCCTTCCTCAAGGACTTAACTTGTGCAAGCTGACACTTAGCACATCAAAGAGTGCAATTAACTGATAAGGTAAGGTGGCAAGCTATGTCCACAGTTCCCAGGAATTCACCTGGGTGATAGTACCCTAAGCCCCCGCTTTTGTGTCTGGCAGATAGCACCCAGAGCCCCCGCACCTATCACCTTGTGATGAGTTTAAAGCCCCTGCACCTGGAACTGTTTGTTTTCCTGTAACCATGTGTCTTTTCAACTTTTTTGCCTGTTTTACTTCTGTGAGATTGCTTCAGCTCAATTCCTCCTTCTGTTTCCAAACCAAAGTATAAAAGAAAATATAGGCCCTTCTTCGCGGCTGAGAGAATTTTTAGCGCTAGCCATGTCTCGGTCGCTGTCTAATAAAGGGCCCCTGAATTAGTCTCACAGTGTGGCGTTTCTCTATAATTCGCTTGGTTACAACAAGTAGAGATGGGGTTTCTCCATGTTGGTCAGGCTGGTCTCTAACTCCCAACCTCAGGTGATCCGCCCTCTTCAGCCTTGCAAAGTGCTGAGATTACAGATGTGAGCCACCGTGCCAGGCCAAAATCTAATCTTTATTAATTTAAGCTCATAGTGCTTCAGAGGGCAGGAAGATAATCAGTTTTATGAACACAGAAAATCTGAGGCAGGTCTCAGTTAATTTAGAAAGTTTATTTTGCCAAAGTTGAGGATGCACCTGTGACATAGACTCAAAAGGTCCTGACAACATGTGCCCAAGGTGGTTGGGGCCCAGCTTAGTTTTATACATTTTAGGGAGACATGAGATATCAATCAATATATGTAAGAAGTACATTGGTTAGGTCTGGAAAGGCAGTACAGCTTGAAGCAAAGACAGGAAGACTCCAAGCAGGGAGGGGGCTTTCAGGTCATAGATAGGTGACAGCAAACAGTTGCATTCTTTTGAGTTTCTGATTACCCTTTCCAAAGAAGGCAATCAGATATGCATCTATCTCAGTGAGGAGTGGGATAACTTTGAACAGAATGGGGGGCAGGTTGGCCCTAAGCAGTCCCCAGCTTGACATTTCCCTTTAACTTACTGACTTGGGGGCCCCAAGATTTATGTTCCTTTCACAGTGCATGAGTGAGAGCACTTGGAAACAGAGTGGAAGTGTGGCAGGCCAGTTCTCACTAACACAGGCCCCTACAACACCTGATTCAGTATAGACTGAGTGGTTAAATATTAAAAGCCAGTGCCCTTATACAAAGGCTGGAATGTAAAAAAAGCCCACCAGGAGTTTTTTTCCAGGACTTTCCCGGGCCTTAAAGCGTGACAAAATAATGAAGGAATTCTTAACAGGACCCATTTAGGATTAAACAAGTTTTATTGGGGGTCTGCAAAAACTCCCCAGGCCTCCACTAACACGTTTATTGGGGGTTTGAAGGAACTCCCTAAACCTCTGTGACTTAGCAGGAGACAACATATGGGTAATCACCCTGGCACCTGGACCCATTAGATTAAGTCAATTTACTGAGGCTCCAGAGGAAGGTCCTCAGGACTCAGACCTTAGTTATAGATTAAAAGAAGTTAATCACTTACATCATTAGATAAATGCACACTTACATGTATACATATAGGTTGGAAGGTATATAAGCTCTGGAAAACTAATATTAGGTTAGTCTTGTTAAATATAGTGAACTCCATATACTGGGGAGACAATAACAATGCAGCTCACCAAGAAAATGTGCAGGACATTAAGGAATTGATAATAAAGGGGATTAAAAGATCAGTACCCCGAACCCAGAATCTTACCCAAATATTTGATATACAGCAAGACAAAGACGAAAGGCCTATAGAATTGTTAGACAGATTAAAGAAACAATTGAGAAAATATGCTGGTCTTGAGGATCCTCCTGGGCAGGGAATGTTAAAATTTCATTTTGTCACTAACAGCTGGCCAGATATTAACAAGAAATTACAAAATATAGAGAACTAGAAAGATAAACCTATAGAAGAGCTTCTAAGAGAAGCCCAAAATGTATATGTGAGAGAGAGAGAAAGAGAGAGTCAGAGAGTGAAAGAGAGAGTCAGAGAGCGAAAGAAAGAGAGAGACAGAGAGGCAGAGAAAGAGAGAGAGAGAGATACAGAGAGGCAAAGAGAGAGGGAGAGGCAAAGGGAGAGAAAGAGGACAAAACAAATGCTTCAAATTAAAAATAGGTCACTTCAAAAGAGAATGTCCCAAATGGGAAAAAGAACAAAAGTCATATATAAAAGCACATCAGCTAATATTAAATTTCTTTTAATTCTGGAAGCAGGTACAAATCTATTAGGAAGGGATTGTTAGATATGAGTTCTAAATTTCTTTTCAAAGAATTAATATGTCAGTATGTTCAATTCTTTGCCTTCTACTTTTAAACTTCCTCATAAAGCAAGCTTTTTCGATTACTTACTCCACCCTGACTCCTTCTATCACCTGTTCCACCCTACATTCCAATCACCTGCTCCACCCTAACTCATTCCAATTACCTGCTACCTGCTCTGCCCTGACTCCCACCAGGCACTCACCCCATCATTCTCTTTAAATTAGCCAATCAGAATTAGTTTAGCCTGTGCAATCTAACCCTAGCCAATAGGGGTACAACACAGCAGCAGGGGCCACTTGCATCAGGAATAAGAACCCCTTCCCTTCCCTTGTCCAGGTATGCACTCACCATTATTCCATCTGTAATGGACAAACTTCTATAAAAGTAACTTGCCTTGCTGAGAATTTAAAAGAAAATTTTATATTCGACTGCTATTTCTTTTGTGGCACTGAAACTTTATATATAACAGGAGTTAATGTTACACTTAGGCCTAGGCCTCTAAATCAATCTTAGAAAATTCCTCCATCTCCTAAACTTTCTCACCACCATAACAAAAGATGGGAATCGAGGAAATTTACAGATTCCTCCAATTCCTGCTAAATTAAAAAAGTTAAACACCCCTGGGAAAGTAGAACAAGAAAGCAATGTACCCCATTCCTTTAAAAGCCAGGGTAAATTTAAAACCTGCAATTGATAATTGAAGGTCTTCTCTGTGATGGGCTTCTTAAGCCCTGTAAGTCTCCCTATAAGACTCCAATACTCCCTGTAAAGAAGCAAGATGGTTAGTGCAAGACCTTAGAGCTATTATTAATCAGATAGTCCAAACTACCCACCCTGTTTTTCCCATACAGTCACCAGTGGTTTACAGTAATAGATTTAAAAGATGCCTTCTGGGCTTTTCTGTTAGCAGAAGACAGACAAGAGTTATTTGCCTTTGAGAGACAAGACCTCACTGCAGTCAAAAACAGTAAAACTGATAGACAGTCTTACCCAAAGTCTTACGAAGTCTCCAAATTTATTCAGTCAAATATTAGAAAAAGTCATTTAATTAGCAAAAGTAAATGGAAAATTGAGCTTGAATTGGTTGAAGTCATCATATCCTTAAATAATTACCATATAAAGGTCTGACCAGACCTAGGAGAAAACTCCCTTCAGGATGGGATGACACTTATTTATAGATAGTTCCTCCTGGGTGATTGAGGGAAAAAGACACAATGGGTATTCAGTAAATTGACAGAGAAACTCTTATAATAATAGAGTCAGGAAAATTGCCTAATAATTGGTCTGGTCAAACATGTGAGCTGTTTGCACTCAGCCAAGTTTTGAAGTACATACAAAACCAGGAAGGAACTATCTATACTTATTCTAAGTATGTCTTGCAGTGGCTCATACATTTGGAAAAATTAAGGAAACAGGATTAAGGTGGATACATGCCCTTCCTATGGCATTGTTTAAAATAAGACTCATGCCTTCTAAGAAAACAGGATACTGCCCTTATGAAATACTGTATCATAGGCCTCCTCCTATACTGTGGGGACTTCCAGGCACTCCCTGAGAGTTAGGTGGAATTGAATTACACTGACAGCTACAGGCATTGGGAAAAATTACACAGACAATCTCAACTTGGGCAAATGAGAGGTGTCCCATCAGCTTATTCTCTCCAGTTCACCCTTTCTCTCCAAGTGATCGCATGTGGATCAAGGACTGGAACGTAGCCCCTTTGGGGCCACGGTGGAAAGGACCTCAGACCATCATCCTGACCACCCCCACGGCTGTAAAGGTAGAAGGAATCCCAGCCTGGATCCACCACAGCCGTGTGAAACCTGCAGCCAATGAAACCTGGGAGGCAAAACCGAGCCCGGACAACCCCTGCAAAGTGACTCTGAGGAGGACGACAAGCCCTGTTCCAGTCACACCCAGAAGCTGACTGGTCTACGTGGCTGAAGCATGAGGAGGATCATCATGGGACTCATTTTCCTTATAATTTGGACTTGTATAGTAAAAACTTCCACTGATTTTCCCCGCATGGAGGACTGCTCTCAGTGTATATATCAGGTTACCAAGGTAGGGCAGCAAGTTAAAACAATCTTTCTGTTCTATAGTTACTATGAATGCCTAGGAACTTTAAAAGGAACATGTTCCTTTTAAACCCTATCCTGAGCCAGTGTTTCAAACTTTCTATGATGAATGTGCCAGTACCAGAAATTCCAGGAAAAACAAGAAATTTATTTTTGCAATTAGCCGAGCATGTAGCCCAGTCTCTCAATGTCACTTCGTGTTATGTATGTGGAGGAACTGTGATGGGAGATCAATGGCCATGAGAAATTCGATAATATAGACCCAGTTACTGATGAATTGCTGGCTCAAAAGAATCACCGTGATAATTTCTGGGTCCTAAAAGCCTATATTATTGGACAATAATCCATACTGGAGAAGAAAAATAATTCTCTCACCCTGTAGGATGACTTAGTTGTCTGGGACAGAAACTGTATAATGATACCCCAAAATTGTCACTTGGTGAAGTTCAAATCACACAGAGAGGAATCTGTTTAATAAATTTCCAAAGTTGCAAACTGTGTGGACCCACCTGGAGTCCCACCGGGACTGGACAGCCCCCAATGGATTATACTGGATATGTGGGCATATAGCTTATGCCAAATTACCCGACCAACGGGCAGGTAGTTGTGTTATTGGCACTATTAAACCATCTTTCTTCCTACTGCCCATAAAAACAGGTGAACTCCTGGGCTTCCCTGTATATGCTTCTCATGAAAAGAGAAGCATGGCTGTAGGAAATTGGAAAGATGATGAATGGCCCCCTCAGAGAATCATACACTATTATGAGCCTGCTACTTAGGCGCAAGACGGCTTATGGGGATACTGGAGCCCCATTTACATGCTCAACCGAATCATAGGGTTACAAGCTGTCTTAGAAATCATCACTAATAAAACCGCAGAGCCTTGACTATTGTGGCCTGGCAAGAAACTCAGAAGAGAAATGCTATCTATCAAAATAGATTGGCTCTTGACTACTTGCTAGCAGCTGAAGGGGAGGTCTGTGGGAAATTTAACCTTAGTAATTGCTGTCTACACATAGATGATCAAGGGGAAGTAGTTAAAGACATTGTTAGAGATATGACAAAACTGGCACATGTGCCCATGCAAGTGTGGCATGGATTTGATCCTGGGGCCATGTTTGGAAAATGGTTCCCAGTGCTAGGAGGATTTAAAACTCTTATAATAGGAGTTATAATAGTAATAGGAACCTGCTTACTACTCCCTTGTTTGCTACCTGTACTTCTTCAAAGGATAAAAAGCTTCATCACTACCCAAGTTCACCAAAATGTGTCAGCACAAGTGTACCATATGAATCACTATCGATCTGTCTTGCAAGAAGACATGAGTAGTGAGGATGAAAGTGAGAACTCCCACTAATGAGTGAGGTTTCAAAGTGGGGGAACAAGGGAGGAGACCACCTCTCATATTGTTTTATGACTAAATTTCTGCCTCAAAGGAAAAGTAGCAGTTAAAGAAAAGACAGAAATGAAATCACTAGTCAGGCAGCCTAACACTGCATTCCAGACCTGGTAGTTAAAGATTGACCCCCGACCTTATCGGTTATATTATCTATAGATTCCAGACATTGTATGGAAAAGTACCGTGAAAATCCCTGTCCTGTACTGTTCTGTTCTCATTGCTGGTGCATGCAGATCCCAGTCACATACCCCATGCTTGCTCAATAGATCATAACTTTCTCATGCAGAGTCCCTTAGAGTTGTAAGCCCTTAAAAGGGACACAAATTGCTCACTTGGGGAGCTTGGTTTTTGGAGATGTGAGTTTGCCAATGCTCCCAGCTGAATAAAGGCCTTTCCTTCCACAAGTTGATGTCTGAGGGGTGCTTGTCTGTGGTTTGTCCTGCTACAATTTTACTGCACATGTCATTAAAAATTAGCCCAGGTACTGGATATGACATGGGAATATCATACTCTCTGGCACCCACCTTCATCAGGAAGAGTGGAAAGACTGAACCAAACTCTAAAAAACCACTGAACCAAATTGGTTCTGGAGATTCAGTTACCATGGACCAAATGCCTTCTTATTGTCCTGCTGAGAATCTGAACTTCCCTGCAGAAAGAGACTGGTCTTTCTCCTTATGAGATGGCAGTACATATTGCCTTATTTACATGCCACTGCTGACATTCCTACCTTTGAAACAAAAGATCAGTTTCTTAAAAATTATACACTTGGTCTGTCATCTATTTTCTCTTCCATAAAACTAAAGGTCTCTTAGCACAGTTGCCACCCCTGGAGTTCGCAAGGCAACAATATCAACCTGGGGATCATGTCCTCATCAAAAGCTGGAAGGCAAAAAGCTCAAACCAGCCTGGGAAGGACATTACTTAGTGCTCCTAACTACTGAAACTGCAGTTTGGACAGCAGAAAGAGGCTGGACCCATCACACCTGAGTCAAAAGAGCACTGTCCCCTCTGGAGTCATGGGCCATAGTCCCAGGACAAAACTCTACCAAACTAAAGCTAAGCAAAGTTTAACCCTCCATTTATTTTATAACTCCTCCTTTCCTTGCTCTACTGCTGAGCACCTTGTTATTAATGTAACCAGGTCACCTTTTCCTGAGACAATCACATTTGATGCTTGCTCACCATACCTTGCAGGGATCTCCAAAACCAAAGGTAACTGGCCTCCTCAGAAAAATATCTGTCTCTCCAAAGGCACATCTGACCTCTGCAACTCTTGCTTCATAGAGACCAACTCCCTTATGTTTCTCACATTTTAGGAACAAAACATGGACTAGTTTCTAGCTCCCTCCTATGGACCACTGAGGAACAAGTGGTCCATAGCACTAATGAGGTCCTATGGACCTCCATAGCACTGTCCCTCCTATGGACCACTGAGGAACAAGGGTGGACTTCCTCAAAGGGCTGCACCTCTCTAGAACCGTTACTCCATTTCACCAAATAAAGTGTTCCCTCTAATTGTCAATAATATCAATGCAATCTGATGCAGCTTTCTATTCTTACCTCTACTGATCCTGACGCCACTTTATGTTGCTTCTATGACATGGGAGCTAACTTGGCTGGCACAGACCTCATAGACTCATTTGAAATGCATTTTATTAATCCCTCACCCTCTTCACCCCCTAGCTCCTCTTCTCTGTTTAGAACTTCTTCTGATCAAACTGTCATCCTTTCCATACCCAATGATAGGACCAGAGTAGATGTTGTAAAAGGTAAATGATTTATAACAAACTGGCAATAGAGCCAGGATATCAAGATGCAAATGCCTGATTGGAATGGATCAAATATTCTGTCCACACATTAAACAAAAGCAATTGTTACGCTTGTGCGCATGGCAGGCCAGAGGCCCAGATTGTCACATTTCGACTAGGATGGTCCTCCAGTTGACCAGGCATGGGCTGTATGGTAGTTCTTTTCCAGGATTCCACAGTCTGGGGTAACAAGTTGTGCCAAGCTCTCTCTCTGCTATATCCCAAAGGTTGACACCCTGCAGGCCAGCCCCTGAGGGCCATCCAGCTTCTGTCTCCCAACACTAAGTTACTTCGTGTCTCTCACGACAAGGAGGAAACTTAGTAATCCTTGGAGACCTGAGGGGATGCTGTGAGTGTAAGAATTTTCAAGAGCTTATCAATCAGTCGGCCCTTGTTCATCCCCTAGCAGATGTGTGGTGGCACTGTGGTGGAGCTTTACTGGACACTCTGCTGAGTAACTGGAGCAGCACTTGTGCTCTAATCCAATTGGCTATCCCTTTCACACTGGCATTTTATCAGCCAAAGGAAAGAAAAATGCAATATCATAAAGCAAGAGAAGCCCCTTATGGGTCTTTTAACCTACACATCTATCTAGATGCAATTGGAGTCCCACAAGGAGTACCAGATAAATTTAAAGCCCACAATCAAATAGCTGCAGGATTTTTGTCAATATTTTGGTGGGTGACAATTAATAAGCATGTAGATTAGATAAATTATATTTATACAACAAACAGCACTTTATTAACTACACTAGAGATGCTGTTAAAGGAATAGCTGAGCAATTAGGGGCTGCTTGCCAGATGGCTTGGGAAAATAGGATAGGCTTAGACATGATATTAGCAGAAAGCGGAGGAGTTTGCTTCATGATTAAAACTCAATGTACTACGTTCATCACAAACAACACCACTCCTGATGGAAGTATAACAAAGGCATTGCAAGGTCTAAGTGCTCTGTCCAGTGAGTTAGCCAAAAACTTGGGGGCAAATGACCCTTTCACAGGGTGGCTAGAAAAATGTTTTGGTAAATGGAAAAGAATCACAACCTCAATTCTTACTTCTCTCGCAGCCATAGCAGCTGTACTTATTCTTGTAGGGTGCTGTGCCATACCATGAATCATGGGCAGGTGCACAGACTCATAGAGACAGCACTTACTAAAACCTTCCTCAACTCTTCACCTTATTCAGAGAAGCTTCTTTTAGAGAATCAAGTAGAACAACTGAATCAAGACATGTTAAGGAAGTTTGAAGAAAGAACTGTAAAAATTCAAGATGGGAGATTGTTAAATATAGTGAACTCCAAGTTTCTCTTCAAAGAATCAGTATGTCAATATGTTCAGCTATTTTATTCTTTGTTTTCCATTTTAAAGTTCAACTTCCTGGTTCTCTTCACCCCCTTGCCTCTAGTTTCAGTAAACAACTTTCCTGTCAGTTCTAATCAGTAGTTTACCTCTGATCCCCTGGTCTTGTACTCCATCTTGAGTCACCCCTGGTCACCTGCTCTGACCTGACTCATCCTGAGTCACCTGTTCTGTAACCGTCCTTCTCATGAAACTACTCACCACACCACTCTGACTCATACCCCTGCTCTTTTTAAAATAACCAATCAGAATTAGCTTAGGCTGTGTGGCCCAGCCATACCAGATAGAGGAATGACTCATCAGCAGAGGTGACCTGCAACAGGAATCAAAACCCCTTCCCCTCCCTTGTTCTGGTGTGCTCTTGCCATTGCTCCATCCACAAGTTACATCCTTCTATAGAAGTAAAAATTGCCTTGCTGAGAAAATTCTTCATCTGAGTGCTAGTTCTTTTTTTTTGGCACCAAGGAACAAGCATTTGTTTCTAACAGTCTGGTGATAATTTCCAGGCCTTCTCCCTGTAACTGGTTGCAGAATAAAAACTCTCTTCCTCCCCAGTTCATCTGCGTCTCATTATAGGGCCATGAGAAATAGCAGCCCAACCCTTAGTTTGGTCCAGGAATATAAGGTTGGTGTTATTTTCATCACAGGCATCAAACTGTTGGTAAATTTATTCCATGACAATTCTTCCTAGATTTCTTTTTTGTATTACTTGCTTCCATCATGGCAGACAGCTACACTGGATTCTTGCCATGGAAACAAACTTCAGGAACAAAACAGAAACCTTTTTTTTTTTAAGTTTCAGGTTTCAAGGTTTTAATTCTATCTGCAAAGTGATTTTTAACTGGACAATGGTAATCTATAAACACACCATGGGCAGCAAATGAGAACAAACTGCAAGGTTGATAGACACACTGATGTGCTTGTTTCTGCAGGCTGCTCCTAAGGGAAGGACAATTTTCTTTTATAACAATGCAATGTTGTTTTCTCCATAGATATCTACCCAAAGCTAAAACCACCTTGCTACCCACAGTGTGAGAATCTCTACAGTGGTGGAAGTAAGAATCTGTGGAGTTGAAACTCTTTCTAACTCTGGTTTGATGATGTTTCCCTTTTTATTTGCTAGCAGGTTTAGCCTGGCTGCATTTGAAATACATGTGTGTAATAGCTACCTTACTGGAAATGTAGTTTCCTTCCTCACTTGGGGGTAGCAAGAAAGTTCAGTAGAGAGAAACAATCATATTTTCCCTTTTCTTTGATATCTGAAACCACTATGGCATACTTGTAACCACCCAATTTCTTCACTTTGTAGGCTGCCTAGACAGAGCTGATTTATCAAGATAGGGGAATTGTAATGGAGAAAGAGTAATCCAGGCAGAGCTGGCTCCAAGGGAGTCTGTAGTTTTATTATTACTCAAATAAGTCTCCCCAGGCATTCAGAGACCAGAGATTTTAAGGATAATTTGGTGGGTACGGGCTTGGGAAGTGGGGAGTGCTGATTGGTCAAGTTAGAAATGGAATCATAGGGGGTTGAAGTCAGGATTTCTTGCTGTCTTCTCTTCTGGGTGGATAGCAGAGCTGATAGAGCCAGAATACAGGTCTGGGTGTTGCTAGCTAATCCATCCAGTGCAGGGTCTGCAAAATATCTCAAGTTCTGATCTTAGGCTTTACAATAGTGATGTTACCCCCAGGAGAAACTTGGGGAGGTTCAGACTCTTGGAGCCAGAGGCTGCATGACCCCTAAACTGAAATTTCTAATCTTGTAGCTAATTTGCAAAGGCAGACTGGTCCCCAAGCAAGGAAGTGTTCTTTTAAGGAAAGGATTATTATCAATTTTGTTTCAGAGTTAAACCATGAACTAAACTCCTTCCCAAGGCTAGTTTGGCCCACACCCAGGAAAGAACAAGGACAACTTAAAAGGTTAGAAGCAAGATGGAGTTGGTTAGGTCTGACCTCTTTCACTGTCATCATTTCCTCAGTCATAATTTTCACAAAGGTGGCTTTATACTCAAAGGACACTTTATGTTATCATCACAGAAAGCTAATCAGGCTGAGAGACAAGTCTTTTTTCTCACTTGTTTTCAGTGCTCCAAATACCTTTGGCTTGACCATTCATGAAACCCCAAGTGTGCTGTGCATTTTCATGTGTTTTAGAGTTGGTTTCTCTCCATTTTTTGTAACATCTGGCAGACACTTTTTTCCGCAGATTTATTACTTTCATCGTTGAAAAATATGCAAGTCAAAAAAAGAAAGTGAGCAAGAGAGAAGCAGGGTTGGGGTGGAGAGACAGAAAGAGAAAGAGAGAAAAGAAAGGGGAAAGAAGAAAGGAAGAGAAAGATTCTGGCCGTTAATGTTACCAGCAGTTCAATAACCTTAAAAACTTAAATATTTGCCAGGCAGAGCAGCGTGAAGCTGGCTAAGTCAAGAGGTGTTCTGGAAGCTTCCTGGTAGCTTGTTCTGGTTTTAAACTTTCACAGCTTAACAGCATGTCCATATGATGCAGAAACAGCACATCCAGATGGATGGAAATTATCTCCTCTTACAAGGAATCATTAAAAATAGAGACCAAGACCCAAGGGAGATGACACCCACTTGAAAAACAACACCTCAGGCCAGGTGCAGGGGCTCATGCCTGGAATCCCAGCACTTTGGGAGGCCAAGGCGGGTGGATCACCTGAAGTCAGGAGTTCGAGACCAGTCTGGCCAATATGGCAAAACCCCGTCTCTACCAAAAATACAAAAATTAGTTGGGCATGGTGGCACATACCTATAATCCCAGCTACTTAGGAGGCTAAGACATGAAAATCGCTTGAACTCAGGAAAGGGTGGTTACAGTGGGCCAAGATTGCTCCACTGCACTCCAGCCTGGGCAACAGAATGAGGCTTGTCTCAAAAAACAAAACAAAACAAAACAAACCAAAACAAAACAAAACCCCAAAACACCACCTCACCCTTAACTGTATTGGTTGAGCCAGCTAGTCTTTCTTTTATCCCCCCACTTCACGATGAAAATCCCAAATACCACCCAACTTTTTTCTCCTACTATTTCCTCCTAGTCTTTTAAAAACCATTGTCCCATAGGTCATGGCTATGTTGCAAGGCAGTCATGGGAATTCCACAGGGAACGTGTTTCTTGCTGAAACAGACTTGGGAAATGCCTGGTTAAACAGACTACCTTGGACTTCCCTCCCAGAGAATTCATCAGGACTTAAAATGCATAGTTCAGCTGGGCATGGTGGCTTATGCCTGTAATCCCAGTACTTTGGTAGAGCAAGGCGGTTGGATCACCTGAGGTCAGGAGTTCAAGACCAGCCTGGCCAACATGGTGAAACCCCATCTCTACGAAAAATACAAAAATTAGTCTTGGTATGTATTTGCAGCAACTCAGAAGGCTGAGAACCTGGAGGCAGAGGTTGTAGCAAGCTGAGATGGCACCACTGCACTCCAGGTCTGGGGGACAGAGAGAGACTTTGTCTTAAAAAAAGAAAGAAAAGAAAAGAAAGCTTAAAATGCAAGATCTTTTAAGGAAGGGCATCTTCAGAGTCTGAACACTCACCTCCTTCCACAGCAAAGTGACTCATGAACCCCAGTAGGAGGAGGAGTAGGGGAAGAGAGGCTCAGGCTGGGGAGGTGACCCCCCATGACTCAAGCCTCAATCTCCTGATGCTTGCCTTGACAAAGAGGAGGCTTCCTTTCCGACTTTGGTTTTTCATGTTGTGCTTAAATCCAGCCACGCTGATGCCTTTAACATGGCAGTCCTGAATTATTAATTAATACCGTGTGAATCCAAAATATCTGAGACAGGTCTCAATCAGTTTACAAAGTTTATTTTGCCAAGGTTAAGGACATGCCCGTGACACAGCCGCAGGAGGTCCTGATGACAAGTGCTCAAAGTCTTCAGGACACAGCTTGGTTTACACATTTTAGGGAGACATGAGATATCAATCAATATATATAAGAAGTACATTGGTTCGATCTGGAAATGCGGGACAACCGGAAGCAGGGGCTTCCAGGTCATAGGAAGTTAAGAGACAACTAGTTGCCTTCTTCCAAGTCCTTGATTGGGCTTTCACTGATAACTCAATTTACATGTGAGACAGGGCAAAGGAATCGTTACTTATACCTCAGTCTGGCCCAGTGAATCTGCATTTTTACATCAATAATAGGGCAGAGGGAGAAATCAGACATGTGTGTCTCAGGGGAGCAGAGGGGATGACTTTCTGTCCCACACCCGTGAAGATGAGCTATCAGTGTACATTGCCAGGGTGAAATTCCACAGAACTGTTTTAGGGTAAACAAAACAATCTACTCAAGTTGTGAGGACAGTATGTAGCTTTTAAAAAACTTAAAAAAAATTATTTTTTGTAGTTATCGTATTTAGAAAGAAAATGGGAGGCAGGGCTGACTGACATTTTTTTTCTGGGTTGATTTTTCCCTTGGCTTAATATTTTGGGGTCCCAAGATAAATAATTATTTTCCTTTCATAATTGGACATGAGAACATGGAGTATTTGGCACAGGAAATGGTCAAATTTAACCTACGCACCCAAGGAAGAGGAAACATGAAGCTGGTTGGAACATAGCTACAGATACTGTGGTACATGAGCAGAAATTCCCCTTAACCAGTGTTCCTGCCCAGGATATCCCAAATGAGCCTAGGCTAGCCTAGGTTCTCAAATGTGTATGTTGAGAAGGAAGAAGTGCCCTAGAAAGTAATGTGTAAAGTCCCTTCAATACGGGGTGGAACGTTCTCTCAGACAACGAAGGCAATCGCTTATGGGCAACATTGGGAAGACCCCAGAGATGGAATGTTCTAGGCCTTTCCATGTTCTCTTTCTTATTCTTCCTCCAGTGACTTGACAGGTGGCTGGGGGATTTATAAGTATTCACCACACACCAACCAGCTTTCTCAGGATGACTCCGGGCATGCTTGGAGCCCAGTGGTCTCTTTCCCTTAGAATTTGATCTGGAGGAACCCAAGATTCTCTCTGTGTCCTTTGAAATTCAGCACATTTTTCTTGGCTTCCCTGAGTCCCTGAGGCATTTCTCAGCCCAACTGTTGACTCTGCTTCTCATGTCTGTGCTTGTCCCTTTGAGAGATGTCAGCATTGTTTACCGATTCTTTTCTCTGACCACAACAGCTCCTATCCATGTTTTTTTTTTTTCTTTTTTTCAGACTGAGTCTCACTCTATTGCCTAGGCTGGAGTGTAATGGCATGATGTCATGATCTTAGGTCGCTGTAACCTCCACCTCCTAGGTTCAAGTGGTTTTCCTTCCTCAGCTTCCCAAGTAACTGAAATTACAGGCATGCGACACCATGCCCAGCTGATTTTTGTATTTTCGGTTGAGACGGGTTCCACCATGTTGACCAGGATGGTCTCAAACTCCTGACTTCATGATCCAACCCCCTCTTGGCCTCCCAGAATGCTAGGTTTCACTCACATCCATGTGAAGAGACCACCAAACAGGCTTTGTGTAAGCAACAAGGCTGTTTATTTCACCTGGGTGCAGGTGGGCTGAGTCCGAAAAGAGAGTTAGCAAAGGGAGATAGGGGTGGGGCCGTTTTATAGGATTTGGGTAGGTAAAGGAAAATTACAGTCAAAGGGGGTTGTTCTCTGGCAGGGGCGGGGGTCACAAGGTGCTCAGTGGGGGAGTCTTGTGGGGAAAAGAGAGAGAGATCAGATTGTTACTGTGTCTGTGTAGAAAGAAGTAGACATAGGAGACTCCACATTGTTCTGTACTAAGAAAAACTCTTCTGCCTTGAGATGCTGTTAATCTATAACCTTACCCCCAATCCTGTGCTCTCTGAAACATGTGCTGTGTCCACTCAGCGTTAAATGGATTAAGGGCGGTGCAAGATGTGCTTTGTTAAACAGATGCTTGAAGGCAGCATGCTCGTTAAGAGTCTTCACCACTCCCTAATCTCAAGTACCCAAGGACACAAACACTGCGGAAGGCCGCAGGGACCTCTGCCTAGGAAAGCCAGGTATTGTCCAAGGTTTCTCTCCATGTGATAGTCTGAAATATGGCCTTGTGGGAAGGGAAAGACCTGACCGTCCCGCAGCCCAACACCCGTAAAGGGTCTTTGCTGAATTGGATTAGTATAAGAGGAAGGAATGCCTCTTTGCAGTTGAGACAAGAGGAAGGCATCTGTCTCTTTCTCGTCCCTGGGCAATGGAATGTCTCAGTATAAAACCCGATTGTATGTTCCATCTACTGAGATAGGGGAAAACCGCCTTAGGGCTGGAGGTGGGACATGCGGGCAACAATACTGCTCTGTAAGGCATTGAGATGTTTATGTGTATGCATATCTAAAGCACAGCACTTAATTCTTTACCTTATCTATGATGCAGAGAACTTTGTTCACGTGTTTATCTGCTGACCTTCTCTCCACTATTATCCTATGACCCTGCCACATCCCCCTCTCTGAGAAACACCCAAGAACGATCAATAAATACTAAGGGAACTCAGAGGCTGGTGGGATCCTCCATATGCTGAACACTGGTTCCCTGGGTCCCCCTATTTCTTTCTCTATACTTTGTCTCTGTGTCTTTTTCTTTTCCAAGTCTCTCATTCCACCTAAGGAGAAGCACCCAGAGGTGTGGAGGGGCAACCCACCCCTTCAGCCTTTGAGCCAGGAGAAGGAATTTTACAAGGTAGTGTCATCAGTTAAGGCAGGGACTGGCCATTTTCACTTCTTTTGTGGTGGAATGCCATCAGTTAAGGCACAAACAGGCCATTTTCACTTCTTTTGTTATTCTTCAGTTACTTTAGGCCATCTGGATGTATACATGCAGGTAACATGTATACATATATGTTGTATGTATATGATGGCTTAGCTTGGGGTCAGAGGCCTGACACTAGGATTACCGGCGTGACCCACCATGTCTGGCTCCATGTTGTCTTAAAAGTAGCAAGACAGGCAAGGATTCCATTTGATGCAATCTGTTATGAGATAAATTAAGTCTCCCCACAAATTCAGAGCGTGAAGTCCTAACTCCCAGTTTCCTCAGAATATGATTGTCTTTGGAGACAGGGTCTTTAAGGAGGAGATTAAGGTAAAATAAGGTCACTAGAGTGGGTCCTGACCCAATAGGACTGGTATCCTAATAAGAAGAGATGAGGATATAGACACACACAGAGGAAAGATTATATGAAGACACAGGGAGAAGACGGCATCTACAAGCCCAGGAGAGAGGCCTTAGGAGGCCAGACCAGCTCACACCTTGATCTCAGACTCCTAGCCTCCAGGACTTCCGGAGAATCAATCTCTATTGTTTACAAGCCTCCCAGTCTATAGTATTCTGTGATAGCAGCCTGAAATGGACTAAGACACCTCATACGAAGAGGAGATGAGGACACAGACACACACAGAGGGACGACCCTGTGAGGACACACGGAGAAGATGGTGTCTACAAGCCAAGGAGAAAGGCCTCAGCAGTAAGCCCAGGAATCAATGCAGTTGGTGATTCTGTGTGTGAATGGAGGAGGGAAGCTCACAGAAGAAGGCATTTTGAGGGAGGACTGACCTTAAAGTGAGGTACCAAGAGACTTCCTGAACCAAGCCACCAATATGCAGCTCATGAGCTCTGGGCAGTGCCTTCTGGCCTGGAAACCAAAGCTCCCTTGTGTCCCATCCCCACTCTCTCTTTGGCCCCCAAGTTTCCATAATTTCCCACATTTGTATCATTTTAGAGACTTCAAAAGAGAGTCTAGACTGGGTGTTGTGGCTCACGTCTGTAATCCCAGCCCTTTCAGAGGCTGAAGTGGGTGGATCATCTGAAGTCAGGATTTCAACACGAGCCTGGCCAACATGGTGAAACCCTGACTCTCCTAAAAATACAAAAATTAGCTGGGCATGGTGGTGCATACCTGTAATGCCAGCCACTCAAGAGGCTGAGGCAGGAGAATTGCTTGAATCCGGGAGGTGGTAGTGGCAGTGAGCTGAGATAGCACTACTGCACTCCGGCCTGGGCAGCAGAGCAAGACTCTGTCTCAAAAAACAACAAAAAAAGAGAATCTTGGCAAGGCATGATACTCCATGCCTGCAGTCCCAGCTATACTCAGAAGGCTGAGGCAGGAGGATCACTTGAATCCAGGAGGTGGAGGCTGCAGTGAGCTATGATTGCACCACTGCACTCCAGCCTAAGCAACAGAGTAAGACCCTGTCTCAAGAGAGAAAGAGAAAGAGAGAGAGACTATTTTGAGAAGTGAAAAACTAGTCATTCTCAGCCTAGATTTCCAGTGTTCTGAGACGTCTGTCCTGAGGAAGGACTTTGAGAACAGCACCCTTGCCTTTTTTGTGAATTAAAGTAATTTCACTCTTGAGCCAATGTGGATAAGCACTTGCCAGGTACTGGCAGTGCCAGGTACCAGGAATATAAAATGGGTACAGAAAATAAAGTTTCTAGTCCAGCGACAAAAAAGGTGCTGAAGATACAGACTCATGTTGTACAAAGAGCTTGCACTGATTATTTCATTTCGGCTGCTTGAATCGGGTCAAAAGACATTTAAGCTGAGACAGGAGGGACGAGCTAATGTTTTTCCAGGTGACAAATGTGTTCTTCAAATATTTAGGGAGCATGTAAAGTGGTGGACAGGGAACAGGAGGGGTCATGACTGAAGTAATGTCACCTGCAAAAGTCCTGGGGCAGGGCTGGGAGTGGGGGCTCATGCTTGTAATCCCAGCACTTTGCGAGGTTAAGGTGGGCAGATCACCTGAGGTCAGAAGTTCGAGACCAGCCTGGCCAACATAGTGAAACCCCATCTCTACTAAAAATACAAAAATTGCCCAGGCATGGTGGTGCCCACCTACAATCTCAGCTACTCGGGAGGCAGAGGCATGAGAACTGTTTGAACCCAGGAGGTGGAGGTTGCAGTGAGCCAAGATTGTGCCACTGCACTCCAGCCTGGGCAATAGAGTAAGACTGCATCTTAAAAAAAATGTCCTGGGGCAGAAAGCTGATGGTAAACTTCAGGAACATGTAAAAGTCATTACAAAAAGTTTTAAGAAATTTAAATGAAGCCAGACTCAGTGTGGCTCAGGCCTATGATGATTCTAGCTCTTTGGGAAGGCAAGATGGGACAATTGCTTGGGGCCAGGAGTTTGAGACCAGCCTGGGCAACAAAGCAAGACGCTGTCTCTACAAAAATTTTAAAAAATTAGCCAACCATGGTGGTGTGCACCTGTAGTCTGACCTACATGGGCGGCTGAGGTGGGAGGATTGTTTGAGCCCAGGAAGTTGAGGCTGCAGGGAGCTATGATTGCACCACTGCACTCCAGCCTAGGCAACAGAGCAAGACTCTGTCTCAAAACAAACAACAACAAAACAAATTCAAATGAAAGGGTGTAACTCAAGCAAGATGGAAATATAACACACTATCAAAAGGTCAGATGTTTCATCCTAATATTGGTGAGTGACTTCTATAAACCATGCTGGCATTTGTAATGGCCCTAAACAGGGAAAGGTCAACAACACACTTCCTGCCCTGTTAATTTCAGAGAGCCTTGGACTTCTTGCAAAAGGACCAAGGGAGTAAGTTTAGGGTACAAAAATAGAAGTTTATTTTTTTAATTGTAAGCTCTGAGGTGGTATTGTGAATATTGTCTACATGATTAATAAGCTCCTTAAAAGCGATGGATGGTTACACCTTTTCTGTATTTTGGCATTCTTGTTTATAGATGGTATTTCCCCGAAAGATATCATTATTTTCTGAAATCATCCTGTTGTTTCCCAACAGATATCTACCCAAAGCTGAAGCCATGCCCTCAACCCCAGCAATTCTGGCAACAGTGGAGGTAATGAGTATTTTTTATTTATTTTTATTTTTTTATTTTAGTATTTTATTTCATTCTATGTTATTTTACTTTATTTTAGTATTTTATTTGATACTATGTTATTTTACTATTTTATTTTATTGTTTATTTTGGAGACAGTGTCTCGCTCTGTTGCCCTGGCTGGAGTGAAGTGATGTAATCGCAGCCTCGAACTCCTGGGCTCAAGCAATCTTCCTCCCTCAGCCTTTCAAGTAGCTGGGACTACAGAGGTGCACCAGCATGTGTGGCTATTTTTAAAATTTTTTGCAGAGACAGGATCTTGCTATGTTGTCCAGGCTAGTCCTGAACTCCTGGTCTCAAACAGTCTTCTGCCTCAGTCTCCCAAAATACTGGGATTACAGGCACAAGCTATTGTGGCCCAGCCTGATAATGAGTATTAAAATCCATTTTAGAAGTGTTTGGGGCCAGGCACAGTGGCTCATGCCTGTAATCCCAGCATTTTGGGAAGCCAAGGTGGGCAGATCACTTGAGGTCAGGAGTTTGACACCAGCCTGAGCAACATGGTGAATCCCTGTGTCTACTAAAAATACAAAAATTCGCCGAGCATAGTGGCACATGCCTGTAATCCCAGCTACTTGGGAAGCTGAGGCAGGAGAATCACTTGAACCCACAAAGTGGAGGCTGCTGTGAGCCGAGATCACACCACAGCACTCCAGCCTGGAAGACAGAGCAAGACCCTGTCTCAAAAAAAAAAAAAAAAAAAAAATGTTCTTCACACCTGTAATCCCAGCACTTTGGGAGGCCAGGGTCTCTTCAGATGGATTACCTGAGTTCGAGACCAGCAGCCAACATGGTGAACCCGTTTCTACTAAAAATACAAAATTAGCTGGGCAGAGTGACGCCTGCAGGTAGGTGCTGAGCCTCTCCACATGCGACACGTTGAATTTGTGCAGAGAAGGTGGGATGAGAGGCCTGAGATTGGGGAAAAGTTGGTCACGGGTAGACTACAGGCTAGTGCAGGGGATGAAGGAGAAGGCTCCATGGCTGTATCAGTGGGGTTTGCAGTCTGGGCATCTGTCTTCTTCCCCAGGCTAGTGAATTGGATGGAAACAAAATGAAAAGGTAGACCTGGAGGGTCCACTGAAACACTTGTGGTCATTTCTGTTTAGACTTGTATATGTGTAAGTGTGGGTGTATATGTCCAGACACACCTTTGTGTATCTGCATGCTTATCAATCTTCATTTGTGTGTATATAAATGTTTATATATCTTTATATTTGTGTGTATATTACTTTTAAATGGATATAAATACATTTGCATATGTAGGTATATGGGTTTTTTCATGTGTATAAATACATGCTTTTGTATATATACACTATGTAGATACCTTTCTATGTTTTTATATATGTATATTCCTGACTTTATATGTATGCCTATGTATATCTTTACATAGGTACATGATTTATATCTGTATATATCTTTATATGCAGATATATGTTTTTATATATATTTATGTATTTATATGTATATCTTTTAATATATCTTTTTAAAATATATATCTTCATGTATATCTTTAAATACATATACATTTTATATACATTTTTATATTTTATGTGTGTTATATATATCTTTACATATATAATTAAATATATTCCTTTATGTATATTTTACATATGTACATACATACCTTTATGTCTATTTGCTTTTATATATGTATGTATATATTTATATATACACTTTTATAAATACATATGTTTTTCTTTATATGTGTGTATAAATGTACCTATGTACACATACACATATACCTTTATGTGTATATACTTTTATATATGTTATATATACACAAAACTTTATATATACATGTGTATATATCTTTATATAGGTATATAAATGTCTTTATATATGTATCTAACTATATATATACACATACATTTTTGAGATGGAGTCTCACTCTGTTGCCCAGGCTGGAGTGCAGTGGCATGACTGTGGCTCACTACAACCTCTGCCTCCCGGGTTCAAGCAATTCTCTGCCTCAGACTCCTAAGAAGCTTGGATTACAGGTGCTGCTAGCACGCCCTGCTAATTTTTGTATTTTTAGTAAAGATGGGGCTTCACCATTTTGGCCAGGTTGGTCCTGAACTCCTGACTTCCTGATCCACCCGGCTTGGCCTCCCAATGTGCTGGGATTACAGGTGTGAGCCACTGCAACTGGTCTATATGTATATCTTTTAATGTATCTTTATATATATCTTTAATATAACCTTATATACATCATATACATTTTATATTTTATGTGTATGTTATATAAATATATATTTTTATACATATATAATTATATCTTTATATATCTTTATATATGTACATATATACCTTTATGTATCTATGCATACATTTATATATACACTTTTATATATGCATATGTCTTTATATGTATAAATATCTTCATAAATGTATTTATATATCTATATATAACCTTTATATATGTATACATATCTTATATAAGTATATATTTTATGTGTATATATGCATTCTTCGTATATACACACTTTTGTATATGTCTTTCCATATATGTATGCATATATAGCTTACATATGTTTCCATATTTATATGTATGTGTGTACCTTTATATATGTATGCATACTGTTTTATATATGTGTGTATAGGTCCCTTCATGTATATGTGTATATACATTTAGGTATTTTTGTGTGTGTGTGTGTGTATACCTTTATATATGTACGTGTATCTTTATACACACAGACATATATAAACACTTCTAATATAAAATTTTCTCTATAATTGGAGGTGAATGTCTGCCAAGAATCTTTCATATAGAAATACAAGTACAGACAATAGGAGATAGAGATGCATGCAACATTGGGCTGAAGAGTGTGATGTTTGAGGCTTTATTTTCAAGCATGTGAGATTTCTGGTCTGTTTAGTTCTGCAATATTATTTTAGAAGACGTAAAGGACTTGTCCCAGCTGTTTTGCAAAGCTGGATCTGCATCCTTCAGACAACCAGATTGCATCCAGTCACCTTTTCTGCCGTGTTTACTTGCAATAAATAAAAGCACTGTCTTAGAATTTATTACAATAACGATCAGGAATAAATTAAAAATTACTAGTTATTTTTGAAAGGAGAAACTGAGAACATTTAAGATTGAGACCATCTGCTGGAAGGTCCTCCTAATCCGGCGTCGGGGTGGCTGATCTCATATCAGTTTCTCGGCAGGAAGCGGGTGCGCCTGCGTGAATTTGGAGTCCCCAGGGTAAATGTTAGTCCCGTGACGGCAAGTGTTTTTGATAGCTAGAGCTCAGTGTTGGCATGAGTTTTCCCACGGGGAAGAGGAAGCTTTGGTGGGGCCACCCTTGACTCTCCCCTGCTGGTCACTCTTTGGAGCTCTCTTGGCAGTGACACGTTCACACGACTTGTTGCCATTCCCAACGAGCTGGACAGACCAACACCTGCAGGAAACCCCACGCTCGGACACCTGAACATCCCTCAGCTCTACCTTCTCTGTCTAACAGGAGGTGGTGGCGGTGGCTACTCCAGTTATAACAAGTTCGGCAACACGCACGGTGCCCCCACATCTAGGCACGCGGTGGGCGGAGGGCCAGATGGGTCATCTTTCTAGGGCTCCCAGTTGCATTCTGCCCTGGGCCTTCTACCTAGAGTCTTTGGTGAGTAGGGTGCTGTGTGCTGGTGTCTGGTCTTCTGAGAACCTGTCTGTGCTGGGCTGTTCCGCTTCTGTTCCCCAGGAGGGTGGGTGCAGCCACACATACACACACGCATACATGCACGCACACACACACACACACCCCTTTAGGTAAAAGTAAACAGAGCAAAGAACTATACAACTAATTACAGAGAGAGAGTAGGGGCGCAGTTCACTTACTTCAAACAGAATAGAAAACACTTTCAATGGCCGGGCGCGGTGGCTCATGCCTGTCATCCCAGCACTTTGGGAGGGCGAGGTGGGAGCGATTGCTTGAGCCCAGGAGTTTGAGACCAGCCTGGGCAACATGGCAAAACCCTGTCTCTACAAAAAATATATATATATGCAAAAATTAGCCAGGCGTGGTGGCACGTGCCTGTACTTCCAGCTACTCAGAAGGCGGAGGTAGGAGGATCCCTCTAGCCCAGGAGGTCCAGGCTTCAGTGAGCAGAGAGAGATAAGATCCTGCCGGCCGTGCGTGGTGGCTCTCGCCTGTAATCCCAGCACTTTGGGAGGCCGAGCTGGGCGGATCACAAGGTCGGGAGATAGAAACCATCCTGGGTAACACGGTGAAACCCCATCTCTACTAAAAATACAAAAAATTAGCCGGGCGTGGTGGCAGGCACCTGTAGTCCCAGCTACTCGGGAGGCTGAGGCAGGAGAATGGCTTGAACCTGGGAGAAGGAGCTTGCAGTGAGCCGAGATCGCACCACTGCACTCCAGCCTGGGCGACAGAGCGAGACTCCATCTCAAAAAACAAACAAAAAGATTGTGCCACTGTACTCCAGCTTTGGTGACAGACTGAGATCCTGTCTCAAAAAAAAAATTAATAATAATAATAAATAAATAAATAAAAGAAAAGAAAAAAGCAAGAAAACACTTTTGGGTGGTGGTTATGCCCAGAATTAAAGCAGTGTTCTACAGGAGCCATAAACAGGGGTTCTTCGCTTGGTTGAGTTTAACATTTTCTCTTTGTTAACAGTTTTGCACACCTTCAATGAATTGAGTAACCATCTTTTCTTTCTTTTTTTTTTTTTGAGACAGGGTTTCACTTGTTGCCCGGGCTGGAGTGCAGTGGTGCAATCTCTGCTCACTGCAACCTTGGCCTCCCGGGTTCAAATGATTCTCCTGCCTCAGCCTCCAAGTAGCTGGGATTACAAGCATGTGCCACCAGCTCCCCCTAATTTTTGTATTTTTAGTAGACACAGGGTTTCACCATGTTGGTCAGATTGGTCTTGAACTCCTGACCTCAGGTGATCCATCTGCCTCAGCCTCCCAGAGCGCTGGGATTACAGGCATGAGCCACTGTGCCTGGCTAATTTTTTTAGTTTTAATAGAGACGGGGTTTTACCATGTTGGTCAGGCTGGTCTTGAACTCCTGACCTCAGGTGATCTGCTCTCTTCAGCCTCTCATAGTGCTGGGGTTACAGACGTCAGCTACTGCACCCAGCCTTGAGTAACCATCTTTTTGGTTAAAACTAATACATGCCCCTCTCCCTCTCCCTCTTCCCCTCCCCCTCCCCCTCCTTCTGTCTCCCTCTCCCTCTTCTTTCTACGGTCTCCCTCTCTTGCCCAGCCTGGACTGTACTGCCATGATCTCAGCTCGCTGCAACCTCCCTGCCTTGGGCTCCCGTGATTCTCCTGCCTCGGCCTGCCCAGTGCCTGGGATTCCAGGCACGCGCCGCCACTCCTGACTGGTTTTTGTATTTTTGATGGAGACGGGGTTTCGCCATGTTGACCAGGCTGGTCTCCAGCTCCTGGCCTTGGGTGATCTGCCTGCCTCGGCCTCTCGAGGTGCTGAGATTGCAGACGGAGTCTTGCTCAGTCAGTGCTCAGTGTTGCCCAGGCTGGAGTGCAGTGGCGTGATCTCGGCTCACTACAACCTCCACCTCCCAGCCGCCTGCCTTGGCCTCCCAAAGTGCTAAGATTACAGCCCCTGCCCGCCCGCCACCCCGTCTAGGAAGTGAGCAGCATTTCTGCCTGGCCGCCCATGGTCCAGGATGTGAGGAGCCCCTCTGCCCGGTCGCCCCATCTGGGAAGTGAGGAGCACCTCTGCCTGGCTGCCACCCCATCTAGGAAGTGAGGAGCGCCTCTGCCCGGCCACCCCGTCTGGGAAGTGAGGAGAGCCTCTGCCCGGCCACCCTGGCTGGGAGGTGAGGAGCGCCTCTGCCTGGCCACCCGGTCTTGGAGGTGAGGATCGCCTCTGCCTGGCTGCCCATCATCTGGGATGTGAGGAGCGCCTCTGCCCAGCCGCCCCATCTGGGAGGTGAGGAGCACCTCTGCCCAGCCACCACCGCGTCTGGGAGGTGAGGAGTGCCTCTGCCCGGCCGCCACCCCGTCTGGGAAGTGAGGAGTGCCTCTGCCCGGCTGCCCTGTCTGGGAAGTGAGGAGTGCCTCTGCCTGGCTGCCCCGTCTGGGAGGTGAAGAGTGCCTCTGCCTGGCCGCCACGTCATCTGGGAAGTGAGGAGACCCTCCGCCCAGCCACCCCGTCTGGGATTTGAGGAGCGCCTCCGCCCGGCCACCCCGTCTGGGAGGTGAGGAGCACCTCTGCCCGGCTGCCACCGCGTCTGGGATGTGAGGAGCGCCTCTGCCTGGCCGCCCCTTCTGGGAAGTGAGGAGCGCCTCTGCCCGGCCGCCACCGCGTCTGGGATGTGAGGAGCACCTCTGCCTGGCCGCCCTGTCTGGGAGGTGAGGAGCGCCTCTGCCCGGCCGTCACCCCATCTGGGAAGTGGGGAGCGCCTCTGCCCTGCTGCCCATCATCTGGGAAGTGAGGAGCACCTCTGCCTGGCCGCCCTGTCTGGGAAGTGAGGAACGCCTCTGCCCGGCCGTCCCGTCTGGGAAGTGAGGAGTGCCTCTGCCCGGCCGCCCCATCTGGGAGGTGTACTCAACAGCTCCGAAGAGACAGCGACCAGGGAGAATGGGCCATGATGACGTGGCGGTTTTGTCGAAAAGAAAAGGGGGAAATGTGGGGAAAAGAAAGAGAAATCAGATTGTTACTGTGTCTGTGTAGAAAGAAGTAGACATGAGAGACTCCATTTTGTTCTGTACTAAGAAAAATTCTTCTGCCTTGGGATGCTGTTAATCTATAACCTTACCCCCAACCCTGTGCTCTCTGAAACATGTGCTGTGTCCACTCAGGGTTAAATGGATTAAGGGTGGTGCAAGATGTCCTTTGTTAAACAGATGCTTGAAGGCAGCATGCTCGTGAAGAGTCATCACCACTCCCTAATCTCAAGTACCCAGGGACACAAATACTGCGGAAGGCCGCAGGGTCCTCTGCCTAGGAAAACCAGAGACCCTTGTTCACATGTTTGTCTGCTGACCTTCCCTCCACTATTATCCTATGACCCTGTCACATTCCCCTCTCTGAGAAACACCCAAGAATGATCAATAAATACTAAAACAAACAAACAAACAAAAACTAATACGTGCCAAGAGCTCTGGTAATGTGGGAAGTACTTTTTTCTTTTCTTTTCTTTTCTTTTTTTTGATATAGTCTGATTAGGCTTTGTGAGAGCCAAGGCTCTTGGCCCCCTAAGTTTTCTCTGAATCACTGAAATGAGGCAGCTTAATTAACAGGAGAAAAAAACGTATAAATTTATTGAGTGGATATACATGCAAACCTTCAGAACCAAGACTCAATCACCAATGGGATGCAAAAGCTTATAGACCATCTTTTTTAACTTTGATGTTAGGTTCAGGGGTCCTTGTGTAGCATTGTTATATAGGTAAATTGTTTGTCACAGGGGATTGGTGTACAGATTATGTCATCACCCAGGTAATAAGCATAGTACCTGATAGGTAGTTTTCCCATCCCCACTCTCCTCCCACCCTCTGCCTTCAAGTAGGCCCTGGTGTCTGGTGTTCCCTTCTTTGTGTCTATGTTGTCAATCAAGAAAAATGATGAGACGAGTGTAAAAGATTTATTTGCCAAAGTTAAGGTTAAGGACATGCACCCAGGAGACAGGTCTGTGGCCTTCTCCGAAGACGATTTTGAAGGCTGCAAATTTAAAGGGGAAAGGGCGGGAAATTAAGAAGTACATAATTTTCATGGAAGAGGTGGGTAGGGAAAATAGTTATTCATGCTTTTGTCTGGCTCAGTGAATCTGTGTTTTTTACATAAGATGACATAGACAAATGGGGTAGAGGGAAAATGCAGGGAATCTGCATGCTGCATAAGATAATCTGGACAAAATGGGGCAGGGGAGCAATCACATATGATTTGTGTCTGGTGGGTGGGGGTTACTGCACCTGTAAAGATAAGCTATCGATATACATTGTCATGGTGAAATCTTAACAGCTCATTAGGATTTTCCTTGTGGGCAAAATATGGGGGAGACATGTAGCTTTTCATCTTGTAGCCATTTTATTTAGGAACCAAAAGGGGGAGGCAGGTTTGTGTGACCCACTTCCCAGCTTGACTTTTCCCTTTGACTAAATGAGTTCAGGATCACAAAATTTAATTTCCTTTCACAATGCGTACTCTGTGTTTAGCTCCCACTTGTAAATGAGAACACATGGTATTTGGTTTTCTGTTCCCGCATTAGTTTGCTTAGGAGAATGGCCAGCAGCTCTATCCATGTTGCTGCAAAGGACATGATCTTGTTCTTTTTTATGGATGTGTAATATTCCACAATGTATATGGGCCACATTTTCCTTGTCCAGTCTACCATTGATGGGAACCTAGGTTGATACCATGACTTTGCTATTTGAATTTGCTATTTGCTGTTCTTTGCAGGAAGAATGTGGGCTCAGAGCATGGCCCCAAATAGGTGATGTTGGTAAAGCAGGTTTAATGGGTGGCAAGCCAGGTGATGAGAGGGAGACAGGAAGAGGCCTGCTTAGCAAGGGGGTCCTTGTTATGCAGATGAAGGTTCCCAGGTAGCAGCCATTAGAGACGACCATGGTAAATGTTTCTTTTTAGACCTGTAAAGGTGTCAGAGTCTCCGTTTCTCTCTCCTACATCCAGGAAAAGCTTAGAAAGGGAAGGCCTGGCTGCAACAGCAAAGATCCTCTACAGATGCCAATTTCCCCACCTCAGTCTGCTGGTCCTGGAGCGGCAATTTCAAAATAAGGCAAAGCAATATATTTTGGAGTAAAATTTTTTGATGTCCGTCATCTTCATTACACTCTGAAGCGAGTATTGTCATCAGATCCATTTAACAAAATGAAAACAATGCACGACACTCAACCGTCCACTTCAAAGGAGCAATAGCTGTGGCCCTATATGTAGCCCATCCTCAGAACTCACTTCCTATGACACAGACAAGCTTCAGGGTGGGAGGGGGCTCATGACAAGGTGCTTATTACCTGAGGTCAAGAACTGTCCACTTTTGGCCGGGCATGGTGGCCCACGCCTGTAATCCCACGCCAAGGTAGGTGGACCGCTTGAGTTCAGGAGTTCAAGATCAGCCTGGGCAAAATAGTGAAACCCTGCCTCTACCAAAAAAAAAAAAAAAAAAAAAAAAAAAAAAAAAAAAAAAAAGCAAAAATTAGCTGGGCATGGAAGTGTGTACCTGTGGTCCCAGCTAGTCAGGAGTTTGAAGTGACCCTGGAAGTTTGAGGCTGCAGTGAGCCATGATAGCACCACTGCCTTCCAGCCTGGGCCATGGAATGTCTCAAAACAAAAAAAGAACACAAAAAAAGAATTGACCACCTTCAACTCCACATATTATGGGTTCCTTCCACCATCTTTCTGTAACTACCTAAGGGGTTCCCCTTACCTACTACCTAGATAGACCTGATTTATTAAGACAGGAATTACAATAGAAAAAGAGTTTAATTCACACAGAGCTGACTGAACGGGAACCTGTGAAGCAGCTATGCTGTCTGGGGTACATACCCTGGGGTTCATTGTCACATCCTGAGAAAGAATTCAGGACACGGACACATGTGAGTGGGTTAAGGAGTTGAAAGTTTGATAGAAGAAAGGAGAGAGGAGAGCATCTTCTTGTGAGAGAGAGAGAGAAACGTCTGAAAAAGTTGGGAGGTTGTGGACCACAGCAGCTTTTATAGGCAGGCTGGAGGAGGCGGTGTCTGATTTACACAGGGCTCACAGATTGGTTCAATCAGGTATGACTTCTACATAGTGTGTGGGGAAGGCTGGTGGCCCCACCCTAATCTTGTTATGTAAATGGGCTTTCCAGTTGGTCAGTGCCATCTTGTCTGCTTCTTACTGTACATAGGGCTGACAAAGAGGAGGGAAGATGAAGCTGCCATCTTGAACATGTCTAGGCCCTAGTTCCTGCTGGCATTCACCCATGCAGGCTTCTAGCTGGCTTGTCTATGTCTGCAGCTCAACTTTACAGGCTGCTTTTTGTTATGAAATGATTTGGGGCTGCTTTTCATTAAAAAGAAGAGCCTTATCAAGGACTCCCATACCCTTGCTATGTGCCTAAGTAATAAAGTAATTCCTTCTTAACTCCTATATCAACTGGAGGTTTTGCTTTTTTTTCTTTAAACAGGGTTTCATTTTGTTACCCAGGCTGGACTGCAGTGGTGAAATCATAGCTCACTACAGCCTCAACCTCTTGGGCTCAAGCGATCCTCCCGCCTCAGCCTCCCGTGTAGCTAGGACCACAGGTGTATGCCACCACAACTGCCTAATTTTTAAAAAATTTTTGTAGAGATGGGGTCTCACTATGTTGCCCAGGCTGGTCTTTAACTCCTGGCCTCAAGTGTTTCTCCCACCTCAGCCTCCCAAAGAACTGGGATTATGGGCATGAGCCACTGCACCTAGCCAAGACTGGAGTTTTACGACTCAAATCAGCTTCACCCAAAATGTGGACACAGGGTTTTTCAAAGTATAATTTCGCTGGTAGGAGACCTGGGCATGGGGAATGCTGATTGGTTAGTTGGCAGTAGAGTCACAGAGGATGGACATGGATTCTTTTTGTTGTCTTCTGTTCTTGTGTGGGACGGCAGAGCTCGCTGAGCCGCATTACCAGTCTGGGTGGTGCCGGCTGGTGCATCTCAATGCAGGGTTTAAAAAATATCTCAACTTCAACCTTAGGTTTTACAATAGTGATGCCATCCCTAGGAGCAACTGAAGAGGTTTGGAATCTTGTGGCCTCCGGCTGCATGGCTCCTAACCTATTAATATAATTTCTAATCTTGTGACTAATTTGTTAGTCTTTCAAAGGCAGTCTGATCCCCGGGGAAGAAGGGAGTTTGTTTCAGAAAAGAGCTGTTATCTTTGTTTGAATGTTAAGCTGGACATTCCTCCTATGGTTATCTGAGTCTGTGTTCAGGAATGAACTAGGGCTGTTTGAGGGCTACAGGCACGATGCAGTCGGTTAGGTCAGATCTCTTTCACTGTCGTAATTTTCTTACTGTTATAATTTTTGCAAAGGCGGTTTCAATTTAACTGAAAATGTCAGGCAAAGACCAAATTAAATGTTTTTACAGAAAGCCACTGGGAGTAGTTTTTTATTATTCTATTACTTATTTATTTAGAGACAGAGTCTTACTCTGTTGCCCAGGCTGGAGTGCAGTGGTGCAATCATAGCTCACTGCAGCCTCAAACTCCTGGGCTCAAGTGATCCTCCCACCTCAGCCTCCTGAGGAGCTGGGGCTACAGGCACACACCATCATACCCAGCTAAATTAAAAAAAAAATTTTTGTAGAGATAGGATCTCACTTTTGTAACTGCCCAATGGGTTTACCTCGCCCCCTGCCTAGACAGAGCCGATTTATCGAGACAGAGGAATTGTAATGGAGAAAGAGTAATTCATGCAGAGCCAGCTGTGCCAGAGACCAGAGTTTTATTATTACTCAAATCAGTCTCCCCAGGCATTCAGGGTCCAGAGTTTTTAAAGATAATTTGGCGGGTAGGGGCTTGGGAAGTGGGGAGGGCTGATTGGTCAGGTTGCAGAGGGAACCATAGGGGGTTGAAGTGAGGTTTTCTTGCTGTTTTCTGTTCCTGGGTGGATGGCGGAACTGGTTGAGCCAGATTACCGGGCTGGGTGGTGCCAGCTGATCCATCCAGTGCAGAGGCTGCAAAATATCTCAAATACCGCACTTACATTTTACAATGGTGATGTTACCCCCAGGAGCAATTTGCAGAGGTTCAGACTCTTGAGCCAGAGGCTGCATGTCCTCTAAACCATAATTTTTCTTTTCTTTTCTTTTCTTTTTTTTTTCGAGACAGAGTATCACTCTGTTGCCCAGGCTTGAGTGCAGTGGCGTGATCTTGGCTCACTGCATCCTCTGCCTCCCTGGTTCAAGCAATTCTCCTGCCTCAGCCTCCCCAGTAGCTGGGACTACGGGCACATGTCACCATGCCCGGCTAATTTTTGTATTTTTACCAGAGACGGGGTTTCACCATATTGTTCCGGCTGGTCTCGAACTCCTGACCTGAGGCGATCCACCCTCCTCGGCCTCCCAAAGTGCTGGGATTATAGGCTTGAGCCAGTGCGCCCAGCCCTATAGTTTTTAATCTTGTAGCTAATTTGTTCGTTCTACAAAGTCCAGCTGGTCCCCAGGCAAGAAGGAGGTGTTTTCAGGAAAAGGCTATGATCAATCTTGTTTCAGAGTCAAACCATGAACTGAATTCCTTCCCAAAGTTAGTTGGGCCTATGCCGAGGAATGAACAAGGACAGCTTAAGGGTTAGAAACAAGATGGAGTCGGTTAGGTCTGGCCTCTTTCACTGTCATCATTTCCTCAGTTACAATTTTTGCAAAGGTGGTTTCGCCACATTGCCCAGGCTGGTCTTGAACTGGGCTCAAGCGATCCTCCTACCTTGGCCTCCATAAGTGCTGGGATTACAGGCCTGCACCACCACATCCGGCCCACCTTGGAGCGTGTTATATAAAGCGAGCCGTCCCCACACCCCTACAGCCTACGAATGAGCCTTTTCACCTCATGCACGATTCTCTGAAACTTCTCTCTGTAAGGAGCTATTCAGGACATGTTCTTTTGTTCTCTGGCATACTCATCAGTTAGAAAGAAATGATTCAGCAAGCGGCTCCCCTGAGAGCCCTGATCGTTTCCTGTTTTCCTGTGAAGTTAGTCTCGGGAGGTCTGCGCTGTGCCATTTTTGGGGGACCATTATCTGGCTCCCGAATGGATCAAAGCTTACTGGTCAGGGTGCTGCTGTATCCCTGGGGCAAAACTGCCGGAATATAGCAGATAGCCCTGTGGTCCTTGGCAGGGCCAGGGCCCGGTGGAAGCAGCAGCTGGGCCAAGAGCATCAGGCGTGCATGAGGCACAGCCCAGTTTTGGGAGCATGACGCTTGTTTTTGAGGATGCCTGTGCTCCCCTTCCTGCCTGGACCCCTGCTCTCCAGCCCCGGCAGAGCGAGGCTGTGAGTCAGCGCTCAGATTAGCATCAGCATGGAGGTGCCGGCTGGGATGCAAGCCGCCGCCATGGGATGAGTCACGCGGCTTCTCCCCGAATCCCCAAAGGAGGCAGAGAGTGTTAGGCTTGTTCTGGCTTCATGCAGAGCACTGAGGGGTGAGGGCTGACCTTGGCTGGCCGCGGAGGGAAGCCCAAAGTCTGGCCTCCCTGCGGAGACTGGGGAGAAAATGTTGCGCTCGTCGTTTTTAAATACTGGTGGACAAGTTTCTCTTGTCTGCTAAGGCTGCCATTGTAAATTACTAGAGTCAGGAGGGCTGAAGCAAAAGGGTTTTCTTCTCCCACAGTCCTGGAGACTGGAAATCTGAGATCAAGATGTGAGCAGGGCTGGTTCCTCCTGAAGCCACTCTCCTGGGCTCGTCGACATCATCATCTCCCTGTGTCCTCACAGGGTCGTCCCTCTGTGGGTGTCTGTGTTAAAACCTCCTGTTCTTATGAGATGTCTCAGTCCATTTCAGGCTGCTATCACAGAATACTATAGACTGGTGGCTTATAGACAACAGACATTGATTCTCCCACAGCCCTAGAGGCTGGAGGTCCAAGATCAAGGTGTGGGCAGGGCTGGTTCCTCCTGAGGCCTCTCTCTTTGGTTTGGAGACACCATCTTCTCCCTGTGTCCTCACAGGGTCGTCCCTCTGTGTGTGTCTGTGTTCCAATCTCCTCTTCTTATGAGATGTCTTAGTCCATTTCAGGCTGCTATCACAGAATACTATAGACGGGGTGGCTTACACACAACAGACATTGGTTCTCTCACAGTCCTAGAGGCTGGAGGTCCAAGATAAAGGTGTGAGCAGGGCTGGTTCCTCCTGAGGCCTCCCTCCTTGGCTTGTAGACACCATCTTCTCCCTGTGTCCTCACAGGGTCATCCCTCTGTGTGTGTCTGTGTCCTCATCTCCTCTTCTTATAAGGTCTGTAGTCCTATTGGATTAGGGCCAACCCTAGTGATCTCGTTTTATTTTAATCAGCTGTCTAAAGACGTTGTGTTCAAATACAGCCACAGTCTGATGCCCTGGGGGTTAGGACTGCGACCTGTGAATTTGGAGGGGGATATAGTTCAGCCCATAGAACCCACTATCCACATAAGTTGTTCCACTTCAAAATCAGCACAAAGCATTAGTTTTAAAAATCTCAAATCTGTATTTTTAAAAATTGCTCTTAACACATTAGAAAAATATAGAAAAACTTTTTTGTTGTTGTTTTTCTGAGACAAAATCTCACTCTGTAGCCCAGCCTGGAGTGCAGGGATGTGATCATAGATCACAGCCTCCACCTCCTGGGTTCAAGCAATCTTTTGCCTCAGTCTCCCAAGTAGCTGAGACTACAGGTGCACATCACCACACACAGCTAATTTTTTAAAAATTTTATTTTTAGTAGAAATGGGGTCTTGCTATGTTTCTCCGGCTGGGCTCCAACTGAGCTCAAGTGGTCTTACTGCCTTGGCCTCCCAAAGTGGTAGGATTACAGGTGTGAGCCACCACACCCAACCTGGAGGAACTCTTTTTTTTAATGGGTTATGATTCCTACTTATGGCCTGCGTTTTCATCCTATTCTCTTTTTTTTAACCAACATTTGTGGGCATTTGTTTTATGCCAAATAAAACACATTTGGCCATCTATGTCAGGCCTCCAGACCCTCAGGGATGCACATCTAATGCACCTTCAGCCACCAGTGTAAACAGTAAACAAGGGCCAGATGGCACCTGTGCACCTTCCCTAGCCTTGGGAGAGCCATTGGAATCTCTGCAGCCTTTAAGAGCATCTTGCTTCAGGTTTGCTGACCTGCTTGTTTCTGTAAGATCACGTAGACTTCCTGAGCAATAGCTAGCATTTCATGGTCTCTTTTCTATCCTGCAGGAAGAGGGGGCTATAGACCCAACTCTTGTTATGGAAATACTTACGGAAAAAGAATTATGTCTTACAGAATATGTGAGGCAAAACTGTCCATTTGCAAATAACTAACACACTGTCTGCACTGATGTGAAGCTCATGCTTTTATCCAATGCACAACCACTAACTGGCCGTTCCGGTCTTTAATTTGCATTTTCCTTGGTCATCCATGCTGGGGGAAGATGTTGTGCATGCCCTGAGGACTTAATTTCTTGAAAGGAACTATGGCCCACTTACAGGTTTTACTGGGTGCATGTGTGTGCACGTGTGTGTGTATGCATATGTGTTCACACACAGGTATGCTTGTGTGTATTGTGTGTGCATGCATGTGTACATGTGCATGTGGATTTTGTAATCATGTGCATAAGTGCATGTGGATTTCATATGCACGTGTGCAAGTGTCTGTGTGCACACATGTGGATTGAGCGATGCATGTTTGTGTATGTGCACAGATGTGTTGGCATGTGCTTGTGGATTTTGCATGTGTGCATGTTTGTGCTTGGGTTGCATATGCATTGCATGTTTCCCGTGTGTGTCCATTCACATGCATACATTTAGGGGTGTGCAAGCACATGTGTGCATGTGGATAGATGCAGGAGTGTGCATCTGGGTGTGCTCGTGTGGTATGTGCATACTGCATGAATATATCATGTGCATCTGTGCATGTGGATTGTGTGTACACATGCATGTGTACAGGCACACACATAAACACATGAATGTGTTTATGTGTGTGTGCATATTTGTGTGTACATGCATGTGTTTATGCATACAGGTGTTAACATGTGCACACATCAGTGTGTGCATATGCACACATGTGTACATGTGTTTGTTTAGGCGAATTGTGCTTTATATGTGCTTTTGTTGCCTGTGTGTGTGGTATGTGCATGTGTGTGTATGTGGGGATATGTGGGATGTGCATGTGTGTGGATGTGCACATTGAGGGCATGTGTGCTTCTGTGTTGCATTTGTATTTACATGTTGCACATGTGTGTAAATGCATGTGTGTGTGCATATGTGTATGTGTGCTTGTCTGCCTGTGTGTTGCACGTTTGTTGCATGCTGCATGTGTGTATGCACGTGCACACACATTTGTGCATGTCAGTGTGTGTTGCATGTGAGTGTGTATGAATGGCGTGTATGTGTGTACATGTGTGTCCATGGGGTTGTCAGCCTGTGTGTGTTTTGCATGCGCATGTATGTAGACTCTCCAATCCTGAAATTAAAGCTGAATCTGCCTCTCCCTGGTATTATCCCCATTCCGCTAATGACCATTAGACATGGCATACACATTCACATTCCTCCTCCTTATGCTGCTTGGCTGTCCCCCTCCCCCCACAAGAATGTAAATTCCCTGAAAACAGAGATCTGTGTGCTGTGTTCATAGTTGCATCCTCAACAGTGCCCGGCAATATAAAGCCCTCCATAAGCTCTGCTGAATAAACACGAGCATCCTTTTCTGCTTACAGGTGGAGATCACCATTCAACCTATGGCAATCCAGAAGGTAACTGATTGACTCACCTGGTCCCAACCTTTAATAAGAGCACACTCTCCTAAATCAGCACTGGGAGGAGCTGTGTGGGCTTCTGTTTCCCAACCTCATGACTTTCATGGAGCACTCATACTTTGTATGTATATAAAGTAGCTTCTGAATAAAAATATCTGACCTTCAGAACAGGACCAATCAGAGTTCAGAGAAAGGAGAGGCAAGCATTGGTTTTCACTGCAGAAGATGCCCCTTAGCTCTCAAAGCAAGGCTGTGAATGAGTGCTGAGACTTACATTTCTCCCAGTACCACCATTACTCCCCTTTCTTTGACCAGCACTAACTTGAAACCCAAGGACAGGAGAAAGGAAGTTATGAACACTCTGCCCAAAGAAGCCGTCAGAATGCACTGTCAATCCCGTCTCAGGTCAAAGGAGGGAGAACTTGAAGCCCAGAAGGCTGATTTTATGTCCTGTATTGCTGGGAGAACAGGTTCCCCATTCCCTAAGAGTCATATTCTTAGAGATTTGGGCTGACACCTGCTTGAGTTTAAGTTGAGAGTAAATGCACTCAACCCCAAGGCTCTTGTGAGTTTTCAATTATGGGGGAGGAGAAAGTGATTGAACGTGACCTCTACCTTTCAATGAACATGCAGAGTACTAGTATCAATATTTTTGGGATATGTTGGCATCCTTAAACAAATTTATGGATTCACCTTTTTCCCACTGTGGTGTAAAGTGAGGTCCAGAGATGGAAAGGGCAAGGCAAATAAACAAGTAATTGCAGTCAAATCTGATGAATAATTTGCTGGAACGTATGGGATCCTGTAGCAAGGCAGAAGGGATACTCCTAGACTGGGTTAGGTGAGGGAGGTAGGGCTTCCTGGAGAGAACAATATCCAAACCAATCCCCAAAATATGGGTGGGAAGTGCCCAGGAGAAGAGCGAGATGTCAGGGAAGATAGTGTGCTAGGTAGAGCTGGATACACATATGGGGACACTAGAGATTGTGTAGCCAAAGTGTGGAATGCAACGGGAACCAGGGAAGGATGCAATGGTGACAAAGAAAGACCACCAGGTTAGCAGAGGTGAAGTCTGCATTTCTTAGAACCTTCATGGGGAACAGCCTGCCCCTGTTGGATGTGTAGGTGAAGAATGGACCTGAGGGGACTCACTAAGGCCCAGGGAGACTCCATTTCAGACCAGTTTAGTACCCTCTGGAAATGATGACAGGCTGAATTAAAGCCTGGGCAAGGGAGGCAAAGAGAAGCAGTCAGCTTGGATGACCACTTGGTAATGACAATTGATTGTACTTGACTGATTTGTAAGAGATGGGAGAGAGGAAAAGGTATGTATCAGTCAGCTATGCTGTGTCACAAAAGACCCCAAAACTTAGTGGCTGGAAATAACCACCATTTACTATGTTCATGATTATGTGAGTCAGCAATTTGGGCTGAAACCATTCTAGTGGTCCTCCTGGTCTCTTCTGAACTACTTGTCTTGTGTGCAGTCAGCTGTAGGTGTGGCCAGCGCTTTGACCATGTTTCCTGGGTCTTCTTATGTATTTGGGGCCTTAGGTGGAATGGTTCATCTCAGCTTCATGTGGACTCTCACATCCCTCCAGGAAGCCAGGCCAGGCTTCATCACACACCACAGACCAGGTAGGGTACCAAGAGCATGAAGAGAAGCGTGCCTGGGCTTAGAGCCACATGTCTTCACTTGTGTGACATTCTGTTGGCTAAAGCCTGGATTCTCAGAATGAAGATGCAGCTCCACCTCTGGACGGGGAACACTGTGAAATCATACTATGGATTGTGTGCATGTAGGGAGGGGAAGAATAGAAGGCTGTCTCTCCCAGGAGGCAGGGTGTGGCAGGTGGCAGCATCAGCCATAGAGCAGGTTCTTGCATTCAGTGACAACACTCTTCCCCCCAACATGGCAGCCTCATTCTTGGAGCAGTCTTGTGTCCCTCACCTATGCCATGCCATGTATTGGCCCATGTGTTCAACCCTGTCTGAAGAAAGCCATGCATGGAAAGGGTGGCTATTTCAAATGGAAACAGTGATTTCTTCCTTTTTTCCCTTTGGAAGTGTTGATTTTTGTCACATCAAGCTCCTTCTTGTTCTTTGTGCAGGAGTGCCAAAGCTCTGGAGCAATTTGCCATCGAGGCATTGAGGATGCTTGTGTCTAGTGTGTGCTTGGGTCTAGAGTTCCAGCATGCCTTTGAAAGCAAGCCTATCTGGCAGTTTTTAGTGGAACAATATTTTTGCATGAGTGGGCATTCTACATCTAAAAAGGCACAAAATAGTTTTGACATGTGCCTGTCATCCCAACTACTCAGGAGGCTGAGGCAGGAAGATCACTTGAGCCCAGGAGTTCAGGACCAGCTTAGGCGGCATAGTGAGACCCCATCTCTAAAAAAATAAATCAGGCCAGGCGTGGTGGCTTGTGCCTGTAGTCCCAGCACTTTGGGAGACCCAGGTGAGTGGATCACCTGAAGTCAGGAGTTCGAGACCGGCCTGGCCAACATGGTGAAACCCTGCATCTACTAAAAATACAAAAATTAGCTGGACGTGATGGCATACACCTGTAGTCCCAGCTACTTGAAAGGTTGAGGCAGGAGAATCACTTGAACATGGGAAGTAGAGATTGCAGTGAGCCGAGATCACGCCACTGTATGCCAGACTGGGCGACAGAGCAAGATTCCTTCTCAGAAAATAATAAATAAATAAATAAATAAATAAATAAAATTAATTAAAAGGCATACATGAATTGAATTCAACAAACAAAAATACCAAGTGCCTCGTCTGTGCAAATCCTGGCCTTGGATGTCTTCAGTGATAAGATGTGGTTGACAAGCTTGGCTCTTTGTGAAAACAGAATTACTTCCTAAGGTTTTTTTTTTTTTAAATTAACTTTCTCTTTTTTTTTTTCTGTGGGTACAAGGGTGGGAAGGGATGTGATGGAGATGTTATTAGATTGGTGCAAAAGTTATTGCAGTTTTTGTCATTACTTTCAATGGCAAAAACCGTAATAACTTTTGGACCAATCTAATATTTAAGCAGTTTTCCTGCAGCCATATTTTTTTCTCAGATGAGCTTGCTTTTTCTCCACTCCTGCAGGCAATATGGTAGCAAAAATTGTGTCTTCCATCATATCCATGGTGGTGGTGACACTGATGGGAGCAGCAGCCAGTTATTCCAAACTAAACAATAGGAGGAATTTGTTTCAGGACCCATGGTAACTTTGGCTCTAAACATTGTTTTCCTTGTTACGATGCCTGATTTTTTATTTTAAAAATTACTTTTGGATGTCTGTCACTAGCAAAGTTATTCCTGGTTAAGTTCAATATACATAACTTGCCCAATAATGTGATTTTTAAAAATTTATTTATTTTTTTTTTGAGACAGAGTTTCACTCTGTTGCCCAGGCTGGAGTGCAGTGGCATGATCTCGGCTCACTGCAATCTCTACCTCCTGGGTTGGGTTCAAGAGATTCTCTTGCCTCAGCCTCCTGAAGAGCTGGGAATACAGTCATGCACCACCATGCCTGGCTAATTTGTGTATTTTTTGTAGAGATGGGGTTTCCCCATGTTGGCCAGACTGTTCTTGAACTCCTGACCTCAAGTGATTATCTGCCTGCCTTGGCTTCCCCAAGTGCTGGGATTACAGGCATGGGCCACCGTGCCTGGTCAACGATTTGGTTTTCATGGTCAGGTGTAGTCTGTACCTTCCTCTAAACCTTGTTACAATGACGCTGGCACGTTATCTGTCTAATGTAAAAGAGAGGGAGAAAAAAAGGAAAGAAAAAGAAACAAACAAAAAAATTACTAACCTACATTGCAGGACTAAAGCATGATAGTTGATTGAACTAATCAAATATAGTCCTGTTTTGTATTCAGTGAAATTTTCGTCACAGGTGGGTCACGAAAAATATCTGGGTTGAATGTGAATGTTTTGCACAGAACCCCACCCACAAAGAAAACTACCAAAACACTAAATTATAAGCCTCTCTGAAATTCAGAAGGTGTGCTCAGACCATAGGAGAGAAGAAAGATCTGCTGTGGCTTCCTGGTTCAATGCCGGCTCCACACTCCTGGGTTTGAAGAATCACTTGGGATTTGAGAGCAGAGGATGCCCTAAAGAAATCTCTGAAACAACAGTCAGGGATTGTCAGGGATTGTTTTATAGCCTAAAGAGTGACTCAGATCTTTAACTGGGTGTCTCTGGAGGCTTGGTTTAAACCTCAGGCCACCCACGTCAGAATCTGTCTGGAGTTTGCCCAGGGCCCTCTAACTCATACCTTCTTTGTGTCCCCGAAGGAAACCAGAAAGGGGTGCCCATTCCTACGGTGTTTGCTTTAGGATTTGCATTTGGCCTCAAAAATCCTAAAACCTTCCCATGCGCTCTCTCTGCTGGTGAATGGGCAGTATCAACCGTTAGCTAATGAACCTCTGTTTGGGGTAAGCCTCCATCTATGTTATGCCCTGTCCTGAAATTTTAGGAGGAAACTGAGTTACTGAAAAACTGCCTTATTTTCCTGGCAATCTGAGAGCAGATTCTTGGGTTCAGTGACAACACTCTTTCACCCAACGTGGCAGCCATCATTAACGAACACCATGTGTTAATTTCAGTAGCCTTCGTGGCAGTGATTTGTAAGCCTTTGTCAACCAAGGGCTGAAACTGAATAAGCAGAGAGAGGCAGTCTCCACAAGCACAAAATATAAGGGCGGGGTACAGGGGTCCCCCACAAACTCAATAAGACAAATATATTTTAGTGCAATATTTTAAAAGGAAAATCATTGGAATGGGGGCCAGTTGAGTTTCTGAAATAGGTGTAGTTTTAAAAACGTGGATGATGCATGCCCCATTTATCTGAGGTGGAAGCACTTTTTTGCTAAAGAGGTATAATGTCTTGAAGCTCTTTCATGCCTTTTGGCTGCCTGGTAAGTATTTTTGTCTACTTTCTCCATTGTACTTCGATGATACCCTCACCAGGTATTCCCAAGCACCAAGTTTATCTTCCCCTCCCTTAAAGTTCCTGAGATCAGAAAGGAGGATGTAGACAGAGTGAGCTGATGTTAGGGAGATCTCTTCAAGGGTGAGCAGTGACATTTATGTGGATCCTGGGCCTATATCACCTCGCTGGCTGTAAAGCCTTTATACTATCTAGGAAATATGTGCATGACAGCAAATACATATGGGTTTGGTATCAAATGGGGCTCAGAGCTCTGCGAACTTGACTCTAAAGTTCCAGGCTGCTGCTAATGGTACCCAGCTGTCCACTTCTCCTTAGTTAGGTCATTAATTTTCTCTGTCTCCTAAAGGATGACGTACATGGTATACTAACCATATCCACGGTGATGTGATGCAGTGCACAACCTGTGGAACTGTGTACATGCTGAGGCCATACACTGAAGCTTGCACACTTTGTAGAGAAAGAGTTGTAGTAACAGAGCTGCACAGATAGAAGCAGATGTCTGTCACTTGATGTGGACTTTTAAGAATCATACTTTGCTTTTATTTTATAAAGTGGAGCAAATGACAACATCACTTCAGAAGTTATAAAGACCAACAAGGCCATATTCTAAAAAAGAATTTCCTACAAATATTAGTTTTAACCAAAAAGAAAGTTACTCAATTCATTTAAGATCATCAAAATCCTTAACAAATGGCAAAATGTAAAAAAACAATGTTTTGAAAACTAATATTTATTTCCAGATATGATTTTAACAATTTTTAAATATTTTCTTTCTTTCTTTTTTTTTTTTTTTTGAGACGGAGTCTTGCTCTGTTGCCCAGGCTAGAGTGCAGTGGCTGGATCTCGGCTCACTGCCAGCTCTGCCTCCCGGGTTTACGCCATTCTCCTACCTCAGCCTCCTGTGTAGCTGGGACTACAGACACCCACTACCATGCCTGGCTGATTTTTTGTATTTTTAGTAGAGACAGCATTTCACTGTGTTAGCCAGGATGGTCTCGATCCCCTGACCTTGTGATCTGCCTGCCTTGGCCTCCCAAAGTGTTGGGACTACAGGTGTGAGCCACCGCGCCTGGCCCAAATATTTTCTATTTTTAATTTTTCCAGCTTTATTAAGGTATAATTGACAAATAAACATTGTATATATTTAAGATGCACAGCTTCATTTTTGCATAATTTATTTTTTCTAATCTATTTCCTTCTGCTGAAAGTAAGGCAAATGTCATATAGACAGCACATAGTTGGATCTTGGTTTTCTTTTTTTTTAAATAGATTTTTCATTCTTCTAGATTTTTTTAAAGCATAATAAACAAACATTGTATATATTTAAGATGTGCAACTTCATTTCTGCTGTATTTTTTTCTGTTCTAATCTTCCTTCTGCTAAATATTCTTGCTCTAAATATATAGCAAGCGTCTCTTGTAACAACATAGAGTTGGATCTTGGTTTTCTTTTACTTTGTTTAATAGACTTTTTTTTTGTCCCCACAGTGTCATTTATTTCCAGTCTTCCTTTCAGAACCAGAAAATGTCTGAAGATGTTAAGATCCCCTGATTACTTAGAGGAAAAACAACTAAAACAAGAAGGCTGTTTATCACTGTTGTGGAAATTTCCTTTTATTCTTGACACAACTTGATGTCTTAAAGTGTGTTTTCTTCTGTGTGAAGTACGTGAGCTTTCTCACTAAGCATTCCCAACTCATTGAATGTGATGTGGTTATAAAGATAAGTTAGGCAGCTAGACCCTGCATTCTAAAAAAGGATTGCTTGCAATGTTGGTTTGGCCATTGATTTGCACAAAGAGACTGTGGCTCTCTGTTGTGAGATCTTCAGCTACCTCATGGTGCAATAACACACACACGCTTAACCATGTTGATGGCACAAAGCGGTGAGCAGTAGGGAGGCAGAGTATCTTGGTGGGGAGGGGATGTTATCAGCTTCTGGGAGATGAAGAATATTGTTGAGGTTCCAAAGATGCTAAATTCTTCAGTGATATAAAAAATCATTGAGCATTCATTATTGCCAGTGAAGTGGGGATGCATTATTTCTGACACCCACAAGCAGGGTTTGATCATCCTTTCAGCTTTGATATATCTGCACATAAAATTATTATTACCTGAAGAAAATAAGGCTGCATTTTGAAATGTTAAGTGCAAAACGACTGATGTTAAAACCATCTGGGGCAAATCTTGGGATACTTTTTCCTAGGAAATCATATGGTTTTGATATGTTTTGGCACATAGGAGACAGAAATGGCGATTATCAGGCATTGAGCCTTTTTGTAGTGTTTTTAGTCTTTGATACTCTGTAAGTACTAGTTCCTAAGGCACCAACATTGCATTCCTTGGTTTATACTTTTTCTATTCATCAGAGTAGGAAATCTTAAATCCTTAGGCATCCAAGAAGTGTACCAGCTTTTTCCTTCCCTTTTAGAAACACTTGTGGGTACGGAAAAATGATGGTTTGGGCATATTGGTATAATTTGAGTAAACTAAGGTTAATGTTCATATAACATTTAGACTTTGCCATAAATATCAGAACCAAAGATGAAGACATTCATGTACAGTCTGGAATGTATATATGGGGCCCATAAAAATTCCCAGTATGCATGTTTTATGCTCACCAATATGAATTGGGATCTTCAAAGAGAGAAGGTTGAAAGTGGAAAGCACTTGAAAGAGCTCCCCGGTTTGTAAAATATCTTTAATCATTCACATTAGGTATCTCGGAGTTGCGGGTCTCAAATGTAGATTCATGCATCATTTGTGCAATTTGAAGATAGTCCATATTTCCTATTTCAGTATTAGGTCCTGCAACACTTTTCAATTCTTGTAGAAGGTTTTTTTCAGGAGTGGTGATGTCTGATGCTCAATTACTGTTTTCTCTATAAGAGTTTCAGCATGAGCTTAATTAAATTCTTGTGAATAAGTCTCTGTGCTTTTAGTTACGTACACACATACATACCTACTTAAATGGAATCTAAACACTTTTAGCCTTTAATCCATTCCATTTTCTAAAACTATCATAAACCATTTTTAATCATTTTAAATAAACGTAAAAGAAAAATAAATGGATTTGATTATTGCATAGCTTTTTCTATATCTCACAAATAAATTTTATGAAATGACTGTAGAAGTGGCCCCAAAATTATGAACCTTCATAGCTGTGAATATGATGCAACAAATCTGTTTTAAAGCTCAAGATATAAATATATAACATATAGCTCTATGAACATATGAAATACATAGTTACCTAATCATGAGACTAAATTCACCTGGGTGACAAGGCTAACGTTCAAGCTACTTAAGATGAAAATATTTGAATCATGATTGCTTGGGGGAACCTCTCTTTGAGGGGTCATGAGGACCACCTGCTGGACATTCTGTTTTCATGCTGAGAAGGTGAGAATTGAACAGATGAGAAAAGCCTTGATAAAACGTCATCTCCATGTATTTTAGAGAAGGATAACCTTGACTGTACAGCTGACCCTTGAACAACACAGGGCTGAACTGCACAGGTCCACCTATATGTGAGTTTGCTTCTGGCTCTGCCATTACTGAGACAGCAGGACCAACCCTCCATCTACTCAATGGGAAGATGATAAGGATGAAGACCTTTATGGTGATCCGCTTCCACTTAATAAATAGTAAATTCATTAATTTTATCTTCCTTATGATTTTCTTCATAACATTTTCTTTAGCTTACTTTACTGTAATAATATGGTATGTAATACATATACAAAATATGTGTTCAACTGTTATCAGCAAGGCTTTCAGTCAAACAGTATGCTATGAGTAGTTAAGTTTTTGGAGAGTCAAAAGTTATACATGGGCTTTCAACTGTGCGGAGGGTCAATTCCCGTCACTACCCCACATTGTTCAAGGGTCAATTGTATAATGTTAAAAGCCACACTTACCTTCTCTTTGTGGGGACTTGAATGCATTTGGTGGTCAATGGATAAATATCTTCACGTTGGAATGAAGAGAAGACATGACTAATTTTAGTAGGGTGAAGAGGAAAATGACAAATATACGAGCTATATTTTTGTTTAACTTTTTCTACACAGATGAAAAAATAACAACTTTTTTTGTCCAAGTATAAACCACTATATGAAATTCTTCTGGTTTTGGGGGCGAGGAAAGTATGATTCTGCTGATTTGCCTTTGACTACTGGAATTGGAATATCCAGTTACACACAGAAACACACCACATACAAACACACACACATACACAAGCACAGTATTAACACACTGATATGAGTTGAATTATGTCCCCTCAAATTCATATGTTGAAGTCCTAACCCCTGGCACCTCAGAATGTGGCCTTATTGAAAATAAGTCTATTGCAGAGGTAATTAGTTTATTGAAATGAGGTTATACTGGAGTGAGGTGAGTTCCTAATCCCACATGCCTGGTGTCTTTATAAGAATGTGGGATTTGGATACAGGTAGTCACACAAGGAGAAGGCTGTAGAGTGATGTTACTACAAGCCAGAGAACAACCCAAAGAGCAAGAGGACCCTGGAACAGATCCTTCCCTAGAGACTTCAGAGGGAGCACAGCCTTGCAGACACCCTGGTTTTGTACTTCTGGCCCCCAGAACTGTGCAAGAATAAACAAATGTCCATTGTTTAGGCCACTCAGTTTGCAATACTTTGCTATAGCAGTTCCAGGGAATGAATATATACGTTAACACATGCTGTGTACATGTTTCTTCCCCCTAATTAAACAAAAATGATGAGGAATTAGTTTAGCTTGCCTGTAGAGGTAGTACGCAAGATTACTCAGGGTTAAATTCCAGACTCTGACACTCAATTTACAGATTCACAACCTGGTTTCTCCATTTCAAGGTGTGCACACTTAGGCAAGTTATACAACCTCTCTGGGCCATGGTTATCCCATTTGGGGGCAACAAAGGAGAGGTATGCTAAGAAGATCTTCCTCTCCAAGATGTGTTGAGGATATAAGACTTAATGTGTGAAGACTGGGCATGGTGGCTCATGCCTGTAATCCTAGCACTTTGGGGGGCCAAGGCAGGTGGATCACCTGAGGTCAGGAGTTTGAGACCAGCCTGGCCAACATGGTGAAACTCCGTGTCTACCAAAAATACAAAAAAATTAGCTGGGCATGGTTGTGCATGCCACCTAGTTGGGAGGCTGGGGCAGAAGAATCACTTGAACCTGGGAGGTCAAAGTTTCAGTAAATGGAGATCATACCACTGCACTTCAGCTGGGGTGAAAGAGTGAGAGACCCTGTCACAAAGGAAGAAAAAAGAAAGAAATGACTTAATGTGTGAAAAGCATTCTCAGTGGTGCCTGGGAGGCAGTAAGGGCTGCCCAGGGGTTGGGGAAAAAAACAAGCTTTTCTGTTAGTGTAAATAAAATCAATCTCATCGAAATACATAGAGCATTTCTTAGGATTGGCTCAAAAGCAACAAACATGAAAAAAAGCTCAACATAACATCACTGATCATTAAGGAAATGCAAATCAAAACCGCAGTGAGATAACATCTCACACCAGTCTGAATGGTGATTATTAAAAAGTCAAGAAACAACAGATGCTGGCGAGATGGTGGAGAAATAGAAACACTTTTACACTGTTGGTGGGAATGGAAGCTAGTTCAACCGTTGTGGAAGATGGTGTGGTGATTCCTCAAAGATCTAGACCCAGAAATACTATTCCGCCCAGCAATCTCATTACTGGGTGTATACCCAAAGGAATATAAACCATTCTATTACAAAGATACATGCATGTGTATGTTCATTGGAGCACTATTCACAATAGCAAAGACATAGAATCAAACTAAATGCCCACCAGTAATATACTGGGTAAAGAAAATGTGGTACTTTACTGGGTAATGTGGTACTTTTCTGGGTAATGTGGTACTTACACAGAAAATGTGGTACTTTACTGGGTAAAGTAATATACTGGGTAAAGAAAATGTGGTACACACACACACACACGTGTCTGTGTGTGTGCATATGTATATATATATGCCGCTATAAAAAGGAATGAGATCATGTCCTTTGTAGGGACATGGATGGAACTGGAAGCCATTATCCTCAGCAAACTTATGCAAGAACAGAAAACCAAACACTGCATGTTCTCACTTGTAAGTGGGAGCTGAACAATGAGAACACATGGACACAGGGAGGGGAACAAAACACACTGGGGCCTGTTGGCAGGTGGAGTGTGGGGAGGGAGAGCATCAGGAAAAATAGCTAATGCATGCTGGGCTTAATACCTAGAGGGTAGGTTGATAGATGCAGCAAACCACCATGACACACATTTACCTATGTAACAACCTGCACTTCCTGCACATGTACTCTGGAACTTAAAATACAAATAAAAATAAAAGAATTGTTTCAGAAGTCAAGACCATGAAGCCAAGGCTGCTCAACCTAACTAAAAACACGGAGTCTTAGAGAATGCACACGTTGTCCACCCAAATCTCTTCTTTCTGTCTTAATAATTTCAACAGTGCTGTATTTCTAGTGTATGGAACTGCGGTCATGGTTCCCCAGCTCAACTACATTTCCCAGCATCCCTTGTGGGTAGGTGAAGTCACATGACTGCACTCTGGCAAATGATGAGTTACCTCTATTTCTGAAGCTGAAAGATACTGTCATGATTTAACGAAAAATTGTCTTCCAGGATGAGGAACACCACGGTGAGTCAGTCCTGCATTTGGGGAGAAATTGCTATCAGGACCCAGTAGGTCTAATGGAGGAATCCTTTCCCTGTGTTTTTTGCATGCGAAAAATAACTGAGGAATAATCTAAATTTAAATTTTTCTTGGGGATCCAGTTATCCAAAGAATTCCTGGGAGCTCTGTGAGAATCTTTACACATCCACCAATCCTTGCTTTACTTGAACACCAAGAACATAAAGATACTTTTTGAAAATTTTAATTTCCCCCTCAATTTTTTTTCCCGATACATACATTTTCTTAAGTTAAACAAGTCCCCAAGTTTTCTCATTAAGTCTTCAAACAAGATGAGCTTTATCCTCTCAGGGTAATTGCTAAAAATCAGTAGTTCTTTCTGATATTTTTTTGCTGGAAGAATTTTTGCTTGAATTCCATAGGCATTCATTTCCCTGAATGAATAGATGATCTTTTCAGCTGCTTGGGAAAGATTCTCCTTCTTCTTTCCAGGGTAAATTCACCTTCAATCTTTGCTGATCATTCATTATGTTGATGGGGGGAGTACAATTTACTAAGACTTTATGTTTTTGCAGACATTTTGGAATTTGACTTTCAAATTGTGTGTGTGTTTTCTGTCTTGTTCATTTTGGAGACTTTTCATACAATCTGTATACTGTTATTTTATCCACTTTCAGATAATTATGTGTAAATTTCATTGCTTTTTCTTCCAGAGATTTTAAAGACTAATTTACCTTAACACATAAATCAGTTTCATCAACTTTCCTTCTGATTTCTAGCAATTCTCCACCTTCTAATGCATTTATACTCAATGACAAGGGCTCACTATCCACTGCATCATCTCCAAGAATGGCAGTCTGATCTGTCTTCAGCAAGTATTTTCTAATATTGTTTGTGTTTGTTCATTAAATCCACTCACTCTTTCTTTGCATCCATTGGCTTCTTGGGAAATCAGGTTTATGCATCTATGAAAACGGAAATTTTCATTCACACCATCTTTTATTGCCATCTTAAGTGAGACTGTTAAATCTCATACGTCTTTCCATTTTACTCATTGATTAATGTCATGTTGAACTGTATTGTGATAGGGCCACTGGATTTCAAATACCATCAAACTTTTTCCTGTCTAGTATTTTGAAACAATGACTTTTCTTTTCATGCATGCACAGATATAGTCCTGCTCATTTTAACAGTTCTTTAGGATTCAAATTCTAAAACCATCAGCAGTGAACCATGTAATTCTTTTCACCAAAAGCAAATTCTTGCTCTGAACCCATCAAGGTTTTCAGTACATGCTATTTTCATACAGCCCTTGATTTTTTTTCAGTTAAGTTCATTTAGATGGTCAGAAATGTCAGTTAAGTGTCATTTGAAGGTAATAACTAACCCTGAAAAATTAGTGGCTTTGGTATAGTTTTCCAAAAATTTAGGCTGGGTGTAGTGGCTCACACCTGTAATCCCAGCACTTTGGGAGGCCTAGGTGAGAGGATTGCTTGAGCCTAGGAGTTCAAGACCAGCCTGGGCAACATAGGGAGACCCCATCTCTAGTAAAAAGTAAAAAATTAGCTGGGCGTCGTAGTGCACACCTGTATAGTCCCAGCTACGTGGGAGGATCACTTGAACACGGAAATTCAAGACCATAGTAAGCTGTGATAGCACCACTGCACTCCAGCTTGGGTAACAGAGTGAGACTATTAAAAGGTACATAGGAAAGAAGGAAGGAAGGAGGGAAGGAAGGAGGAAGGAAGGAAGGAAGGGAAGGAAATTTGATTCTTTTCACCCATAAACTTGTGATGAGACACCAGTTTTGGAAAGCTGCCCTGGTTTGGTAGAAATAGCAGATGGCAAGATTCTGATATTATTTTCTACTATGAAGTTCAAAACAGTCAGAAGTGGGCAGCTTGGTTTTTCTGAAATTTATCATTCTGACAACCGACCCAGACCTAGAGGAGATTTTTCAATGCTATCTGACAGATCTAAAACACATCTTCTTAGAGAACCGTGCAAAAGTGGCAGCTGTTCTGTTTGCTAGGCTTCATTGATCCAAACTACAGGGTTGAGAGTTTTCCTTCAAATGGATAAAGTGAGGGATTCTGCAGTTCTATGAAGGATTTGAGTCAAGGTGATACTTGCCTCTTGAATCCACAGATGCCATTTTTTGCCTTTGAGGACCTGCTAAAGAGTTCAGACTTTTCCTACTGTATGTTTTCTGTGCAGAAGTCATGTTTTGTGGTGAGGACAATGGATTTTGTTTCATTTCATAACTTTTCTCTGCAAATGAGACCTTGAGGCTGCAGAGAAAAAAAATATTGGGGTGCAAAAATCCAAATGGAAATAGGCTCATTAGTTTAGCTAAGGAGGACACTTGTGTTATCTTGTGATTCTAATGACATTCAAGCTTTAATCACAACATTTTTGTGCAAAAGGAAAAATATGTATATTACGTGTATGTGTGTGTATCTCCTGTAAAAATAAAAACAATATATTGTATTAAGGAGGCCTTGCAGCTGTTGTCCTTATAGCTTCAGAAATTTTATTTTTTTCAATGTATTATTCTTAGGTCTGTAGTATGAAAGTTCTTTTAAAATAAGCTGTACAACAATTTCACAAAATATTCAAAATAAAAAAGAGGGAGTTTTGGATATTAATTGTCACTAAATTTAATGATTAAAATACTAAAAATTTTACAAGGGGTGACCACACTAAAATTCATATATCCCCAAAGATCTGTTAAAAATTAGATTTTTCAGGCTGGGTACAGTGGCTCATGTCTGTAATCCCAGCACTTTGGGAGGCCAAGATGGAAGAATCACTTGAGGCCAGCAGTTGGAGACCAGCCTGGGTAACAAAGCAAGACCTCATCTCTACAAAAATATTGTAAAAATAAGCTGGATGCAGTGGTGTGTACCTGTAGTTATAGCTACTTGGAAGGTTGAGGCAGGAAGATCACTTGAGCCCAGGAGGTCAAGGCTGCAGTGAGCTATGATTGTGCCACTGCACTCCAGCCTGAGGAACAGAGTGAGACCTTGTCTCTAAAAGAGAAAAAAATAGGTATTTTGAACATTACAAAAGCCTACAATCTTTTTAAAATTGATTACTTTCATTAAATTATTCTCCATTTAATGTGATTTTAGAAGTAATCCTTTTATATCTGGAAAATGAAGAATAATTTATTATTTCACCCAGAAAATGATAAAGCAGTCTATCAAAATATAGCATTTTAGAAAGCTAATGAAGTAAATAATGTTCTAATTAGGAAGACCTACTGCCAGTAGGAGTAATAGATAATAACAATGCTATTTGCTATTCCTTGTACGTTAGTAGGAAAATGAGAAAAATAAGCTATTAAAATAACTTATTTATTTATTTATTTATTTTTGAGATGGAGTCTCACTCTGTCGCCCAGGCTGGAATAGAGTGGCACAACCTTGGCTCACTGCAACCTCCACCTCCCAGGTTCAAGTTGATAATTTGTCATACTCCGGTTTGAATTTTTGTTCCTGAACTAAACCAAGGGTCGGGATGCTTATTCTGGTGGCCCAAAAACAAGATGCAGATGAACTAGGAGAGAAGGAAGTTTATTTCTGTAACCAGTTATATGGAGAAGGCCTGGACATTACAGCCAGACTAACTCAAAATTACAAAGTTCTCTAGAGCTTCTATACCTTCTAAGTTGTATGTCTACGTGTAAGTGTGCATTCATCTAAAAACAGTGATTAACTCCTTCTAATCTATAACTAAGGTCTGAGTCCTGAAGACCTTCCTCTGGAGCCTCAGTAAACTTATTTAATCTAAATGGGTCCAGGTGATCAGACACTATGGCTGATGTCTGTAATCCCAGCACTTTGGGAGGTTGAGGCAGGCAGATCACCTGAGGTCAGGAATTCAAGACCAACCTGGCGAACATGGTGAAACCTTGTCACTACTAAAAATACAAAAATTAGCTGTGTGTGGCGGCATGTGCCTGTAATCACAGCTACTTGAGAGGCTGAGATAGGAGAATTGCTTGAACCTGGGAGGTGGAGTTTGCAGTGAGCTAAGATCATGCCACTACATTCCAGCCTGGGCAAGACAGAGCGAGACTCTGTCTCAAAACAAAACAAAAAAAGAAGGCAAAGGAATTCTGTGACCAACATGTTTCACAATTTCTGCTCGATTTTATAAATGATGGCAGTTTCCCCCTGAAATCTCTGCAGTTTTATCAGTCTCCCTCCCTGTCTGACTGCCTCAGTCCTTTTCTATCTCTGCCAACTCAAAATGGTTGAAGCAATAAAGACAGCATCCGTAACAAGATGTACTTAGATTCAGGACCTCTGGGCTGGATCAATTTGAGGGCTTAACAATGTCCTCCAGTAGCCAGTTCCCTGTGTCTTGCAGTCCTGTGTTTCATATGTCATTGGCCCACTTCACTCATGGCAGAAGCTGCTGTACCTCCAGACATCACAGCCTCATCCACTAATATCCGGAGGCCCAGTTAAGATCATTTCCTCTCAGATTTTCTCTTTTAAAAACAAAGACATTCTTTCAGGTATCACCCCCAATTCCTCATCCCTGATTTACACACAGCCCCTAACTAAAAGTAATCAGGTGTAGGCCAGCCATGGCAGCTCATGACTATAATTCCAACACTTTGGGAGGCTGAGTCAGGAGGATCACCTAAGGTCAGGAGTTCAAGACCAACCTGGCCAACATGGTAAAAACTCGTCTCTACTGAAAATACAAAATCAGCCAGGCATAGTGGTGGGCGCCTATATTTCTAGCTGCTTGGGAGGCTGAGGCAGGAGAGTCACTTGAACCCAGGAGGTGGAGGTTGCAGTGAGCCAAGATTGTGCCATTTCACATTTCACTCCAGCCTGGTCAAAAAAGTGAGACTCCCTCTCAAATAAATAAATAAATAAATAAAGGGATCAGGTGAGAAAGCATGAAGGAACCCTGGGAAAAAATACAGGCTCCACCAACAATAAGGAAAAATAATGGTTGACTGGGTAGCCAGCAGCATGTGCTGCAAATTATTTGCTTATTTTTGTGTCAAGTTGTTTGCCAATGTAGTTCTTTATATATTATCATGTTAATCATTATCAAAATATAAAATATTGAGTAGTAATTGCAATTGTGACCCACACACATACATATAGATGCATGTTCTGTGTATCGCAAATGTGTTCCCTCATCCTGTACTTGTCTTCAATTCTTAGAACTTTGTCACAATCATTTTGTGCAATGAAATAGCTTGGCACAAACATCTGTTTTTGATTTTTTTTTGTGGTTGTTTGAGACAGAGTCTTGCTCTGTCACCCAGGCTGGAGTGCTGATCATGGCTTACTGCAGCCTTGAACTTCCAGGCTCAAGCAATCCTCCCACTTTAGCCTCCTGAGTAGCTGGGACTACAGGCATGTGCCAACACTCCCAGCTGTTTTTTTTTTTAAATTTTTTTTTGTAAAGATGAGGGGTATCTCACTAGATTGGCCAGGCTGGTCTTGAATTCCTGAGCTCAGGTGAGCCTCCCACTTTAGCCTCTTGAGTAGCTGGGACAACAGGCGTGTGCCAACACTTTGTGCTAATTTTTAAAATTTGTTGTAAAGACAGAGGGATCTCACTATATTGGCCAGGCTGTTCTTGAACTCCTGAGCTCATGCGATCCTCCTGCCTTTACCTCCCAAAGTGCTGGGATGGCAGGCATGAGCCACCATGCCCAGCTGCCTGCTGGGTTTCAATCCTTCCTTTCCCAGTACACATGTAACTTTAAAAAGGTCTTGTAACTAACTCTCCAATAAAATTGTCCCAGGCATATAAATGTCTTGACGTTTTCTTCAAATGCCTCCCTAGGAAAATTGGCATTCACCTATTCCCACCAACAGGGAGGAGAGAAATGTTTACTCTGAATGCACCCATGACAAAGCTCACCTGCTGTCAAGCTCTCCATGGCTTCCTGGAGACCAACACACACAAGAACAGAAGCCCGGCAACCCCCAGGGGAAGATGCCTCCTCCGGGTTTAAAGACGGAGCTACCCTTTTGCCCGGGGATCATGAATGTTGCCTTGTGACTTGGTGCCTTATACTCTGCTTTCAGAGCACCAATTCTCAGTGGAATGGGAGAAACAGGCGGGTGAGGAGAGGTGGGGTGATTTATGGGGCAGAGAATGGTGCAACACCTACACTTGTTTGTGTTGGGAGACTGAGGCCTCCTGCGTTCCCTAAACATGCTGTTTAAACATCCCTGCAACTGGGCCAACGTCTCTTTCTCTGTGGCTGTTTCAACCCTTTTCTGTCTCTGCCAAATCCATGCCCCACCTTCTCCAGCCCTCCTGGCTCCAGCTACCCCTCCCCAACACCCTCAAATCTCAGAAATGCAAGCAGTGCCTCTCAAGCCTGCGCATTAGGAACTCCTGGAGGCCTGGTTCACATAGCGGGGTTGGGGGAAGCCCCGAGACGCAGGGTTCTGATTTCAGAGTTCGGATGCCTAAGAATGTGCATGACACAGTTTCCCAGGTGATGCTGATGCTGCTGGACCAGGACTGAGCCTGCACATCTTACCCCGAATTCAAAATCAAAAGATGTGGTGAGGGTTCTCAGCAAAACGCAGCCTGAGACTCTATTTTGGAGACCCCTGTTCCAGAGAGAAGAACAGTGCTCCTGACACTTGGTGGGTGGGGCCCAGGGACGCTGCTCAACACCCTGCAGTGCACAGGACGCCCCCCACAGTCATTCAACTTAATAGTAGTAAAGTTGAGAAAGATTCTGTCTATTGCCTATCTATGTATCTATCTGTCTATCCATCCATTCATCTATCATCATCATTTATCTATTACCTATGTATCATTTATCTATTATCTGTCCATCTATCTAGCCATCCATCATCCATCTATCGTCATTATTTACGTATTATCTATCATTTATCTAGTATCTGTCTTCCTATCTTCCTCCTCCTCATTTTCTTCTTCATCTTCTTCTATCAATCTATTATCTATCTGTCTGCTTGCCTCCCTGTCTTTCTGCCTCTCAATCTAATCTATCCTCATCATTTATCTGTCCATTGTCTACATATAATCTATGTATCTAACATCAATCTATATGTCTATCCACCCATCCATCTATCATTTATCTATTACCTGTCATTTATCTATCTATGTCTATCTATTATGGCTTTCTGCCTGTCTACCTATCATCATCATCACATTTATCTATTATCTATGTGTCTATCATCATCATCATTTATCTATTATCTATCATCAACATTTATCTATTATTTATCTGTTTCTCTAATCTATCAGTCCTCATTTATGTCTCTGTCTCTATCATCTGTCTACCTGTCATCCCTCTATATTTATCATTGTTTTTCTACCATCTACTTATTTTCTGTTTATTTATATCTATCATTATCTTCCTATCATCTATTGATTATCTAGCTATTATCTGTTTTCTATTATCTATCATCCATCTCTCTACATCTAACCATGGCAGTGGCTGTCACTTGGGTGATTTTGATGCCAGAGAACACATGGTAATGTGTGCAGTCCCTTGTGCTTGTTAGGATTAGGTGGGGTGTGGTACTGCACGTAGCAGGTGGAGCCCAGCGGATGCTGCTAAACAAGGCACAGTGCACAGGATGGCTCCACAGTAATTATCTAGCCCCAAATATGGTTGAAGAGTCTGAGAAAGCCTGCCATAGGCTGAAGAAACCACCAGTGTAATTTGAAGTTTTTCACATCCTTGCTGAAGCACAGGAAAGCTCTGTTTACTTTGTTTTCTTAATTTAGGGAGTGCATTAAAAACATCATAAGGAAATAGAAGCCCAAGTTTTTGTTCTGTTGGGGGACTCTTGGTGATGTCGTCACCATTGTGTGGGGGTGCTCCAGGTATCAGGTGGGTGGAGCCCTGGGACACTGCTCAACACGCTGTAGTGCACAGGATGATGCCACCGCAAAGACCTCAAGCCCTTAAGCACTGGGACTCCATAATGAAGATGGGTTTTCCCCAACTTCTGCTCTGGATAAGATGCCCAGGGGTGGGTGATGTGTGTTAAGGAGATCAGAGGCTTCTGTTATGCATGGGGAGAAAAATGTGTTCACCAGGCCAGAGAGATAAGAGCTGCCTAGAAGGAGGCAGGAGGCAGGCCCCTGCCTGTCTACCCTGCCAGTGAGCTGCTCGACAGCTGACAGAATCTATCCTGAGGATGCCAGCATGGGGTTGTGTTCATTGGGTTCATTGTGACAACTGTCACTGTACTTTGGGAATACCTGGAAACACAAGGTGAAGACGCCATAGGAAGGTTGAGGAAGGGGCAGCATTCCCATGTCTTTCCTTAGGGCCTGGCAGTGGCTCTGCTTGGTGCAGTTCCAAGTTGCTTCCACCCAGAAGGCGCTCTCTTGCTACAGAGCAGGGTTTCTCACTTATTCACTTAACTCATGCACTCGTACACACTTGCATTCACACAATCATCACTCATTCAACTCATGTATTCATACATGCTTGCATTCACACATTCATTGATTCATTCAATTCACTCACGCATGCATGCATTCACACTTTCACTTAATTCATTCATGCATCCATTAACTTGTTCATGCATTCAATTCATTCATTCACTTATACATAATACATGAATTCATGAAATGTATGCAGTCTTCACTCATTCACTCGTGTGTGTGCATTAACACACATGCTAGTTTGTTCAGCTTATTCATGTACTCATACATATTTATTCACTCATTCATTCATCCACATATTCACTTGTCATGTATTCTGTTCATTCACTCACACACACACATTCATTCCTGTATAAATGCATGACTTTACCTGCTCGTTCAATCCTGCATGGATGAATTCACTCACTCACTCATGCAGGCATGAATTCACTTGTTCACTCAGTCATTCACGTGCTCACTCATGCATATACGAATTCGCTTAGTTACTCGTTCATACACTCACTCATGCTGGCATGAACTCACTTGTTCACTCATTCATGCACTCAAGCATACATGAATTCACTTGCTCACTCACTCATACATGCACTCATGCATACATGAATTCACCTGTTCACTTACTCATACATGCACTTACACAAGCATGAATTCACTTAAGTCATTCATGCACTCAATCACTCATGAATTCAGTTGTTCACTCATTCATGCACTCATTCATGCAGGCATTAATTTATTTGTTTACTCATGCATACATGAATTCACCTTTCACTAATTCATGCACTATGCATGTATGAATTCACTTGTTCATTCAATCATTCATGCATTCAACTCATTCATTCCCTCATTCATAGATTCATGCCTTCATTCATGCATGCATGCATTCACCTATTTTTTCCACACAGTCACTCCTCCATTCATGCATGTATCTCTAAATTCCTTCATACATGCATTGGCCCATTCATGCCTTCAACTCATGCATTCATTCCCTCCTTGGCGCAAATGTTGAGTCACTGGTTCATTCATTTCCTCGCTATCTCATTCACGAATTGTTGTTTGTTCATTCTCGCCTCACATGCATTCACGCATACATGCAGTCACTCATACATGCACTCACCGCGTGCGTATAGCCACTCACTCGCTATGTATTCAACAGCTGAGGCCTGAACACTCATTTTTTCTCTCTTTCGTGCATTCATTCATTCATTCATGCGTGCAAGTTTGCGCACGTGTATTTTTCATGCATTCAACAAGATAGTGTATGAGCTCTGCTTTCTCCTCTGGGAGGCTTCCAGAGCGGCCTCCACTCGGGCTGCGCGCTGGCCTTGGGCCCAGGGCCTTAAGTCATCGCAAACATTTACTTTGGGGCCGGCCAATTAAAGGTTAAATGTCCAAACCTAGAAACCGCCAACTGCCAAGGGGGCCGCGGTGGGCGAGGGGCTGGGCGCCGGCGTGGAGCGCAGCCACTGGCGGTTCCTGGGTCTCTCTCCTTGGTAGCTGGGGCTGGACACCAGGAGGCGCGCGGGCTTGCGGGCAGGGGCTGCAGGGCTGAGGAGCTGACCCGCGCCTACCAGGGCTGGGCGGAGGCGGGGCCGGGCTTCAGGACAGAGGCCAATCGCTGCCCTCCGGGCCCCCAGCGCCGGCTTTGGGCAGAGGCAGCCAGGGCGCCGGAAGAGGTGCGGGGGCTGCAGCGGGGTGCAGGGGATCGTATGCAGTGGAGGAGGCCTGGGCGCGGCTGGGGGCCGGGGGGCGCTGAGGCTGCCCGAACGCCTAGGAGGTCTCGAGGGTGGGTGGCGTACAGCGGGGCGCGGGCGGAACCCAGAGGCAGAGGCTGGGGGCTGGGGGAGGGGCGCCGGCCTTGGAGTGCAGAGGTGGGGCGAGAGGCGCTGGGAGCTGGAGGTCAGAGAGAGGTTGCCCAAAAGCAAAGGCGGGGAGGGGTGCGGGGCGCAGGGATAGGCTAGCGGCGCTTGCGGGTGGGTGGGCCGAGCCGAGGCGCCGAGTGCTGAGGAGTACAGGTGGTCCAGGCGCAGTGGGCACGGGGAGACGGAGGCTGCCTCAGTATGGAGGACAGACGGGGGCGGGGACGTAGAGCTGAGAGGCTTGGGGAGGGAGGCGCAGGCCCAAGGCAGAGGCTGCGGGAGCGCGCGGGGAGGGAGAGGTGCAGGGCGTGGAGGGGATTCGGGGGCGCTTGGAGAGGATGGGCAGAAGGCCGGGACGGGGAGGAGGGGCGGCGAGAGGCGCAGGAGTGGGCTGGGGTGGGGCGGCACTGGAGTGACGGGGGAGGGGGCGCCTGGCCTGGGGACACGGGCAGAGGCAGCTCAAGCTCGGAGGAGGTGCAGATACTGGGGTCCGGGAGCGCAGGGGTGGGCCAGGGAGTGGAGAGGGGTGACCGGGTCGGGGGGCAGCTGGGTTGGGGGAAGAGGATGTACCAGTACTCCAAGCAAGTGCGCTGGGCGACGGGGCAGCTGCTGACACCGCTGAGGTCGGGCGGTGTTCCGCGTGCGGTGTCGTTGCTGGGCGCATGGGTATTAAGAATCAGCGGGGTCGCAGGTGACTGTGGGGAGGACAGGGGGTCAAGGGGCCCCTGGCCAGAGGGCACGAGGCTGACCTAGAGCGCCGAGGAGGAATTGCGGGGCGTGGGGGTCTCAGGGGCGTCGGGGGAGGCCGGGGCCCCATGGGGCGCAGGTGACATGGAGTGAGTAGGAGGCCGGGGGTGACACCGGCGAGGCCTGCAGCCGAGGGTGTCGAGGCAGCCACGCTGTCGCCCCCAGGCCTGGAAATCCACGCGGCTTCCCAAAGACGGCGCCTCTGTTCTGCGGGTTCGTGACGAGGATTTATTTCCACCCACTGCGCCTGGGCGCAGGTCTGCGGGTCCGCGCCCACTGCGTGCGGCGCCACGGACCATGTCGGGTGAGTAGCTCAAGCTCCTTCAGTTCAGCCTGCCTGTTCCTACTGGCATGGGTGAGAGATTGGTCTGCACTGGGGAGAACCCCACTTTGACCGCAGGATTGCCCCAAACCCCAAGTCTCCCCCTCACTCCCTCGCCCAGGTCTCTCTGGGGCTGGAGGGAATGGAGATACCAGCCTCAGCTGCTGGGAGGGGGTGATTTACAGCAAGTGAAGGGGACCTTGGGTTCTCACCAGTTTCCTTTTGTAAAATATAGTCCTGAAACTCAATGGGCTTGTTTCTTCGGAATAGCATTGGCTATTCCCAATAGCAGTGTCTGAGCCTGTCACTGCCTGGAAGGCCCATGGGAAGAAGTCTGTTCTGAAACGGCCCTAACTAAAGCTCTGGGAAGACGCTGCCTTGAGTTCTTAAAGTTCAGATCGTGGGTTTAATTTCTGTTTCCAGTACAGATAAAGGGATGGCCGGGCTTGGTGGCTCAGGCCTGTAATCCCAGCCCTTTGGGAAGCTGAGACGGGAGGACTGCTTGAGGCCAGGACTTTGAGACCATCCTGGGCAACATAGGGAGACCATATCTGTAGGAAAATAATTTAAAAATCAGCTGGGCATTGCGGCACGTGCCTGTAGTCCCAGCTACTAGGGAAGCTGAGGTAGGAGGGTCCTGAGCCCAGGAGTTCAAGGTGGCAGTGAGCTATGATTGCACCACTGCACTCCAGCCTGAGTGACAGAGTGAGACCTTGTCTCTAAAAAAATTGAAATTAAAAAAAATAACAATTCAGGTTAATCCTCCTGCAGGCAGAGGGCTGGCTGGCAGGAATGGCAGGAATGGCAGAAAAGGCCTGCCCCGCAAGGACCGGTGAGCCCCATCTCCCTGTCCTTGGGTTTTGTGGACTTCAGATATACCGGTTGACTTAAGAGGCCTAGATATGTGAACATAGATTGTAACCTCATCCCACAAGAAAGATGCTGGCTCTATTTTTTATCATTAAATCATTAAGACACCTCCTTTTTGTACTAGACCACACTGGATCATTCATGAGTGCATTTTATGTATTTATTTTTAAATGTGCATATATACATATATACACATACACACACATATATACACACATATAAATATATATAAACACATATATACACACATATAAATATACATATACATATATACACATATATAAATATATAATACATACATATATGTACACACACATATATATATACACACGTGTGTGTGTGTGTGTGTATATATATGTATGTGTATATATATATATATTTTTTTTCCCTAGAGAGTCTCACTTTGTTGCCCAGGCTCCAGTTCAGTGTTGCATTCTCAGCTCACCGCAGCCTCTGCCTTCCGGGTTCAAGTGAGTCTTCTGCCTCAGCTTCCCGAGTAGCTGGGACTACAGATGCGCGTGCCTGTAGTAGCTAATTTTTGTATTTTCAGTAGAGACAGGGTTTTACCATATTGGCTGGGCTGGTCTCGAACTCCTGACCTTGTGATCTGCCTGCATCGGCCTCCCAAAGTGCTGGGATTACAGGCGTGAGCCACTGTGCCTGGCCCTTAATTGTATATTTTTTAAATTTTGTAGAGACAGAGTCTTGCTATGTTGCCCAGGCTGGTCTTGAACTTCTAGGCTCAAGCAGTCTTCCTCCTTTGGCGTCTCAAAGTTCTGGGATTATAGGGGCAAGCTAGCACGCCTGGCCATGAATGCAATTTAAAACACACAAACAGAACAGATGACTTCTTAATTCAGAGGAGAGATTTGGTAAATCACAGAGCTGCTTCTCTCTTGTTTTCTCTCACTCTGGACTTAGAGAGGAAAATTTTCGGGGCAGGGATCTTAAGGGCTGTTTTCATGAGGTGTACTGGAAGACTCTATTCCCAGGAATAGCAGAAAAGATTCTCTGTTCTAGGGACGCGTTTGGAGCTCTCTAAAGTGAAAGCTACAGGTTTCCCCAAGCCTGCTTGTGTCTGTATAATAACAGCATTCAAGACAGACATTTGCATACATCTTGGTCAGCCTCATGCCAGAAGAGAAGACTCAACTCTTTGCAGAAAACAGAAACTGCCTTTGAGTAGAGAAGGGCTGAGAAGGAAGATGCTAAGGATATTCTGAGGGGTGATCAGAAGATTCCTTGAGTGCAGGGGGGCAGGCAAGGGGTAGAAAGAAACTGTTGTCACAGAGTCATAAAATTCTAAGCCACTGCAATCTCCAGGCTGGACTTGATTTTGTGACAGTGTCTCCTTTTTGTGGGCTGTAGTGTAGTGACAAGTTCTTTTGCTGTTTTTCCACTCCGTGCCTTTGCTGAAAGTCTGCCGCACTGGCACATGAAGTGGAAACTCCCTCTTTGAATGCAGCAGCATTGGATAATTGTGGATGTTCTGTGGCGCCGCACCACGACTTGATCACCAGTTGTTTCTTCAGGGCAAGGTGATGTGGAAGCTAAGCACCTATCAATCAATGTTTCATGATCTGTTCTATTTCAATCCGCTGGTCTGTCTTTGCACTTTAGATGGGTTTTACAGTGTCCTGGATGGGAAGTGGCTAACCTTCAGGAGGTGCACATTTTTGTTCCAAAGCAGAAGTCTGAGTCTCGGATACCTTGTTGCTGGAGAGCTCTTGTGCCAACTGGTGTTGTCTTGTCATTGTGTGACTGTGGTCAGTATTCCCCCAACTCTAAACCAAAGAGAGAAACAGGGTGTCCAGTAGTTCCATAAAACTCTCACTCTAAATGCAGCCCTGTCTGCATTCTCTTTTGGGTTTGAGATCAAGGTAAGTGTGGGCAGGGCTGGTTCCTCCTGAGGCCTCTCTCCTGGGCTTGGTCCTCACAGGGTCATCCCTCTGTGTGTGTCTGTGTCCTAAGCTCCTCTTTTTTTTTTTTTTTGAGATGGAGTTTTGCTCTTGTCACCCAGGCAATGGTGCAATCTGCCTCCTGGGTTCAAGCAATTCTCCTCCTCAGCCTCCTGAGCAGCTGGGATTACAGGCATGCACCACCATGCCCAGCTAATTTTTGTATTTTTAGTAGAGACAGGGTTTCTCCATGTTGGTTAGGCTGGTCTCAAACTCCTGACGTCAAGTGGTCCACCTGCCTCGGCCTTCCAAAGTGTTGGGATTACAGGTGTTAGCCATCATGCTCAGCGTAATCTCCTCTTCTTATAAGGACACCAATCCTATTGGATCAGACCATCCTAGTGACCTAATTTTACCTTGATATCTTCTTTAAAGACCCCATCTCCAAATACACTCACATTTTGAGGTCCTGGAGGTTATGACATTCATATATGAATTTTGGAGGTGTGCAATTCAGCCCATAATAGGATAACTCATGTATTTGAATACTACTGTTTTTTTCTGCTGGGGCTGCCATAACAAAGTCCCACAGACTGGGAAGCTTGAACAACAGACATTTACTCTCACACAGCCCTGGAGGCTGGAAGTCTGAGATCAGGGTGTGGGCAGGGCTGTTTCCTCCTGACGCCTCTCTCCTTGGCTTGTAGATGTGGTCTTGTGGTCTTTCTCTGTATCTCCACAAGGTCATCCCTCTGTGTGTGTCTGTGTCCTCATCTCCTCTTGTAGTGAGGCCAGCAGTGCTACTGTATTAGGGCCCACCCTAGTGACCTCATTTTACCATAATCACCTCTTTAAAGACCCCATCTTCAAATGCAGACACATTCAGAGGTTCTGTGGGGTAGGGTTTCATCCTAGGCGTTTCAGGATGGGTTATCATCCGTCTATAACACCCATTAATCCTCATGTTTTCCCTGAGGTCCCCATGAAGAGCTATAAAGCCAGAGCATGTGGTTATCAATCAATGATCACTCTGCCATTTCTCTTAGTTGTCACTGAGATCCTCATGAAGAGATTAAAAAAACCAGCGCACCTCGCTATCAATCATTGATCACTTTGCCAGTTCGCATAGTTGTCACTCACGTCCTGATGAAGAGATAAAAAGGCCATGCACATGGTTATCAATCATTGATCACTCTGTCATTTCTTTCAGTTGTCACTGAGATCCTCATGAAGGGGTAAAAAACCAGTGTCTGTGGTTATCAGTCACTGATCACTTTGCCATTTCTCTTAGTCGTCAGTGATGCCCTCATGAAGAACTATAAAACTAGCACAGGTGGCGATCAATCACTGATCACTTTGCCATTTCTCTGTGTTGTCCTCTGCACCTTGCTTTGGGCCAATTCACTTGCATCCTCCTTTTCTTTAGACAGCCAGAGGGCCCTCCCTGGCAATGGAGATGAGACCTTCTTACAGGTCTTAGAACCCTGAAATAGCTCCTCATAAGCCTCAGGATAATAGAAAAGGCTGCATATCACCTTCGTAATCCTGGCCCTCTGACCCCATCTCTTCCTGTGGGTCCTTATTCTCCAGCTGCTGTTGCTACACTGTGAGGAATGCAGGATGCAGCATGCAACCTATCATCTCCACCTCTGATCTTGGTTCATGGACTTTTTCTGCCTCTTCCTTCTTTGCCTTATTATTTTTAGTTTAGTTTCTTATTGGAGGCAGGAGAGAGTAGCTATTTTGAGGGCTTTTGTTGGTGTTGGAGTCAGAGGTGACCTCAGACATTTAGTTACTCATTGAAGCCCCAGTTTACTTGTTTTTGAAGCACATGTCTGTGTTGGAAAGGGAATTAATGATAGTGCATAGGTATGCCCCATCTAGACACTCCTGGATGGATGGGAGCCATATTCATTCTTGTTTATTGATCCACTGATTTCTTGATGGATAAGTTCTTCCTGGCCATTTATCCCTGAGCTTGGATGGTGCCCTTTCAAAAACTGCTGCCTGCCATAGGACTTGCCTTGCAGTATTGAAACACCCATTTCTTAGGGCTGATGTTTCTCATGGAGTTGTGGGTGTCTGAGGACAGAGCTTGTACCTTGTTAGCTGCTGGGCCCAGCACGTAGCAGATTCTCGTGCCTGGGAATTGCCTGGGACGTGAACCCACAGTGAACGTGTAATGCACTGACAGCATGTCATTAGGCCCACACAGACATCTTCTGCCCCTTCACCTTCTTTGTCTTCTGCTTCCAGCTTCAAACCTTCACTCTTTCTCTAAGCAGGTGCCATTGTGTGGGCAGCTTATGGGACAGCACTGTTGACTGGGGTAAGCAGTGCCCCCCATAAAACTCACATCTCCCCAGAAGCTGTGAATGGGACCTGTGAACCCAAAAGTATCTGAGACAGGTCTCAATCAATTTAGAAAGTTTATTTTGCCAAGGTTAAGGACATGCCTGTGACACAGCCTCAGGAGGTCCTGACAACATGGGCCAAAGGTGGTTGGGGTACAGCTTGCTTTTACACATTTCAGGGAGACATGAGACATCAATGAATACATGTAAGATACACAATGCTTTGATCTGAAAGGGTGAGACTACTTGAAGCAAGGGGGTTGCGGGGGGTGGTGCCAGGTCATAGGTAGATTTTTAAATGTTCTGATTAGTCGAAAGAGTTATTTTCAATAGAAGAGAATGTCTGGGTTATGATAAGAGTTTGTAGAGACCAAGGTTTTATCACGCAGATGAAGCTTCCAGGTAGCAGGCTTCAGAGAGAATAGATTGTAAAGGTTTCTCATCAGACTTGAGGTCTGTGTGGATGTTTATGGTGGTCAGCTTTTCCTGAATTCCAAAATGGAGGAGGGTATGATGAGGCATGTCTGACCCTCTCCTCATTATGGCCTGAACTCGTTTTTCAGGTTAACTTTGGAATGCCCTTGGCCAATTAGGTAGTTGCGAGGCCTAGAATTTTAGTTTAGATTTACAGACCTTATTGGGAAATAGGGTCTTTGCAGATGTAATTAGTTAAGCATCTCAAGATAAGATTATCCTGGAATATTTGGGTGGGCCCTAAATCCAATGGCAGGTGTTGTCCCAAGAGATAGAAGAAGAGACACAGACACAGAGGAGGCCATGTGGAGTTGGAGGCAGAGATTGGAGTAATGTGGCCACAAGCCCAGGGACATCTGGAGCCACCAGGAGCTGGAAGAGGCAGGAAGGACCCTTCTCTAGAGTTTGGTTTTGGAATCCTGGCCTTCAGAACTGCAAGAGAGTAAATGTGTGTTGTTTAAGTCTCCCAGCGTGTGGTACTTTCTCACAGCAGCCCCAGGAAGCTCATTCATGGGTTTGCTAGGGAAAGGAGTCAGCAATGAGCCCACCAGTAAGCAAAATGAGCATAGCAGGTAAGATGGCACAAGAGATGAAGGGTCCTGTGTCATAGGAGGTGAGGGACTGTGATGAGAAGGGTCGTCTTGGGGAGCAGGGTTTGCAGGAAGATCTCTGAGGGATGGGTGGTTTTTTCCATGGCCACCATGTGCTGGGAGGAGAGTGAGTTCCAGGTGAGTTAAGGGAGTGGTAGTAGCCCCATGGTAGTAGCACACATCATAGGATGTGCTTGAGGACCCAGAGGGGTGGAGCTGGACGTGGGGACTTAGTGTGGGGGATGAGATGACCAGCATCCTGAACCCAGCTTACATTTGCAGACAATGAGAAAACCCTTGGTGTTGGGTTGGCTTTCAGGGCAGCTGATGGCTTTCACTCTGTGTTGGGGGAGAAAATGTGGTTTTTAAGGACTGAGGAAACAGATAACAGGAACCAGAATCTACAGGGTGGAGCAGAGAATGCAAAGGAGAGAAGTGTGGCTCAGGGTGATTGATCAGAGACCCATTTTAAATGTTTTCTAGTCTGGTGCGGTGGCTGGCTCACACCTGTAATCCTAGCACTTTGGGAGGCCAGGACGGGAGGACTGCTTGAGGCTAGGAGTTTGAGACCAGTCTGGGTGACAGAGCAAGAGACCCCATCTCTACAGAAAAATTAAAAATAAATTAACCAGGTGTGGTGGTGAGCATCTGTAGTCCCAGCTACTCAGGAGACCGAGGCAGGAGGATTGCTTGAGCCCAGGAGTTCCAGGCTTCAGTGAGCTGTGATGCTGCTGCTGCACTCAAATCTGGGTGATAGACAGAGAAAGACCCTGTCAAAAAAGAATAAAAAGGCCAGGCACAGAGGCACACCTGTAGTCCCAGCATTTTGGGAGCATGAGGCAGGCAGATTGCCTGAGCCCAGGAGTTCAAGACCAGCCTGGGCAACATAATCTGTCTCTACAAAAAATATAAAATAGCTGGACGTAGTGATGTGCACTCGTGGTCCCAGCTACTCAGGAGGCTGAGGTAGGAGGATTGCTTGCTTCCAGGAAGTTGAGGCTGCAGTGAGCTGAAGTCATACCACTGCACTCCAGCCTAGGCAACAGAGGGAGACCTTCTCTCAAAAACCACCACCACAACAACATAATGAACAACCCCAACATTTTCTGTTGTGCCTCTCGGTTAAGATCTCAGTTAGTTATGCAAGAGTAGAATGTGGGATTGGAGGCAAGTGGACTTCTCCTTACCTCAGAATTCATGTCATAAATGCTCTGCACAGACGAGGCTTCTAGGGCTCTCAGGGAGACCTAGGAGGTGGGTAACAGGGATCTGAATCTACCCGGTGGAGCCCATGTCCCAGGTCAGATGGTGCCAAATTTCATTTTATACATTCTCTGTTCTTCTTCTCTGCTACTTAAGAGCGCAGGTCAGTAAGTGGGGTTGGAAACAGTAGACTCTTCCTTACTAGGGTATAGGAGTTGGCACGCTAAATATTCTGCAAAGCTTGCTCTTGCAGGACCAAGCATCTAAATAGCAAGGTCTAACCTCAGTCATCTGTTTCTGGAGGAAAATCCCAAAGCATGGCCTTTGGAGTGTGATTTAGCCCTCATTCTCAGATTCAGTGGTGAAGTTCAGAGGGGAGCCAATCCCTCTGAGCATCTCGAAGGTGGACAGAACAGTCAGCTCAGGAGGAAATCTCAAAACAACGCCCCTCCTCGGGAGTTCTATTACCTTTGTCATTGTAGTTCCTAAAGGATGCACTCCTTTTCCTTTCTATTCTTTAATTCACAGGGTCCTTAAACATGGTTCCTCAGATTTCAATAATCTATACATTGGAGATCACAAAGAAATCTTAATATTGCCAATGGAAGGCTAAAAATGGTAAATGGCACTTTGTTTTCAGTTTGACATTACTTTGCTGATGATTCTTCTCATAACATATATTATTTGATTTATCTTATTTTTTACTTTGCCATCTACTTTGCAATTACACAGACACACACACACACACACACACACGCTTTCTCTTTAAAGACAGGGCTCTGCTCTGTCACCCAAGCTGGAGTGCAGTGGCACAATTATATCTCACTGCAGCCTCCAATTTCTGGGCTCAAACAATCCTGCTGTCTCAGCTTTTCAAGTTAGCTAGGACTTCAGGCATGTGCAAAAAAATGTATTTTTAAATTAAAAGAATACAAGTCTATTCTTACTGTGAAACACATACTCAAATACCTGCCTGAGAAATGGTATGTGGCGTATAAATGTGCAGCAGATGTGCTAATTGGCCTGGGCCTAGAAATTTAGCTACTTGGTCTGGGTATACAATTTTAGGTTGAGGACCATTGCACTCAAAGAGTTTAGATATGGTGCTTTGTTTTAGTGTCCACTATTCATGATAAGAAGTCTCAGTCTCATCCTTAATAGGATTGACCTGTATTTTTATTTTACTTTCATTTTCTTGGCATTATCACGATGTTCTCCTTATCCTTGGTGTTTTTAAACTCCAGAAACATATTGTCAGGATAAGGACTGTTGAGTTTCTTTCTTTCTTTCCCTGTCTCTCTGTCCCCATCTCCCCTCCCCTCCTCTCTCCTCCCCTCCCCTCCCTCCCTCCCTCCCTTCCTTCCTTCCTTCCTCTCTCTTTCTTTCTTTCTTTTTTCTTTTTCTTTTGCTGCATACTCTCTGGGCTTTTAAAATCTGAAGACTGACTTTCTGCTGCTGTTGAGAACATTTCCTGTTTAATTTCTTTGAAAACTTTTCTTCTATTTTTTTTTCTGTTCTCTTACTCTGAAACTTATGTTGGTGAACCTTCTGAATCACTCCTGTAGGCTTCTAGCTTTCTGAAATTTTCCATTTGTCCCTTAATTGTACTTTCTGCGAGATTTCCTCATTGACATTTTCCAAACCTTCTGTTATTCCATTTTCATTTCAGCAAATCATATTTTTAACTTCTAATAACTATTTCTTATCCTTGGAGTGATCTTTTCTATAGCATTTGATTCTTGGTTTATAGATGTATCCCTCTCCCTGTAATCTTTTGAAAGAATACTAATTAATGCAGTCAGAATTTTTATGTCTGTCTGTCTGTTCCTTGAATTTCTATTCCATGAATTCTCTGGTATTTATGGGGTTCTTCCCATTCTACCCCATAACTTTTTAGTTTTCTCTTTTGTGTTGAAGGTGTTTTTCAAATGCCTGTAATGGTTTATATCTACATGTATAAAAATGAGGAATGTCAGTTGAGCTGTGCCTACTTGCAAGGGTTGCCGACTTGTCTGAATTTGTCAAGGTTATGTTATAGGTTAGGAATTCCACTTCTGTGTGGTGGTAATTATTTTTTCTTGGGCTTTTGGTTTCCTGTAGAGTAGGTCCTATTATCTGATTTTGCCTCTCGTGATGGGTATATTTGGCCTTCGAGAATTCTGCAGAATTTCAGTGACTTCTCCAGTTTCTCTTATTGGCTGACAGTTTTCTCCTGCCTCCTTGTTGGCTTGGGGTTCACACTTGCCTTCCTTAGCACACTTTTTAGTTTGTTCTCCTTTTATCTCAGAAGGAAGGAAAGAGAAACTAGGAGCTCCGCATCCACCATCTTTGCTTGGAAGATTCCTGGTTTACACTTTTAATTACACGGTTGAATTGATGAAAATGCATGGACCTTGAAAACATCATGCTGATGGAAAGAAGCCGGACACAAAAGGCCATATGATGCTTGATTCCATTTACATGAAATATGCAGAACAGGCAGATCCACAGAGATAAAAAGTGATTGGTGGTTGTCACAAGCTAGGGAAGGGAGAAAGGGAAGATACTCCTTAATGAGTGCAGGGTCTCTTTTTGGGGTGATGAAATGTCCCAGGATTAGATAGAGGTGGTGGGTGTACAACATTGTGATGAATTGTGCTCTTTACAATGGTGAATTTTATGTCATCTGAAGTTTACTGTGATAAATAAAAAGGAAATACAAAATTATTCCATTTTCAAAAACTACATAGTGTTTGATTCCATTTATAGGAAATATCCAAAATAGGAATGTAGAGACAGAAAGCAGACTCATGGTTGCCAGAATGGGGAGTGACTGCGTAATGGGTACAGGGCCTCCTTTTGGAGTGATGAGAATATCCTCGGATTGCCTGGAGTTAGTTGTTGCACAACATTGCGCATGGACTAAATGCGAGTCACTTGTGCACTTTAAAATGGTTTGTTTTACGTTATGTTAATTTCCCGTTAATTTTTTGAGAGTTTGCATGGAAAGGTGAAGCTCTTAGCAGGTCGTATGTTTAGGTGTGGGGATACCCATTATGCTGCTTAGAAATATGTTCACACTTAGGGTTCAACACTGGGGGTTCTACTTGGTAATTCTTTCTGTTTCCACAATCTTTCAAGATACGGGTCAGAGAAACCTTGGTGAGGACGGGGTAGGGGATTGGATCTCTGGCTCTGTTTTGGGCATTGTGTGATTTTCGAGGTCTGTGGGTGAAGCTCACACAGTACCTTGGCCAGCTTTGGGCTTTGCGGATGCCAGTCCTGAATGTCTGCTTCCTCTCCCATCTCTCTCCTCTGCTTAGAGACAAAAGAGCCTTACAGATGGCTGAACGGGTCCATGACAGCTATGCCTTTCTTGGGAAATACTTTTGGTCAGAGCTTAGGCCTTGGGAAATGTCTAAAGGAGTAATAATCACCATTATTATCATTTTAAAGCTAGTAATTAAGAAAACTATAGATAGATTATAGATAATGGTGCTAGAGACAATTTATAATCTATAGACTGTAGGTAGGTAGATGTTTGAAAGATTGATAGATATAAAGAAGTAGATACAGAGAGGACACATATATGATAGGTAGATGACAGATGGAGATAGATAAATGGATAATAGAAAATTATAGGTGGAGAGATGATGGAGATAGATGGATGATAGATCATAGATACATAGATGATAAATTTACATAGATGATATATGATAAATAGATGATAGAGATAGATGGATTAGATAGATATACAGATACATGATAGTAAGATAGATAATAAATAATAGATGTGAATAGAATTGGTAGATGATAGGTGGATAGATGGAAGGATGGATAGATGATAGGTAGATGGATAGATAGATGATGGATGGATAGATATATGATTGATTGATAGATGATAAAGACAGATTTATAGTAAGATAGATAATAAATAGATGTACAGAGAATTGGTAGATGATGGATGGATGGATGCATGAATAAATGGATAGATAGATGATGGATGGATAAATGATAGATAATGGAAGGATGGATAAATGAGAGATAGATGGATAGCTGGATGGATGGATAGAGATAGATAATAGTAAGATAGAAAGTAATAGATGTGCAGAGAATTGGTAGATGATAGGTAGATGGATGGATGAATGGATGGATAGATAATAGGTAGATGGATAATACAGATATTATCCAATGATAGATGATAGACGGATAGATAGATGATAGATGAACGGATGGGTGGATGGATGGATGATGGATAGATGGATAGATATGGACTGATGACAGATATCTTTTATTCTACAGAATTAAGTTGTAAAGTTTGCTGTCTATGATACTCACTCCCAGTGGAGATGTCAGGAATTCTTGTTCTTCCTTCCTGCAAGGGTAGGGAGAGGAATCTACAGGAGCAGCTGTAACAGGCGCATTTTGGAATTTACCCCATTGCAATGTAAAGGTCAAGGAGGCAGCCCTGGGCCACACGTCTGGGACACTTGTGTTTGTTATATTTAGTGCGAATTGTGGTTTGGCTTCTCTTGGAGTGCTGCTTCTGGGGAAGGTGCCATGGTTGCCTGCATGCTGAGCATTTTAATTTCCATAGACAGTACACTGGGCTGCACACTGTGTGGGACTTGTTGGTGTTGCTGGCTGCCCTCCTGACTGTTGTCTTTCTCCTGGCAACAGGGGCTTGGGTGCCCAAGAATTGAGTGGTTTAAAAGTCATTACCAAAGTTCACATCAGTCTTATGCACAGAGACTTAAAAGCCATTAATTATATCTAATGTGAGAGTTCCTTCCTCTCCTATTGAGGCATTAGGAAACTGAGCACATTCTACCTAATGAAACAATACACTTCTCCTTATGTTGACTGTACCACCTCATACAACCCTGAGTTGAAGTTGAAGTCTTTGTAAGAAATGGTCTGTCCAGAATTTAAATAACATGTTTGGCTGCTTCTTTGTGGAGCATGATTCTTTTCTTTTCTTTCTTTTTTCTTTTTCTGAAGACAGGGACTCACTCTGTTGACCAGGCTGGAGTTCAGTGGTGTGATCATGGCTCTTTGCAGCCTTGACCTCCTGTGCTCAAGCAATCCTCCTCCCTCAGCCTCCCAAGTAGCTAGGACTATAGGTGTGCACCACCTTGCCTGGCTAATTTTTTTTTTTCCAGTAGAGATGAGGTCTTGCTGTGCTTCCCAGGCTGGTTTCAAACTCCTGGGCTCAATTAGTCCCCCTTCTTCAGCCCTAGCACTGGGATTACAGGCATGAGCCACTGCATCTAGCCCAGAACACAGTTCTTTGAGTTGGATTACATCTTTGCTGTAACTCAGGTCATCAAGTCATCACTTCCACTTTTTGCCTTTTGTTTCCACCTAAGATCTAAACACTTTGGGTGAGTTTTCAAGAGTCAAACACAACATAAAATAAGGGATAGTAGCTATGAGTTTCCATGGCATTGCAGCATCAGGAAACGGGCATAGCCATTGGGTTGACTTTGTCTCATGTTTAAGGTTCCTTCATTCTCCTCCTGTGTTTTGTTTTGTTTAGAATGAAAGGAAGAATGTTTGTGAATTAGAATACTGAATATTCACTGCAAGTCGTGATTTTTTTTTTTCTTTTTTGAGACAGGGTCTCACTCTGTCACCCAGGCTGGAGTAGAGTGGTACAATCACAGCTCACTGCAGCCTCAAACTCCCAGGCTCAAGTATCCTCCTACCTCAGCCTCCCAAGTAGCTGTAACTACAGGTATGCCACCATGCCCAGCTAATTTTTGTATTTTTCATAGAGACAGAGTTTCACCATGTGGCCCAGGCTAGTCTCGAACTTCTTAGGTCAAGCAATTCACCCACCTCAGCCTCCCAAAGTGCTGGGATGACAGGTGTGAGCCACCACATCTGGCCCAAGCCATGAATCTTGGGAGAGGAGAGGAGGTGACTATGGCCTTGTCACCCCTGCTGTCCCTCAGGAGTGTAACTCTGGTGTTTCTGTTGATTTTCACAGTGACTGATCAGGCTTTTGTCACACTGGCCACAGATGACATCTACTGCCAGGGCGCCCTGGTCCTGGGGCAGTCACTGAGGAGACACAGGCTGACGAGGAAGCTGGTGGTGTTGATCACTCCTCAGGTGTCCAGCCTGCTCAGGTAAGGCTCAGAGATGTGGCTTGTGCCCAGATGGGTCCTATAGAAGGAGGGTCACCTCTCCCCCAAGAGGTCCTAGGAGTTATTCTGATGACTGACCACCGTTCTTCACCGGCCTGGATGGCTGGCAATCATGATGGGCATCTTACATTTGTAATGAACCTTCGAATCATGTGAAAATATAGGCGTGTGATCGGCTTCACAATACTTTAAAAAACAATACTGGGTATGGTTACAGTTCATTCTCCCAACCACGGAAACTGAAAATTCAATTCTTTTTTTTTGTTTTTTGAGACAGGGTCTCACTCGTCGCCCAGGCTTGAGTGCAGTGATACCATCTCGGCTCACTGCAACCTCTCCCTCACTGGCCCAAGTGATCTTCCCTCCTCAGCCTTCTAAGCAGCTGGGACCACAAGTATGTGCCCGCATGCTTGGCTATTTTTATTTTTATTTTTTGTATTTTTGGTAGAGACAGGGTTTCGTCACATTGCCTAGGCTGATCTTGAACTCCTGGACTCACTCAGTCCACCCAGGTTGGCCTCCCAAAGTGCTGGGATTACAGGCATGAGCCACGGCGCCCTGCCAAGGAGTCTTTTTAAAAATAATTTCCTTTTACAATTCCCTTTGTCTTTAATTCTCAAATAAAGCAAATACATAAATAAATGCATCTAATGAATAAAGCATAAGGCTTCTCTTAAATGTCATACATTATGTAAGCAATAATCTTTTTCTTTCATCAACCATGGACCACTTAGAAAAAGTGATTTTATATGAATGGGACGAGGAGGCATTTAATATGTAGATGTAGCAGGAATTGAATGTCATATTCTTTGACAACGAAATAATAAATCCAGACATTAATAGCTAAACTAAAAAGAGAACAAATAAAAAACCAACCAGTGTGTCCTCAGACATTTTAAACTAGAAGTGCTCTCCTAAATAACTTGATCTGGGTATAAATGAAAGCTTGAATTACGTACTATTTCAGAAAATGATTCCAATGTGAGTGCTACCTATACAAAGCAAAGACAGCAACTAAAGTGGTACAAGAAAGAAAATTTAAATCAGTGAAGAAATCATCCAGTTCAAATATATACATATTTTTATATATACATATATATGTTTATGTATACGTTCATGTATGTTCATATATGTTTAAATATATATATAAATATATACGTTCAAATATATATATATATTTTTTGAGACAAAGTCTCACTCTGTCATCAAGGCTGGAGTGCAGGGGTGGGATCTTGGCTTAGTGCAACCTCCACCTCCCAGGTTCCAGTGATTCTCCTGCCTCAGCGTCCTGCGTAGCTGGGATTACAGGCACCCAACGTCATGCCTGGCTAATTTTTGTATTTTTAGTAGAGACAGGGTTTCACCATATTGGACAGGCTGATCTCCAACTCCTGACCTCAAGTGATCTGCCCGCCTTGGCCTCCCAAAGTGCTGGGATTACAGGTGTGAGTCACCATGCCCAGCTCCAAATATTTTTAAAATAAAAAAAAGTAAAGCAAACAGCAGTAAAAAAATTCATAAAGATAAAACAACACAACTAATAATTGGGAACAAGAAACAAATTCAGGCATTTGATTAACGCATCTTCAGGGGGGCCAAGGTGGGAGGATTGCTTGAGGCCAGGAGTTTGACAAGACAGTTTGGGTGATATAGCAAGACCCTATCTCTACAAAAAATAAAAAGAGCCAGATGTGGTGGTGCGCACCTGTAGTCCCAGCTACTCAGGAGGCTGAGGTGGGAGGATTGCTTGAGCCCAGAGGTTCGAGGCTGTAGTGAGCCATGATCGTACCACTGCGCTCTAGACTGGGCAACAGAGTGAGCTCCTCTCTCTAAAAATAAAAATAACAAATAAAAATGAATCTTTCATTTGAGAAAACATAAATGTACAAAATAGAAATTGGAAAGAAGTCATTTGGAGGCAGTTTTAAAAGCGAATACTATATAGAACCCCTTATAGTAATAACACTGGAAGTATTGAAGAAGCGCTTGATCCTTCTAGGGAAATCAGTGAGATGTTGGTTGTTGTCATCAGAAGAAATAGAAACCTTCTATTTGACAATAACTATGAGAAAAACTGAAAATGTTACCAAAGGCTTATCTTGTAGAAAGGCCCTGGTTTGGGCAATTTTAAGGGAAGTTCTGGTAAATTGCTTATGATGAATTAATTTCCCTGCTGCATAAAGTGTCACAGAGCCTAGCAAAAGATGAATGTGTTCACTTATTTTAAGAAACTGTTATAATCTTGAAACCCAAACTTGATTTACACATTTGATTGTGTTTATATTTGGATTGAGAAAGCCCTCAAATACAGGATGTTAATAAGGCAACTCTAGCCCTGTAGTAAAGAAATAAATAGAGCTTACCCTAAGAAAGCAAAGATATTTTTGTATTTGTCTATCTTTGCTTCTGGTGTGCTAGAGACGAGCCCCTGCAAACCCCTCAAGTGTTTTAAGAGTTCTTTGTATGTGAGGGACAATAAGAACCTCTCCATTATAATATTGTCAATGTGGCCCTCCGTTTGTTTTATCTTTTACTTTCACACATACTATCTCTGACACACAGCAGTTCTGGTGTCCTCTTCCAACTTGTTTAATTTACAACAGCATTTCCAGCTTCTAGATAAACGAAACATCCACCTGCATCAATATGTGGAGATATTTTTAGTTGTCACAACTGCCACCTCCTGCTAGCATCTGGTGGGTGGAGCTCAGGGATGCTGCCCAACACCCTGCAGTACACAGGACACCCGACCACATGGAACCCCCCAGTCCCAGACAGCAGCAGTGCTGAGAAACTTTCATCTACTTTCTTCTAAGATTTCTCTATGTTTTAAATGTTTACCTCTATATTTATAATATATGTGTTTTTGTTTTTTTTTGTTTTTAAGACACAGTCTTGCTCTGTCACCCAGGCTGGAGCACAGTGGTGCCATCTTGGCTCACTGCAATCTTAACCTCCTGGGTTCGAGCAATTCTCCTGCCTCACTCTCTCAAGTAGCTGGGATTACAGGTGATCACCACCACACCCTGCTAATTTTTTTTTTTTTGTATTTTTAGTGGAGACGGGGTTTCACCATGTTGGCCAGGCTAGTCTCAAACTCCTGACCTCAAGTGATCCACCCAACTCGGCCTCCCAAAATGTTGGGATTACAGGCATAATCCACCATGCCTGGCTTGGAATTCTTTTACCCATCATCTCTTTACTTATACTTTCTATCTATCTATCTATCTATCTATCTATCTATCTATCTATCTATCTATCTTCTATTTATCATCTATCTGTCTCCACCTATGTATCTATCTATCTGTATATCTATCACCTTGAATCTATTAATTCAAGATAGATTAAAGACTTAAATGTTAGACCTAAAACCATAACAACTCGAGAAGAAAACCTAGGAAGTACCATTCAGGACATAGGCATGGGCAAGGACTTCATGTCTAAAACACCAAAAGCAATGGCAACAAAAGCCAAAACTGACAAATGGGATCTAATTAAACTAAAGAGCTTCTGTACAGCAAAGGAAACTACCGTCAGAGTGAACAGGCAACCTACAGAATGGGAGAAAATTTTTACAATCTACCCATCTGACAAAGGGCAAATATCCAGAATCTACAAAGAACTTAAACAAATTTACAAGAAAAAATCAAAGAATCCCATGAAAAAGTTGGCGAAGGATGTGAACAGACACTTCTCAAAAGAAGACATTTATGCATCCAACAGACAGATGAAAAAATGCTCGTCATCACTGGCCATTAGAGAAATGCAAATCAAAACCACAATGAGATACCATCTCACACCAGTTAGAATGGCAATCATTAAAAAGTCAGGAAACAACAGGTGCTGTAGAGGATGTGGAGAAATAGGAACACTTTTACACTGTTGGTGGGACTATAAACTAGTTCAACCATTGTGGAAGAAAATGTGGCGATTCCTGAAGGATCTAGAACTAGAAATGCCATTTGACCCAGCCATCCCATTACTGGGTGTGTACCCAAAGGATTATAAATCATGCTGCTATGAAGACACATGCACACGTATGTTTATTGTTGCACTATTCACAATAGCAAAGACTTGGAACCAACCCAAATGTCCATCAATGATAGACTAGATTAAGAAAATGTGGCACATATACACCATGGAGTACTATGCAGCCATAAAAAAGGATGAATTCTTGTCTTTTGTAGGGACATGGATGAAGCTGGAAACCATGACTCTGAGCAAACTATTGCAGGGATAGAAAACCAAACACTGCATGTTCTCACTCATAGGTGGGAATTGAACAATGAGAACACTTGGACACAGGGTGGAGAACATCACACACTGGAGCCAGTCGTGGGGCGGGGAGAGGGGGGAGGGATAGCTTTAGGAGATATACCTAATGTAAATGATGAGTAAACGGGTGCAGCACACCAACATGGTACATGTATATATATGTATCAAACCTGCACATTGTGCACATGTACCCTAGAACTTAAAGTATAATAAAAAAAATTTATAAATAAAAATGTTTAGGCAATTAAAAAATGTTTCATTGATCTGGAAATGTTATGAGATTATTCATTTTACCAAAAAGACACCTGGACTAGTGTGTTCACTGCAGTACTATTCACAATAGCAAAGACAAGGAATTAACCCAGGCGCCCATCAGCATTGGACTGGATAAAGAAAATGTGGTGTATCTATACCAAGGAATACTTCACAGCTATAAAAAGGAATGAAGTAATGCAACATGGATGCAGCTGGAGGCCACTATGTTAAGTGAATTAATAAAGAAAGAGAAAACCAAATACAGCATGTTCTCATAAGTTGGAGCTAACCAGTGGGTACACATGGACATGAAGATGGGGATGTCAGACACTGGGCACTCCTAGAAGGGGGAGGGAAGGAAGACAGCTAGGGTTGAAAAACCACCTGTTGGGTGTTGAAAGGAAAATAAATTCGGGGGCCCCCAAATCACTAAAGGAAAAGTCCATCTGGGAACTGCTTAGGGCTTCTGCCTCCCATTCTATTCAAAGTCCCCCCTCTGCTCACTAAGATAGATGAATATCTGATTGCCTCATTTGGAAAGGCTCATCAGGAACTCAAAAGAATGCAGCCATTTTTCTCTTATGTATCTGTGACCCGGAAGCCCCCCTCCCCACTTCGAGTCTCCCCGCCTTTGCTTTTTTTCTTTTTTTGTCCTGCCTTTCCAGACTGAACCAGTGTTCAACTTGTATATGTTGATTGACGTCTCATGTCTCTCTAGAATATATAAAACCAAACTGTGCTCTGGCCACCTTGGGCACATGTCGCCAGGACCTCCCGAGGCCGTGTCGCGGGTGTGTGTCCTCAACCTTGGCAAAAGAAACTTTCTAAACTAACTGAGACTTGTCTCAGATTTTCAGGGTTCACAGGTACAGTGCTGAGTACGTGGGTGGGGGGTTCATGCATACCCCATACCTCACTACCATAGAATATACCCCAGTGACAAACCGGCACGTGTACCCCTTAGACCTAACATAAAAGTTGAAATTATTTAAAAATAAATAAATAAATATTATGAGATTATTATCTTGTGGCAAGTGGAAATGATGTGGGAAGGAAAGGATTTCTAGATCTGTTGAATTGGCAGGGTGGATTGATGCCTATAGATCCATAGGAATAAGTTATAGTATTTTTGTTCCTCAAAGCCACTTGGTCAAATCTTGCCGAAACCTTTGGCTGATACTTGGAAGTGTGAAACAGATCCTAGTGTTAAAGCGTTTTTGGGTGGAACTGTAGTTTGAGTAAGAAAGGGGTTTCTTTCCAACCACCATTGAATTAGGAAAAGCAGAGCACTTTTTCTTTCTGGTTTCATAGACCTCTGCTCTTTAGTGTACAGTACTGTTTTAAAAATTACTTATTTATGTATCTTTGGCCGATTACAGTGGCTCGTGCCTGTACCTGGTACTTTGGGAGGCCAAGGCGGACAGATCACTTGAGGTCAGGAGTTCAGGACCAGCCTGGCCAACCTGGTGAAACCCTGTCTCTACCAAAAATACAAAAACTAATGAGGCACGGTGGTGCATGCCTGTCATCCCAGCTACTCAAGAGGCTGAGGTATGAGAATCACTTGAACCCAGGAGGTGGAGGTTGCAGTGAGCTGAGATCATACCACTGCACTCCAGCCTAGGCAACAGAGTGAGACTCCATCTAAAAAATAATAGTAATAATAGAAAAATAAAATAATTGAAATAAATAATGTGTTTATTTTAAAATAAATAATTTTATTTTTTATTTTATTTCTATTTTTTTGACATGGAGTCTCACGCTGTCTTCCAGGCTGGAGTGCAGTGGCCCAGTCACTGCTTCCTGCAGCCTCCAACTCCAGGGCTTCAGTGATCCTCCCACCTCAGCCTCTCAATTAGCTGAGATTACAGGCATGTGCCACCACACCCAGCTAATTTTTTAAACTTTTTAGAGGTATGTTCTCATAGGAGTCTCCCTATGTGGACCAGACTGGTCTCCAACTCCTGTCCTCAAGCAGTCCTCCTGCTTTGGCTTCCCAAAGTACTGAGGATTACAGGCATGAACCACTGTGCCTGGCTCCCATTTTTTTAATAGATCAAATGAGTTGCATAGGTTTACAAACTTGATGTCTTCTATCCCTGCTCTATCCATCATCCTAAGAAACAAAATGAAGTTTTTATTGGCACAGACAATATCTGTTGGAAGCACATTCGTGCAAATCCAGCTATACCTAGTATGTGACATATACTGTGCAAGAATATACTTTACATGAGATTTTAGCATGCCTTGAGGATGCTTGTCTGGATTCCATTGCATAGTTGCTAAATGCTGATGCTCTGTGAGTCTGTCATTATTGCAGCATTTATGGCCTAACACTCAGCTGCACAAAAGAGCTTTTCTGTTTCTCTTCCCTCCCTAGCACACTCCTTCTCCTGAATATCACTACTGTTTTGATTGTTCAATATGTAAAAAGCAGTCCAATTTATTATTTTTTTAATGTTTAAACTGTTCCTTTTTTTTTTTCCTTAAATAACACAGGGTCTTACTCTGTTGCCCAGGCTGGAGTGCAGTGGCATGATCATATAGCTCACTGTAGCCTCAACCTCCTCGGTTCAAGTGATCCTGCCATCTCAGCCTCCCAGGTGGCTGGGACTACAGGCAAGATCCACCATGTTTGGCTCAAATTGTACCAGATTTACCAGTGGAATTCTCTTTAGATGGATTCTTAAGACTATGAACTGATCCCATTAGTATTTTTAAATTTTTATTTATATTTATTTTTGTTTCAGACAGAGTCTCGCTCTGTCACCCAGGCTGGAGTGCAGTGGTGCGATCTTGGCTCGCTACAACCTCCACCTCCCAGGTTCAAGAGATTCTCCTGCCTCAGCCTCCCAAGTAGCTGGGATTATAGGCACATGCCACCATGCCTGGCTAATTTTTGTATTTTTAGTAGAGATGGAGTTTCACCACATTGGCCAGGCTGGTCTTGAACTCCTGGCCTCAAGTGATCTGCCTGCCCTGGCCTCCCAGAGTGCTGGGATTCCAGGCGTGAGCCACAGCACCTGGCCCCCATTAGTCTTTGATCACTTCCTTGCTTCCTGGCAAAATGAGATTCTCCAGAACCATCATAGATTTTCTCCCCTCACAGCTGGGGCCAGACATTTCTCCAAGGTCTTATTTTTAAGAACAAGCCAATTTTTATGTTCTAAATTGACTTCACACCTCCTCAGGGAAACGCAGCCAGTAGTTTAAAAACATCTTTGTAACAAATGAATGCTAAGCCCCACATCTTCTCTCCTTATCTATAAAATAGGGATTACAATACCACCTGCTCATGGGAATTTTCTGAGGATAAAACGAGACAATAAACATAAAGCTCTTAGCACAGTCTGTGGGAACAATTAAGCATGAAAGCATAAGCTGCTGCTCTCATTGTCAACATCTGATTGAAATCTTGTTTTTGAGACAGGGTCTTACCGTGTTGCTTAGGCTGGAGTGCAGCGGCACCGTCAGGGCTCACAGCAGTCTTGACCTCCCAGGCTCAAGTCATCCTCTTGCCTCAGCCCCGCTAGTACCTGGGATGACAGACTTGCACGACCATGCACAGGTAATTTTTTTTTTTTTTTTTTTTTCAGTAGAGACAGATTTCGCCATGTTGCCCAGGCTGGTCTCGAACTCCTGGACTCAAGCGATCTGCCCACATCTACCTCCCAATGTGCTGGGATTACAGGTGTGAGCCACCGTTCCTGGCCTTATTGAGATCTGTAGAGACACTGCCAATAACTTGGGTTTTAAAAATTACATTGCTTGAGCCTGGGAGGTGGAGGCTGCAGTGAGCCAAGATCACGCCACTGCATTCCAGCTTGGGTGACACAGTGAGACTATGTCTCAAAAAAAAAAAGAAAAAAATTAACAAATTAACATTGAGATAAAAAATGTTTATGACTGTGTATGATAATGTTTACAAATTTAGCCAGCCTACGCAACATAGCAAGACCCTGTCTCTACAACAACAACAAAAATAATTAGCTGGGTGTGGTGGTATGTGCCTGTAGTCCCAGCTAATCGGGTGGCTGAGGTGGGAGGATCACTTGTGCCTAGGAGTTTGAGAACACCCTAGGCAACATAGCAAGACCCCAGCTCTATAAAAATACATAAATATAGCCAGGCATGGTGGTGCATGCCTGTAGTCCCAGCTACCTGGGAGGCTGAGGTGGGAGGATCGCTTGAGCCCGGGAAGTTAAGGCTGCAGCAAGCCATGATCGCACCACGTACTGTCCAGCCTGAGCAACAGAGCAAGACCCTGTCTCAAAAAGTAAAAGACTTAGAAATATTAGTAAACATGGTGGACACCTCTTCATTAATTCTGCTTGAACACATGGTGAAGGAAAAGAAGTGACTTGAATAGAGCTAAGGGCTTTTATTCAGCAGATCCTCACCCGACAGCCCCTGTGCACAGATAATTGATTCACTGTGGCACAGCAGGATCTGAGTTTTGTAAGATGAGGAGAAGAGAGGGGTACAAGTTTTTGAGGACTCACCCAAATTTCACTTTTCTGGCCAGGCGCAGTGGTTTTCGCTGGTAATCCCAGCACTTTGAAAGGCTGAGGCGGGTGGATCACTTCAGGTCAGGAGTTGGAGACCAACCTGACCAACAGGCGAAACCCCATCTCTACTAAAAATATGAAACCTAGCCAGGCGTGTTGTTGCACTCCTGTAATCCCAGCTACTTAGCAGGCTGAGGTGGGAGAATCGCTTGAACCTTGGAGGCAGAGGTTGCAGTGAGCCAAGATCTGGCCATTGCACTCCAGCCTGTGCAACAGAGCAAGACTCTGTTTTAAAAAAACAAAACAAAACAAAAGCAAAAAACAAATTACACTTTTCTTCGTCTTCAGCTGTTGCAAAACCTGGCATCGTATCAATTGGAGACTTGTTGCTGTGGTTTAAATGCCTTTTTCTTGGTATTATTGGTGCAGTCCCTTTTCAGCAACTCTCAGGACTGTTTATTTTGCAAGGCTTTGCAATATGTCAAGGTTCAGAGGAAAGTGGGGGTAACAAAAAAGGAGGAGAGAACAAAACAGAAGAGAAACATATAGGAAAAGGAGGCAAGAGTTGAAGCAACATAAACTGGGATGACACAGTTTGCAAAACACAAAACATTAAATTTACCATCTTAACCATTTTCAAGAGTACATTTCAGGCCAGCTGTGGTGGCTCATGCCTGTAATCTCAGCACTTTGGGAGGCCATGGTGAATGGATCTCTTGAGCTCAGGATATGGAGATGAGCCTGTGCAACATGCCGAAACCTCGTCTCTACAAAAAAATACAAAAATTAAAAAAAGAAAAGGTGGGGAGCAGAGTTAAGAGTTCAGTAGAGTTAAGTCTAATCACATTGCTGTGCATGGGTCTCCAAAACTTTTTCATCTTGCAAAACTGAAACTCTGTGTCTGATAGCAGTGGGGAGATCCGAGTTACCCTGAGTTACCAGTGGCGAATCTGTAGGGGTCTGCAGCGATTTCAATACTTGCCTCCTTGGAAGAAAGAATTTGACTGAGGACGTAAGGCAGAAAAAGAGACCAAGGCAAGTTTCAGAGCAGTAGTGGAAGTTTATTTTAAAAAGCCTTAGAACAGAAAGAAAGGAAGGTACTCCTGGAAGAGACGCAAGTGCATGCCTGAAGGTCAAAGAGAGCGAGAGCGAGGGAGTTTAACCTTGATCCTGGGAGTTTACATGCTGGCCTCTTTCTTACCCATGATTCTTCCCTTGGGGTGGGCTGCCCACATAAGCAGTGCCCTTCTTACCCTTGGAAAGTGAGCATGTGCAGTGTGTTTAGGGATTGTACAAATGCCCATCTGAGGCTTTCTTCCTTTTCTGGTGGAGGCTCCTGGAGGGTCATACTTCATACTTCACTGTTTCATCTCTTTTCCCTGGCATTTGCAATCAATTAACACTTTAATGTTAATAGCTGTGTTACTGGAAAGGAGTCCAGGTCCAGACCCCAAGAGAGGGTTTTTGGAGTTCGTGCAGGAAGGAATTCTGAGTGAGTTCATAGAGTAAAGTGAAAGCAAGTTTATTAAGAAAGAAAAGGAATACATGAATGGCTCTTCCGTAGAGCAGCGCCGAGGGCTCCTGGTTTCCCATTTTTATGGTTATTTCTTGATGATATGCTAAACAAGGGGTGGATTATTCATTCTTTCCCTTTTTAGACCATATAGGGAGACTTCCTGACATTCCCATGGCATTTGTAAACTGTCACAGCGCTGGTGGGAGTGTAGCAGTGAAGACCACCAGAGGTCACTCTTGTCACCATCTTGGTTTGGGTGGGATCTGGCCGGTTTCTGTACTGCAACCTGTTTTATCACCGAGGGCTTTGTGTGGACCTCCTGTCTCATCCTGTGACTATGAATGCCTCACACACCTCCTGGGAATGCAGCCCAGCAGGTCTCAGCCTCATGTTACCCAGCCCCTATTCAAGATGGAGTGGCTCTGCTTCCAGTGCCTCTGATAGTGTCACAGGCCATGCTCACTCACATTTGGCTCAGAATAAATCTCTTCAACTATTTTAGAGTTTTACTCTTTTTATCAGCAGCATCTTGTCCGATTCCAATGAGGAACTCTTGAAAGCTAAAACCAAGAAGTCTTCCCCATGGGAGAAGCACCCCCAAATCTTGTTCTCACCAATCAGGCGCATTGGTGGATCTTCCTTTCCTCCCTGTCCTCCCCTTCTCCTCCTGCACCATTTGCTGTTTCCCTTCTCCCATGAATGCTCTCCAGGGCCTGCTGCACTTCTCACAGTGCCCTAACTCCTGGCTCTGCAGGAAAATGACTTTACAGGAATTTCTCCTTGTAAGGATTTTATAACCCAAAGGATGTACCCTGATGGGACAAAACCTAGGGGTGAAAAATTAAAATAGCAGTGTTACCGGAAACGGGTCCCTATCTAGATCCTAAGAGAGGGTTCTTGGATCTTGTGGCAAGAAAGAATTTGGGGTGAATCCATAGATTAAAGTGAAAGCAAGTTTACCAAGAAAGTAGAGGAATAAAAGCATGGCCACTCCATAGACAGAGCAGCAGCATGGGCTGTTGGTTGCCTTTTTTAATGGTTATTTCTTGATTAGATGCTAAACAGGGGTTGGATTATTCTTGAGTTTTCTGGGAAAGGGGTGCGCAATTCCCAGAACTGAGGGTTCCTCCCCTTTTAGACCATATAGGGTAATCTCCTGACATTGCCATGACATTTGTAAACTGTCATGGCCCTGGTGGGAGTGTCTCTTAGTATTCTGTGCTTTATAATTAGCATATAATGAGCTGTGAGGACGGCCAGAGGTCACATTTGTCACCTCTTGGTTTTGGTGGGTTCTGGCCAGGTTCTTTCATGCAAGCTGTTTTATCAGTAAGGTCTTTATGACCTGTGTCTCGAGCTGACCTCCTATCTCATCCTGTGACTTAGAATGCCACACCTCTTGGGAATGCAGCTCAGCAGGTCTCAGCCTCATTTTACCCAGGCTCTATTCAAGATGGAGTCACTCTCATGCAAAAGCCTCTGACAGCAAGATTGAAATAGCTTCAGTAGAGCTCTTCCAGCTCATGAGCTATTTTGAACTTCTCCTTCCTTCCTTCATTACTGCCTTCTACCCCAGTTCAGGTCATGTGACTTGGTGACTTGGCCTCTCTACAAGAACACTGAGACACCTTGTCATTTTGTACACTGGTCAGTGATCTTGCATTCAAATGGATTTCTTCTCTCAGGGGAGTCCATTGGGGATGAAGTGAAGGGTCAAAGGCCATCCAGAATTCATAGGATAGAGTCGGCAGAGAGCCTGGAAAGCGGGAATCTTGTTGATGGCTGGCAGAGGCCAGTCCAGGCATTCTGCCTTTTAGGAGGTTGTGTAGAGCCTCGTAGAAGACAATGGCAGCTGTTTGGGCATTCTTTGGCAGTGTTGTGGATTTGGCTGTTGCTATGGTCTCAATGCTTGCCTTGAACATTGCGTGCCTTGAACATTCATGTGTTGAAACTTAATCCCCAAGACAATAGTTTTAGGAGATGGTGCTTTTAGGAAACAATTAGAGGTCTAGACTCATAAATGGGATAAGTGTTCTTATAAAAGGGACCCCAGGCCAGGCACAGCAGTGGCTCACACCTGTAATCCCAGCACTTTCGGAGGCTGATGCAGCTGGATCACCTGAGGTCAGGAGTTTGAGACCAGCCTGGCTAACATATAGTGAAACCACATCTCTACAAAAAATAAAAAAACAGGCATGGTGGTGCACACCTGTAATCCCAGCTACTTGGGAAGCTGAGGCAGAAGAATCGCTTGAATCCAGGAGGCGGAGGTTGTAGTGAGCCGGGGTTATGCCACTGCACTCCAGCCTGGGTGACAGAGCAAGACTCCATCTCAAAAAAGAAAAAGAAAAGAAATTTAGGAATTTAGGCCAGGTGTGGTGGCTCATGCCTGTAATCCCAGCACTTTTGGAGACTGAGGCAGGTTGGTCACCTGAGGTCAGGAGCTACAGCCCAGCCTGGCCAACATGGTGAAACACCGTCTCTACTAAAAATACAAAAATCAGCCAGGCGTGGTGGCTCATGCGTGTAATCCCAGCTACTCAGGGGGCTGAGGCAGGAGAATTGCTTGAACCCAGGAGGTGGAGGCTGCAGTGAGCAGAGATCATGCCACTGTACTCCAGCCTGGGCAACAAGAGTGAACAAAACTCCATCTCAAAGAAAAAGAAATTTTTTTTTTTTGAGATGGAGCCTTGCTCGTCACCAGGCTGGAGTGCAGTGGTCTGATATCGGTCCCTTGCAACCCCCTCCTCCTGGGTTCAAGTGATTCTTCTGACTCAGCCTCCTGAGTAGCACAGGCACGTGCCACCACGCTGAGCTATTTTTGTACTTCTTACTAGAAATGGGGTTTCACCATCTTGGCCAAGAGGATCTCAATCTCTTGACCTCGTGATCTGCCTGCCTCAGCCTGTCAAAGTGCTGGGATTGCAGGCATGAGCCACCCCGCACCCGTCCGGAATTTGGTAAACTCAATCAAGTTTTTTTTTAAATGGGTCAGGCTTTTGGTGTCTTATCTAAAAAGTTTTCCTAACCCACAGCGAAAAAGACTTTCTCCTCTGTTTTCTTCTGCATGTGTTATAGAGTTTGCACTTACATTTGGGTCTCTGATCCACTTTGAGTTAATTTTGGTGCTGGGTTTTCCATTCATGGAACATGCAGTTGGATTTCTAAAAGGTCAATATATGAAAAATTTCCCGCAAAGTTTTTCTTTTCTTTTCTTTTCTTTTTGAGACTGTCACCCAGGCTGGAGTACAGTGGTGCAATCACAGCTCACTGCAGCCTTGACCTCCCAGGCTCTAGAGATCCTCCCACCTCAGCCTCCCAAGTAGCTGAGGCCACAAGTGTGCACCACCACACTTGCCTGATTTTATATTTTTTGTAGACAGGGTCCCACTGTGTTGGCCAGGCTGGTCTCGAACTCCTGGGCTTGAGTGATCCTTCCACCTTGGTCTCCCAAAGTGCTGGGATGATAAGCATGAGCCACTGCACTCAGCCAGTTTCTAGTTTGGATATTTGAGTGGACTTCCCAGCCCGCACACAGCATGCTCTTTCGTGTAAGATTGTGAGAACGTGCGAGGAGAGAAAAGAGCATGCAGCCAGTGTTGGAGCTTCAGGGACATCCCGGGCACGAGCTTCCCAGGGTCTCCTTTGTTCTGTCTCATGGTTGGCACACCAAGGACGGCGAGAGGAATCTTGGTTTCATGGGGCCTCAAACCAGACATTGAGGAGGTAGGGGAGGCGGTTGCCACTCCGGTCATTCAGTGCATCCAGGCTGTCTAACTGGTTAGGCCACTTGCAAATGTGCAAACCTTAAGTAAAGAAACGGACTCAGGTCAGCAGGGAGGTTTGAACTTTAACTAATGCATCATAAATCCCAGCTCTTATCTTGAACAAGAGTCAAAGACCAGACTTGCAGGCATCCCCCAAGATAAAGGTAGGCCCTCTGCAAGGCAGCTGTAAGTCAGCTCTCCTCCACTCCTCTGGCTGGCCCCCTCCTTATCCGAGTCCTGCTTCCTTCCTCTTTAAATCTGCAGACAACGCTGCTTCTCTGCAGGTTTCTCCGAATATTCCCTCAGCTCACAGACCGGCTGCATACTTGGTATTTTCAGGGTTAGGTTTGCAACACATGACTGGGGAAATGCATGAAAAGGAAAGATGCAAGAATTCACCGCAGACACCTTTAGGTGAGAAGGAGATGTGACAAAAAGTCTCTGCCTGGCCAAACCGTAGCCAGGCTCCTGAAGCCCCTCCCAGGCCCGGTTGTGCGTTTCCTTATAAAATTAGATTTCAGCAAAGTACCTGCTAAGTCAGTTTGGCAAGAAGCCACCATTCTTGATATCAGGTTCCTCATCGTCCACCACCCCTGGTTGATGTTTAACCCCCTTGGCTGGCTTTAACAAGCCAGGTTGGTTTAGCCAGGACCCGCTTCACCTCTGATGTTTCCTTTTAGTGCTTTGCCATCTATACACCCACTGCCTGCCCCCGTGGCTATACATTCCCACTTGCCCTTGCTGTATTCATATTGGAAGTTGAGCCCAGCCTCTCTCCTGCACTGTGAACCGCCATTGCAGTGGTCCCTGTACTTCATACGATAAGCCTGGATAATGTCTTCATTATCTTTTTGGTGACGCTTTCACAAGTTTGAGGTTTGTGCAGAAGTAATAACTGCAATTACCAACCTAATATCACTGAATAGTTTTTTTCTTTAACAAAGGTTTTGCTGCTGGACGAACGAACGAGGGCTGACTGCTTGTTCTTGGGGTTCAATAATGAGGTGCAGACAGATTGGGGAGAAGGGAATTTATTTCTCCAACGGGTTACAGGGAGAAGGTCAGATTAACTCACGAGGTCAACTCAAAGTGACAAGTTTTTTCCAGGGTTTCTATGCATTTTTAAGCTCTATGCCTACGTGTAGGATTGCACCTACAAGCGGGAGTATTTCATTCAGTCCCTATATAATCTTTAACTAGGGTCTGGGGTCTACGAAGCTTTCTCTAGACCCTTGGAAAGTTTCTTAATCCTCTGTAAGCCCTGGTATGAGGTGTATGTGTAAGAATGCTTTTATTATTTGATCCGACTTTAGGGTCTGAGGAAACTCACGCAGGGCCTTCATAGGTTTGTTTTGGCATTTTGGCCCTCCTTCCCCAGCACCACTTTCTCCAGTTCTTTAATGTTTAATTTACGCATTCATCAGAATTATAATAAAGCATTAGGGGAAAAACTGGTTGCTCTGCCTGCTAATGGAAACCTGGCCTGCCACAGTTAGACTCAAAGGGAACCTAACTCTCAAGGAGCCATAATCCCAGCACTTTGGGAGGCCGAAGTGGAGGATTGCTTGTGCCAAGAGTTCGAGACCAGCCTGGGAAACATAGGGAAACCCTATCTCTATACATAAAAAAAAAATTAGTTGGGCATGGTGGCATGTGCCTGTTGCCTCAGCTACTCTGGAGGTTAAGTCTGGAGGATCGCTTAAGCCTGGGAGTTGGAGGCTGCAGTGAGCTGTGATTGTACCACAGCACTCCAGCCTGGGCAACAGAGCGAAACCCTGTCTCCAAAAACAAAACAAAACAAAATAAAAAACAAAAACAAAAACAAAGAGCCATACAAGAAAGTTTTAAAGAATGTATTTTTTTAAAGCCCCAGTGAGGTTTTCTGCAGAAATCCTGGGTGCTTATAAGCCAGCCAGAACCTCTACCTTTAAAGCATATCTGTTCATGTCATAGGTCTTAACAGGTGTGGAGGAAAGTTGAGATTTTTAAATTTAAAAAAAAAGTAAAAAAGAAGATGAACACTTCTGAATCTTCTTTTTTTTCTTTTGAGCATGTTCTCCGGGTGGGGAATGTGCTGTGGTTTCTGAAAACAAAGAAGAAAACATGTCATTCTTGTATTCCAGGTTTTCACGATGGCCTGGGGGAGTGTGATGTTTCTTTTTTTTTTATGTTAATGGATAGCATGAAGGTAATATTTGCCCAAATAATGGGATGGGGTGACGTGGAGGCCAAGGACAGAGGGTGAGGTATTCAACCTGGAGATGACCTTTAACCTCAAGGCTTTCTTCCCTTTAAGACATTTGACTGTTTGTTTTTGTTTTTGTCTTTTTTTGAGACGAAGTCTCTTTATTGTCGCCCAGGCGGAAGTGGCACGATCTTGGCTCACTGCAACCTCCGCCTCCCAGTTCAAGCGAGTCTCCTGTCTCTGCCTCCCAAGTAGCTGGGATTACAGGTGCGCACCACCACACCCAGGTAATTTTTGTATTTTTAGTAGAGATGGGGTTTCACCATGTTGGCTAGGCTGGTCTTGAACTCCTGGCCTCAAGCAATCCACCCGCTTTGGCCTCCCAAAGTGCTGGGATTACAGGCCTGAGCCACTGTGGCTGGCCAAACATTTGCTTTTTTAACAATAATTTATTGTTTTTATTTTTTTTAGATGGAGTCTTGCTCTGTCACCCAGGCTGGAGTGCAGTGGTGCCATCTCAGCTTACTGCAACCTCCATCTCTCAGGTTCAAGCAATTCTCCCACTTCAGCCTCCTGAGTAGCTAGGATTACAGGCACCCACCATCACGTTCAGCTAATTTTTGTACTTTTAGCAGAGATGGGGTTTCACCATGTTGGTCACTGTGGAATTCCTGACCTCAAGTGATCCACCCACCTCAGTCTCCCAAAGTGCTGGGATTACAGGTGTGAGCCACTGTGCCCAGCCAATTGTATATTTCAAAACAACTAGAGGAGTATATTTAGAAATGTTCCCAACACAAAGAAATGATAAATATTTGAGGTAATGGATAGCCCAGTTACCCAGATTTGATGACTACATATTGTATGTTTGTATCAAAAATATCACACCAATCCCATAGATATGTGCAACTCTGATGTATCCATAAAAGTTAAAAGTTTTAAAAATTGCAAGGCACAGTGGCTCAAACCTGTAATCCCAGCACTTTAGGAGGCCAAGTGGGAGGACTGCTTGAAGCCAGGAGTTTAAGGCCAGCCTGGGCAACGTAGTGAGACCCTATCTCTACGAAAAATACAAAAATTAGCTGGGATGTGGGGGCAGGGGGTCCCAGCTGTGCAGTAGGTTCGGACTATACTTCCATCATCAAAGTGACACAGGGTAAGAGGTGAGGATGAAACACACGAGAATTGACTTAGAAAACATATTGGTCAAATCTTAGCTATTCGAGGAATGTAGGAAGAAAAGCTGCCTTCTCTCTGCATGTCTGAAGGTTCCCAACACTGTCTCTTTGCCCAAGGGGCAAACTTTCCATCTGGGCATCTTCTGTGCATCTGAGGATCATTTGCCAATTATAGGCAATGATAGTACGTGTTTCACTGCAGAGTGAGATAAAGTCATTTAATATGACAATAAAGCAATGCATCAAAAACCTCAGTCAACTCAGTAAGCATTTTCTTTTCCTGCTAACCAACCTAATTCTGGTTTCATACAGGGCAGCCAGGTCCCCACCTAAAAGACTGCACTTCTCAACCTCCAGTTGTTTCTATGGATAATGGTTGCAAGCAGAAATTGGGTTGGGGCTTTCAGATAATCCCCCGTCGTAGGGACTGCTTCAAGAGAAAGGGATGCCCTTTGGTTCTTTCTCCTTCCTGCTGCCTGGAGTGTCTGGCACTGTGGCAGCCATGCTGACATAATGAGGCCAACTCTCTGCCATGCTAAGAGTGGCAGAGCTGGGAATTGAAAAGAGCCTGCTAGCCTTGGGTTGTTTACCCTTGATTGGTTCACTACTTGGAAGAGAACACACCCTTCTCTTGTTCTTAATTCTTTAAGTAATTTTTTTTTAAGGCAGGGTCTTACTCTGCCCCCCAGCCTGGAGTGCAGTAGTGCAATCATAGTTCACTGCAGTTTCAACCTCCCAGGCTCAAATAATCCTCCCACTTCGGCCTCCTAAGTAGCTGAGACTACAGCTGTGCACCACGACATCTAGCTAATTATTTGTTTTTTTGTAGAGATGAGATCTCACTGTGTTGCTCAGGCTGGGTAGGTGTCTAACTCCTAGGTTCAAGTGGTCCTCCCACCTTGGCCTCCCAAAGTGCTGGGATTACAGGTGTAAGTCACCGTGCCTGGCTTTGTTTAAGGCATTTGTTTCCCCCAGCATCTGTTACCAGCAGCCTGAAGCCATTTCTATAACAATATCAGGAAGACACATGGACAGAGACCCTAATGTATGAAAAACGCATCAATTCTTTGAGATCAATGAGTCCTCATAAACAGAGACTGAGAGGCTCTAACTTTCCTCTGCTATGTGAGAGTAGGAACAGACACTCCTCCCTGTCCTTTTGTAAGGCTGTTATGTCATCTAGGTGATGAAATTGCAACAATGCTTTAAGACGGAGGGGTGAAAACATCCGGCATTGGCACAATGACGAACCCTGAGATTTAGAAGAGGAAGAAGAGGCATCAGTGGGTGCCTACTGGGACAGTCTTATTTCACAAATCAGGAAAGGGAAACCCTACATGGGCGCAGTGGCTTGTGCCTGTAATCCCAGCACTTTGGGAGGCTGAGGCAGGTGGATGACTTGAGGTCAGGAGTGCGAGACCAGCCTGGGCAACATGGTGAAACCCTGTATCTACTAAAACTACAAAAATTCACTAGGTATGGTGGGGGGTGCCTGGTACCTGTAATCCTGGGTACTCAGGAAGCTGAGACAGGAAAATCGCTTGAACTTGGTTGGCAGAGATTGCAGTGAGCAGAGATTGCACCATTGCATTCCAGCCTGGGGGACAGAGTGACACTCTGTCTCAAAAAAAAAGAAAATGGGGACTCACTGTCAGTCCAGGGCATGTTCCTTGCAAAAAGGGAAGCTGAAGATAGAACCAAGCTTGGAGAATTTTGTTTGCAACGCAGTCAGGCTCTCCTGGATCCTCTCTCACAGTCTTGGCATTCGGGGTGCCATCCCCATCCTTGGGCATGAGCAGAACGGGAAATGTCTGCAGCACGGCTGCAGCCACAGCTTCCACAAGATGTTGCTTGTGGAAAACTGCTGGGGCACAGGACTCAGGGTCTGCCAATGCTTCGACACTGCGGCACCTACCCTTGCTATCATGGCGTGGTACAGGTGCTTGGAGTCAGGGGTCAGGGGCTGTGCCTCAGAGTGGTCCGTGGAGAGGTCAAAGAGCAAAGGGGGTCTGTGATGGGTCATGCCCTCCCTGGAGCATGGGCAGATGCCTCAGCTGTAGCAGGCCCCTGCTCCCATGGGGTGGAACTGTGGGATCACGTAATGAACCTTCCAGATGCTTCCACCTGGCTGCAGACAAGAAGGGAGTCAGGGTGGCAGAAATCCATGCAGGTGTGAACACAGGATGCAGATGTCAGCACTGTGAAATCAGCATGAACCTCCCTGTTCAATGAAAAGGAGGGCGGGCACGAGGCAGTTCACACAATCACAGCCTTCAGCTTGTCAAGTCAGAGCGTGTGTGTGTGCGTGCGTGCACCCGTGTGTGTCCGTTTGTGTCTCTGCATCGCATGCCCCAGGCAAAGGGACTCATTGCAGAGTGCTCACTGTGGCTGCTTTCAGAAATCAGAATCATAGAGGTTCCTTAATTCTTCCCCTTTCCTCCGTGTTGAAACTGTTCAGCGTTGATCTACTACCTTTCTATACAGAAACAACCAAGATATTTTAAACGGCACAATTGGGTACTTACCTATCTATCACTAGCTATTTATCTATCAATCCATCCATTTATCTTACCTATCGATCTCATCTATCGATCATCTATTTATCTATGAATGATCTCTTTACCTATCAATCATCTGTCTCTTGTTTACCTATCCATCACCTATCTACTGTTTATCTCTACTTATTTATCAATCAATGTATCTTATCCATCATCCATCCATTCATCTATCATCTACTTACCTATCTAGCTATCTATTTATCAATTATCTATCTATGCTGTGTCTCCCTATTATCTGTCTAGCCTCTATGGTCTATCTCTGACTACCTATTTATCCATCAATTTATCTTATCTATCATCTATCTCTATCATCTGTCTACCCACCTGTCTATCTGTCAATCTATCGTCTATCTTCTATTTATCCTCTATCATCTATCTGTATCTGTCCATCAATTTATCTTATCTATATCTCTATCATCTATCTACCTACTTGTCTATTTATCATCTATCTCCTCTCTTCTATCATCTATATGTATCTAACTATTTATCTATGTATCCATCAGCTTACACATGTACCTATCTAATCATCTGTCTACCTCTATCTGTCTGCTAATCATGTGTGCTCAGGGTCTTCAGTTGGATTAATTATGGATAATAAAGGCAATAAGAAGAGGGCATGGTGTGGACTCAGCACATTTCTTTCCTTAGAAACATGGCCAGGCTGAGCACGGTGGCTCACGCCTGTAATCCCAACACTTTAGGAAGCTGAGGTTGGTGGATGACTTGAGGTCAGGAGTTTGAGACCACCCTGGCCAAAGTGGTGAAACCCATCTTTACTAAAAATACAAAAATTAGCCAGGCGTGGTGGTGGGCACCTGTAATCCCAGCTCCTTGGGAGGCTTAGGTAGGAGAATTGCTTGAACCCAGGAGGCAGAGGTTGCAGTGAGCTGAGACCACTGACTGCACTCCAGCCTTTGCAACACAGCAAGACTCTGTCTCCCCCAACCCCCCCCCCCAAAAAAAAAAGAAACACAGCCAAATACCAGTCGTCACCCTCTCTGAGATAACAGACTGACTCTTCTTAGCTTGAAAGAAAGGGATCTGCTCTGTGATGGTGAATTTTATCTGCCAGCTTAGCTGGGCCACAGTACCCAGATATTTGGTCAAACACTAGATGTTGCTGTAAAGGTATTTTTAGATGAGATTGAGATTTAAGTCAGCAGATTGGAGTGCAGCAGATTGCCCTCCATAATGTGGTGGGCCTCATTTAATCAGTTGACTGTCTTGAGGAAACAAGAATGACCCAAAAGGAAGAAGGAAATCTGGATTCAGATGACAGTGTAGAAATTCTGCATAAGTCCCTCAGCCTTCAGGCTCAACACTGCAACATCAGCTCCTGCCAGAATTTCTACACTGCTGGCCTGCCCTGCAGATTTCAGTGCTGTCAGCCTGAAACCTACGTGAGATGATTCATTAAAATTTGTCTCTGTTTCTTTCTCTCTCTGTGTACCTACTTACCTACCTATCTATAAGTCCATTGATCTACAGACTCTTATCTATTTATCATCCATCTACCTACATACCTGTCATCTATCTACCTATCTACCATCTATTCTATCCATCTATCATCTATTTATCGATCAACTTATCTATCACCTGTCTATCATCTATCTATTATCTAACTATATGGTCATCTGTCTTTTTCAAACAGCCCACCAGATATCTCTATCTACTTTTCATCCATCATCCATGAAAGATCTATCCATCTATTCATCCATCCATGAACTGCTTCTACTTTTCATCTATCTATATTATCTATCTATCCATCATCTGTCTTATCTATCTATCCATCCATCATGTAACTTATCATTTATCTTATCTATATATCTATCCATCCATTGTGTATCTTTATCTATCTCTCTATCATCTATCTATCCATTATTCTCTCTCTATATATATCCATTATCCTCTCTCTCTCTCTTTTTCTCTCTCCCCCTCCTCTCGTCTATCTATAATCTACTCATTGGTTTATCTATCTGTATTTCTATAGCTGTCTGTCCATCCATCCATCCATCCATCCATCCATCCATCCATCCATCCACACATCCACACATCTTATTGGCTGTTTCTCTGGACAACCCTGGCTGTGGACAGTGTGTACTTACTGTCCTTCAGTTGCCAGTGTGCTGTGTGGAGATGCTACCCACAGTAATGAAACAGGAACTCATGTGCTAAGCATGCCTCAGCTCCCTGCAGCAAGGGCACCAAGCTGCGGTTGTCGATCACCCTGATTCCGTGAAGAGAACACAGAGCAGAGTCAGACCACAGGTTCCCAGGCAGCCTTTTGCACCTGGGAACACATGTTCCAGAATGCAAGCCTTCCCAGCAAATGGAGCAGAGATGGGCTGTCTCTCCAGCTACTGTTAAGATTGCAGGTTGCTGAGCAGGATACATGTGGTTATTTCAAGACATGGTGTCTCTTAAGTGTTGGGGTCATTTATTATGCAGCACTGCATAAGCAGAGTGCACATGCACACACACACACACACACACACACACACACACACCCCAACACACAGCACTGTCACTGTGGATGTTAACACAAAGCCTTCAAATTCCAGCTGGACAGCCCACATTTCCAGGTTGAATTTTCTTAATTTTTTTTTTTGAGTCAGAGTCTTGCTATGTTGCCCAGGCTGCAGTGCAGTGGCACAATCTCAGCTCATTGCAACCTCTGCCCCCTGGTCAAGTGATTCTTGTACCTCATCCTCCTGAGTAGTTGGGACTACAGGCACAAGCCATGACACCCAGCTAATTTTTGTATTTTTTGTAGAGATGGGGTTTCACCACATGGCCAGGCTGCTTTCAAACTCCTGACCAAAGGTGATCAGCACATCTCAGCCTCCCAAAGTGCCAGGATTATCGGCATGAGCCATTGCACCTGACCTGTTCTTACTTTTTAATCATAATAGACCCCAGGACACATGGTCACATGGGTAAAGGAGATGGTGGTGCATGCCTGTAATCCCAGCTACTTGGGAGGCTGATACACGAGAATCGCTTGGGAGGCAGAGGTTGCAGTGACCCGATATCGTGCCATTGCACACCAGCCTGGGCAACAGTGTGAGACTCCATCGCAAAAAAACCCCAAAAAAACAACCAAAAAAAAACCTTATTTATGTAACCAAATACCACCTACCTGTTCCCCAAAATCCTACTGAAAATTAAAAAAAAATAAAAACTAAGAACAATTTAAAAAAAATAGGGAACACGCAGCCTTATTGCCACGTACCTGTCCTGGGGCACCTTGCCGCCTGCCAGCTGGACCACAGGAGGGAACACGTCCATCAGGCTCGTGGGCTCTCCAATCACTCAGCCAGCCAGGAGCACCCTGGGCCAGTGGAAAATCCCGGGCACATGGATCCCATCTTCCCATCCTCCTATGCCCTTCCCACCTGTAAGTAAAAGGCATCATTAGGATTTTGCCGGAAACTGCCCAGTCTATACATATACCTGGATGTATTTGTGCATAGGTATATGAATATGCACAGCCATCTGCACACACACATGCACACTGGGGCAGCCTCAGCTTCCCAAAAACAGCCACAGCAACATTTCCAGAATCGTGCTACTACCTGGGCTCTTGAATATCGGTGGGTCACTGTGGCTGATTCAACTGTTCTTGTAAATCTATGCTACCTTTACTTAGAATAAAAGAATGTATTAAAATATTCATTACATTTAATAATTTAAAAATGCTTGTTAAATACCAATAATTTTAAAAATATTTATCAAATATGCATCAATATTGATGCATTTAAAATATTAAAATAGTAATGCATTTATTAAATATTTAAAAATTAAGAATATAATAAATTTTAATTTTATCTGAATTATTTATTTATACCTCTCTCTCTTCTATTAAAGTGTAAACCCTTTAAAGGAAGGGGATGTGACTTTTTATCTGCCTGTCCTGCTCATCTAGGTAGAACTTGTACTACAGTAGCTGTTCAATACATTCTTTTTGAAATGAGCAAAGTCATTTTCAGTTTGACTTGTTCTGGGACCCTCAGTGGTGGGAGCTATTTGGTCAAATGCATATGTGTCCCCAGTGTCCAGAGCTCACCTTTGTAAATTCTGTTCCATCCCCCTAACTCCTGTGTCCATCTCTTGCCTCTAAATGTCCTCCATGGTCAGAGGTGAAATACGTGAATGTTGAGTTTCTTAAATCATTGTCTTCGATGGCATTAAGAATCTTACCTTTACAGAAAATGGAAAGTTTCAGGACCAAGAAAACAAAGCAGCGTCCGCTAGTTCAATACACTTCTTCCTTTCTGCGTGAGACACCTCTTGCTAGGAAGTCATAAGAAGAGACCACAGTTACTCGGAGGCCATGGTTACGATGTGATCCCAAAGGGTAAGACATAGCTAATCACTGTGATACCACAGGACTGTTTACAATGCAAAGCAACAATAAAATTTGAAGCCCCCTAATCAACTGATGGACTCTCACTTCAGCCAAGGCCATTCCAAAGTCAACCTGAAAAACAAGGTCAGGCCAGGCATGGCGGCTCACACCTGTGAGCCAACACTTTGGGAGCCTGAGGTGAGCGGATTACCTGAGGCCAGGAGTTCAAGACCAGCCTGGCCATTATGGTGAAACCTCATCTCTACCAAAAACACAAAAATTAGGTGTGGGGGTGCATGCCTATAATCTCAGCTACTTGGGAGGCTGAGGCAGGAGAATCGCTTGAACCCAGGAGGCAGAGGTTGCATTGAGGTGAGATTGTACCACTTCACTCCAGCCTGGGCAACAGAGTAAGACTGTTTCAGAAAAAAACCCAAAAGAGGGCCAGGTGCAGTGGCTCATGCCTGTAATCCCAGCACTTTGGGAGGCTGAGGCAGGCAGATCACAAGGTCAGGATATCGAGACCATCTTGACTAACACTGTGAAGCCCTGTCTCTACTAAAAACACAAAATATTAGCCAGGCATGGTGGCAGGCAACTGTAGTCCCAGCTACTCAGGAGGCTGAGGCAGGAGAATGGTGTGAATCCAGGAGGCGGAGCTTGCAGTGAGCTGAGATAGCACTGCGCTGCACTCCAGCATGGGTGACAGACCAAGACTCCCTCTAAAAAACAAGCAAAAAGAAGAAGAAAAAAGAAACAAAAAACAAAAACTAGGTCAGGCTGTGATGGAAAGTGGCGGGGGCGGGGGGTGGGGCGGTGGTGGACATGCGTCATGATACCCTCCCTTTGGAATTCAGGTGCAACTGACCAGCATTCACATTAAAACAGAGGCCTTATGACTGAGAGGTCAGGCATGGTGGCTCATGCCTATCATCCCAGCACTTTGGGAGGCCGAGGCAGTAAGATTGATTGAGCTCAGGACTTCAAGAACAGCCTGGGCAACATGGCAAAACATGCAAAACATACAAAATTAGCCAGATGTGGTGGCACATGCTTGTATGTAGTCCCAGCTACTCGGGAGGCTAAAGTGGGAGGATCGCCTGAGACTGGGAGGGCAAGGCTGCAATGAGTCAAGATCGTACCACTGCAATCCAGCCTAGGCAACAGACTGAGACCCTGTTTAAAAAAAAAAAAAAAGAGTGGTAGAACAGACTCTTTAAGTCTGATAAGAAACATTTACCATGTATTCCCTCTGAAGCCTGCTACCTGGAGTCTTCTTTGGCATCATGAAACCTTGGCCTCCACAACCCCTTATCATAACCCAGACATTCCCTTCTATTGATTCTCAGATAATAACTCTTTCAACTACCTGCCAATCAGAAAATCTGTAAATCCGCCTTTGACCTGGAAGTCCCCCTTTCAGTGGTCTTGCCTTTCTGCACTGAACCAAGGTACATCTTACACATATTGATTGATGCCGTATGTCTCCCTAAATGTATAAAGCTGAGCTGCACGCCGACCACCTTGAGTACATGTTCTCAGGACCTCCTGAGGGCTGTGTCATGGGTCACTGGTCACTGATATTTGGCTCAGAATAAATCTCTCCAAATATTTTACGGAGTTTGACTCTTTTGGTCGACCCCAGGATACCACCAATACAAAACAGAATGAACACACAATGCCAAGAGGTTGCCAGCGGGCATGCTTTTGTAAACATAGTGCCGTGTGTGTGTGTGTGTGTGTGTGTGTGTGTGACATAATAAAGATGCTGGGGAGAGGGAAATGGTGAGACTCAGTGATGACAGAATCCTGTCTATGTAGGAGGAAGCAGGGCTCTAAGTAGCATCTATGGGCATTGGCATTTGGAGTTTGATGGCTCAGCAGTGCAGAGGATGCCCTGCAAACCATGCAATTGCTTTATCCCTGGAGGCCACTGGTCATTGAAAGCACTGACATAAAGTCAAAACGATATAAGCCACATGGTCATCTGTAGCTCCGAAAATGCAGACTTTGAAGACTGCTATAAACTGAAAAGTATCTGAGGCAGGTCTCAATCTCAAGGTTTTATCATGCAGATGAAGCCTCCAGGTAACAGGCTTCAGAGAAAACAGATTGTAAATGTTACTTATCAGAGTTAAGGTCTGTGTGGATGTTCGTGCTGGAGGGGTAGAATGAGGCATGCCCAACTCCTCTTCCCATCATGGCATGAGCCAGACTCTCAGGTTAAGTTTTAGGGTGCCCTGGCAAAGGCGGGAATCCATTCAGATGGTTGTGGGGGGCCTTTAAATTTATTTTTGGTTTACACTATGAACCAATCCCACCCTATCACTATGCTTGTCTCAGGAGATATGTTCAGATTCTGCAAGGATTTTAATATCTACACTCTCTTAAGACCTGCAGCCTCGTTGGTCCTCTCCAGGGTTTCTTCAAGGCCATAGACGGAAGGTGACATCTCTGCATTGTCCTGAACTTTATTGCTTTAGTTTCTGTAACTTCTAATGAGGATGTTAAGTCATTGGCTGTGTAGAAGGTTGATAATATGGTTTGGATGTGTTTCCCCGCCCAAATCTCATGTGGAATTGTCATCCTCAGTGTTGGTGGTGGGGCCTGGGGGGGTGACTGAATGATGGGGGCAGAGTTCTCATGAATGGTTGAGCACCATCTCCCCTTGGTGCTGCAGAGTGAGTAGCTTCTCTCGAGATCTGGTTGTTTAAAAGTGTGCGGCTCCTCCCCTCCTCTCTTGGTCCTGCTCCTGCTTGAGACTCCTGCTCCCTTCACCTTCCACCATGAACAAAAGCTCCCCAAGGTCTCCCCAGAAGCAGACACCGCCATGCTTCCTGTGCAGCCTGCAGAACTATGAGCCAATCCAACCTCTTTTCTTTATAAATTACCCAATCTGTTATTTCTTTGCAAGAATGGACTAATACAGTTGATTTTATGCAGAATTAGACTAAGTAATTGGAAATACTGAAGGAGCAAATAAATGATATGAGAGAAGTTTTTCTTCCTATTATTCATTTTTTATTTCTTTTTATTTTGGAGACAGGGTCTTGATATGTTGCCCAGGCTGGAGTTCAATGGTGCAATAATTATAGCTCATTGCAGCCTCAACCTCCTGGGCTCAAATGATCTTCCCACCTCAGCCTCCGGAGTAGCTGGGACCACAGGTGCACACCACCATGCCTGTCCAATTTTTAAAATTTTTTGTAGAGATGCGGGGGCTCTCACTATGTTGCCCAGGCTGGTCTTGAACTCCTGGCCTCAAGCCATCTCCCTACATCAGCCTCCCAAAATGCTGGGATTAAAGCCATGAGCCACTTTGCCCCACCTGAAAATGTAGACTTCTAAGAATGTGAACTAATCCCACTCTAACACTATGCTTGTCTCAGGAGACACATTCAGATTCTGCAAGAATTTTTATGTCTGTGCTCTTTTAAGAATCTGCAGCCTCACCGGTCCTCTCCATGGTTTCCTGAAGGCCATAGAAGGAAGACAGCGTCTCTGCATTGTCCTGAACATTAACTTTATTGCTTCACTTTCGGTAGCTTCTGATGATGACATGAAGTCACTGGCTGTGTAGAAGGTTGATTTTGTGCAGAATTAGACCAAGTAATTGGAAATACTGAAGGAGCAAATAAATATGATATGGGAGTGTGTTCTGCCCCCATTCTTTGTACTATTATATTATTGTTGAAGAGGCAGGGTCTCACTCTGTTGCCCAGCCTGGAGTACAGCAGTGCAATCTCAGTTCACTGCAGCCTTGACTTCCCAGGCTGAAGCGATCCTCCTGCCTCAGCCTCCTGAGTAGCTGCCACTACAGGCATGTGCCACCATAGCTGGCTAAGCATTTATTTTTGTAGAGATGGGGTCTCACTATGTTGTGCAAGCTGGTTTTGAATTCCTGACCTCAAGCGATCTGTCTACCTGGGCCTCCAAAAGTGCTAAGAGTAACTCTTATTATTTTTATTTTAATTTTTTGTTTGTTTTTTTGAGATGGAGTCTTGATCTGTCACCCAGGCTAGAGTGCAGTGGCACAATCTCAGCTCACTGCAACCACTGCCTCCCATATTTGAGCGATTCTCATATGTCAACCTCCCAAGTAGCTGGGAATACAGTTGTGTACCACCACACTGGGTTAATTTTTATGTTTGTAGTAGAGACAGGGTTTCACCATGTTGCCCAGGCTGGTCTTGAACTCCTGACCTCAGGTGATCCACCTGCCTCAGCCTCCCAAAGTGCTGGGATTACAGGCATGAGCCACCACCGTTATTCTTTATTGCAAGCTGGTTCATATTCAGATGGCCAGTCTGTATGTTCAATGCTGAGGCCGAGGGTGGAGTGAGGCTCCGTGGTACCTTGACTTACCTATGAGCTAGTCCATCTCCTCCACATTATCCCCGTATAAGTCATGATGACTTTTCCCCAGGAATGCACTCGTGGTCACAAGGGGAATGTGCACATGCAGCAAAGAAAGGAAGAGGAGAAATGGCCCATGCTTGTGTCTGAAAGAAGAAAACCTCTTTGAGAATACACAGAACACACAGTACATCAAAGGGACCCCTGCACCCATATGTTCACTCCAGCACTATTCACAAGAGCCAAGGCAGGGGATCACCTTCTGAGGCCATCAGTGGGTGAACACAGAAAGAATAGATGGTGGGCCAGACGCGGTGGCTCATGCCTGTAATCCCAACACTTTGGGAGGCTGAGGTGGGAGGATCACCTGAGGCCAGGAATTCAAGACAGGCCTGGGCAACACGGTGAAATGCTGCCTCTACCAAAAATAGAAAAATTAGCTGGGCATGGTGGTTCGAGCCTGTGGTCCCAGCTACTCGGGAGGCTGAGGTGGGAGGATGGCTTGAGCCCAGGAGGTGGAGCTTGCAGTCAGCCCTGATCACTCCACTGCACTCCAGCATGGATGACAGAGCCAGACCCTGCTCAAAAAAAAAAAAATATATATATATATATATATTTTTTTATATATATACACACTACTATATATATTTTATATACACATATTATTTATATATATATGTGTGTATATATATATACTGTGTATGTCCACAGTGGAATACCATTCAGCCATAATAAAGACTGGAGGCTGGGCACGGTGGCTCAAGCCTGTAATCCCAGTACTTTTGGAGGCCAAGCCTTGCAGATCAGTTGAGGTCAGGAGTTCAAGACCAGCCTGGAGAATATGGTGAAATGGGGAAACCCCGTCTCTAGTAAAAATAAAAAAATTAACAGGGTGTGGTGGCAGGCGCCTATAATCCTAGCCACTCAAGAGGCAGAGGCACAAGAATTGCTTGAGCCTGGGAGACAGGTTGCGGGGAGCCGTGATCATGCCACTGCTCTCCAGCATGTGTGACAGAACCAACCCTGTCTCAGAAAAAAAGGGAATATCTGGTGTATGTACATGATGGAATACTATTCAGCCATCAAAAAGAATGAAATCCTGTCATTTGCAGCAATACAGATGAAACAGGAGGTCACTATGTTAACTAAAATAAGCCAGGCACAGAATGACCAATACTGCATGTTGTTACTCACATGTGGGAGCTAAGAAAAACTGATCACATGAAGATAGAGAATAGAATGATAGAGACCAGAGGCTGGGAAGGATGAAGGACAAAGAGAAGTGGTTTAAACAGTACAAACATACAGTAAGCTTAAAGGAATACATTCAATGTCTGGTAGCAGAGTAGAGTGACCAAAGCTAGCAAAATGTATTGTACTCAGGAGATGGACACTGTAAGTATGCTGACTTGCTCGCTATTCAGTGTATACACGTAACAAAATTTCACACATACCCCATACATTTGTACAAATTAAAAAGTAAGGGCCAGGCACGGTGGCTCACACTTACAATCCCAGCACTTTGGAAGGCAGAGGTGGGAAGATGGCTTGAGCCCAAGAATTCAAGACCAGCTTGGGCCATATAGTGAGACCTTGTCTCAAAAAAAAAAAAAAATAAAAATGAGACATTAGAAAAAGGCCAGGCACAGTGGCTCACGTCTGTAATCCTAGCCCTTTGGGAGGCCAAGATGGAAGGATTGTTTGAGCCCAGGAGTTTGAGAGCAGCCTGTGCAACATAGTGAGACCTCATCTCTACAAAGAATGCAAAAAAAAAAAAAAAAGTTTAAAGAAATGTCAATAAAAATGTACAGAATCCAATGGCGTGTATGTCAATGCTATTGAAGCCATCACATGACATCCACTTCGAGACTCTCATATGGGGAACCCAGCCACATGAAAAGGTTGGCTTCTGCAAAGCTGTCTCTTCCGAGGGTTGGTGTCTGAGATCCCAAAGATTATAAGGAGACTCTCAGATGCTCTGAGCAGTTACTGCCTCTTTTTTTTAATTAAACTTTATTTTTATTTTTTTAGGGACAGAGTCTCACTCTGTCACCCACGCTGAAGCACAGTGGTGTGATCATTGCTTACTGCAGCCTCAACATCTGAGGCTGAAGCGAACCTCCCACCTTAGCCTCCTGAGTAGCTGGCATTTCAGGCACACACCACCATGCCCGGCTAATGATTTTATTTATTGTAGAACCAGTCTTCTTACGTTGCCCAAGCTAGTCTAAAGCACCTGGGGTAAAAGATCCTCCCATCTTGACCTCCCAAAGTGCTGGGATTGAGAGGTGACAGTGTGCTGGCAGTCCTCACAGCCCTCGCTCGCTCTCGGCGTCTCCTCTGCCTGGGCTCCCACTTTGGCGGCACTTGAGGAGCCCTTCAGCCCACCGCGGCACTGTGGGAGCCCCTTTCCGGGCTGGCCAAGGCCGGAGCCGGCTCCCTCAGCCTGCAGGGAGGTGTGTCGGGAGAGGCTCAGCGCTTGCGGGCCAGCTAGAGTTATGGGTGGGCATGGGCTTGGCGGGCCCGCACTCGGAGCAGCCGGCCGGCCCTGCCCGCCCGGGCAGTGAGGGGCTTAGCACCCGGGCCAGCGGCTGCGGAGGGTGTACTGGGTCCCCCAGCAGTGCCAGCCAACCGGTGCTGCGCTTGATTTCTCACCGGGCCTTAGCTGCCTTCCCCCGGCGCAGGGCTTGGGACCTGCAGCCCGCCATTCCTGAGCCTTCCACCCCCTCCATGGGCTCCTGTGCCGCCCGAGCCTCCCTGATGAGCGCCGCCCCCTGCTCCACCTAGCCCAGTCCCATCGACCACCCAAGGGCTGAGGAGTGCACGCGGACCGCCTGGCACTGGCAGGCATCTCCACCTGCAGCCCCTGTGCAAGATCCACTGGCTGAAGCCAGCTGGGCTCCTGAGTCTGGTAGGGAGGTGGAGAACCTTTATGCCTAGCTCAGGAATTGTAAATACACCAGTCTGAACTCTGTATCTAGCTCAAGGTTTGTAAATACACCAATCAGCACCCTGTGTCTAGGTTAGGGTTTGTGAATGCACCAATCCACACTCTGTATCTAGCTACTCTGGTGGGGCCTTGGAGAACCTTTGTGTCAACACTCTGTATCTAGCTAATCTGGTGGGGAGGTGGAGAACCTTTGTATCTAGCTCAGGGATTGTAAACGCACCAATCAGCGCCCTGTGAAAACAGACCACTGGACTCTACCCATCAGCAGGATGTGGGTGGGGCCAAATAAGAGAATAAAAGCAGGCTGCCCCAGCCAGCAGTGGCAACCCGCTAGGGTCCGCTTCCATGCTGTGGAAGCTTTGTTCTTTCACTCTTTGCAATAAATCTTGCTACTGCTCAATCTTTGGGTCCACACTGCTTTTATGAGCTATAACACTCACAGCAAAGGTCTGCCGCTTCACTCCTGAGCCCAGCGAGACCACGAGACCACCGGGAGGAACGAACAACTCCAGACGCGCCACCTTAAGAGCTGTAACATTCACCGCGAAGGTCTGCAGCTTCACTCCTGAGCCAGGAAGACCACGGACCCACCAGAAGGAAGAAACTCCAAACACATCCGAACATCAGAAGGGACAGACTCCAGACGCGCTGCCTTAAGAGCTGTAACACTCAGCGTGAGGGTGGGCGGCTTCATTCTTGAAGTCAGTGAGACCAAGAACCCACCAATTCCGGACACAGGATGACAGGCATGAGCCATCGCGTCCGGCCCCATCTCCTCTTTAAGATGTGATGGTTGCTTACCTTTCAATATAGGAAACATCTTCCTTTAGCATAAGACTCGCTGTTTTCTCCAGAACCATGGGTTGCTCCGTGACGTCATGGTTTCTCATCAGGATACAGTTCCAGCGTCGCACAAACCCAAAGGAGGAGTACCAAGAGATAAAACACAAGAAGCCCATGCCGGTGACTGCTCTCGCGGAGACAGAGATGAAACTGCAGGTCTGGCCAGCAGCCAGGGTGAGAATCCCCAGGGCCAGGAACTGGGTGTAACCCCAGAGCTGCGCCCTCAGGGCGGCGTCCACTTCAGGGGGCCTGCCTGGGTCACAGTCGTTTGTGAGCGTGAAGGGCTTGTCGTAGAAATAGTCAAATCCGTGGTTCTGGGGGTGGTGGCAGTGATCCCCGCGGAATGCACAATTCACACCCTGGTGCCATTTTCCTAAAAGAAACGCAGACGTTCAACGGAGACCCGCTTTGAAGCAGCCCTTTCTGCTGCAAAGAACCTCCGAATCATTCCGCCTCGGCAGGAAAAGAAAAGTCTGCGAAGAGCAAAACTGGAAATGGAAAGGCAATGAATGGATTGGATACCGGTGTTTAAATGAACACATTCTTTTTTATTTTTATTTTTGAGACGGAGTGTCGCTCTGTCGCCCAGGCTGGAGTGCAGTGGCGCCGATCTGGGTTCACTGCAAACTCCGCCTCCCGGGTTCGTGCCATTCTCCTGCCTCGGCGTCCAGGGTAGCTGGGACTGCAGGCGCCTGCCACCACGCCTGGCTAATTTTTTGTATTTTTAGTAGAAACGGGGTGTTAGTCAGGATGGTCTCGATCTCCTGACTTTATGATCCGCCCGCCTCTGCCTGCCAAAGTGCTGGGATTACAGGCATGAGCCACCGCGCCCGGCCTAAATGAATGCATTCTGATCCGTGAAAGACTAATGAATGTATCCATGTCAGAACCCTTGGCAAGTGATTAAAGGTTTAAGACTTTTGGCGGGGAGCCGTGGCTCACGCCTGTAATCCCAGAACTTTGGGAGGCCGAGATGGGAGGACACGGAGTCAGGAGATCGAGACCATCCTGGCTAACACGGTGAAACCCCGTCTCTTCTTAATACAATAAAATTAGCTGGGCGTGGTGGCGGGCGCCTGTGGTCCCAGCTACTCAGGAGGCTGAAGCAGGAGAACAGCGTGAACCCGGGAGGCGGAGCTTACAGTGAGCCGGAGATCGTGCCACTGCTTTCCAGCCTGGGCGACAGAGAGAGACTCCACAAAAAAAAAAAAAAAAAAAAAAAATAGCAATAATAAATAAATAAATAAATAAAAGTTTTAACACTTTCCAGAATGTTGCTCTTACAGTCTTGCAACCCTAGACCATTCTATTAAATAATTTACAAAATATCATTTACATATATATGTAATACATGTATTTATATTATAGGATATATATTACCGATAATATAGATTTTATATATAACCTATAATATAGATTTTATATATAACCTATAATATAGATTTTATATATAACCTATAATATAGATTTTATATATAACCTATAATATAGGTTATATATATAACCTATAATGTAGGTTTTATATGTAATATATTACCTATAATATAGGTTTTATATGTAATATATAACCTATATAACTATAAATATAATGTGATAAATATAAATATTTAAAATGTTATAGTTACATACCTTTCAATATAGGAGTTGCATACCTTTCAAAATATTTATATTTATATATAATGCAAATATAGGTTATATATCATATACATTACAAATATATAGTTACATATTATATGTTATAGCATATTATATATTATACTGAAAAAAGAAAACCTTTATAATGTAAGAATACACAATACATCAAAGGGACCCTATATATAAATTTATATATATAAATAAATACAAATATATATTCTATATAACCTATATGAATACAGGTTATATATAATATATATAACCTATGTATATAAAAATATTAATATTTATATATACAAATATATTAATATAAATAAAATGTATTAATTTTTAAATATACATTCATAACATATAGATATATATATCTGTATAAATATTAATATTTATATATACATAGGTAATCTATAAATATATATAACCTATATATACAGGTAAATAGTTTTTTTTTTTTTTGAGATGGAGTCATGCTGTGTCACTCAGGCTGGAGTTCAGTGGCACAATCTTGGCTCACTGCAACCTCTGCCTCCCAGTTAAGGCAATTCTCCTACCTCAGCCTCCTGAGTAACTGGGATTACAGGCATGCACCACCGTCTCCGGCTAATTTTTTGTATTTTTAGTAGAGATGAGGTTTCTCCATGTTGGTCAGGCTGGTCTTGAACTCCTGACCTCAGGTGATCTGCCTGCCTCAGCCTCCCAAAATGCTGGGATTACAGGTGTGAGCCACCACGCCTCACCACAGGTAAATATCTTTAAGTAACAGATATATTACCTAAAATTTGTAAGTATACATTACCTATATATTTTATATGTCATATATAATATATACTTACATATTTTATAAGGTAATATATATTATATGTTATATATGAGTAATACATAATAGTTGTATATAAGTAAATATAAGTATTATAAGTTATATATAAGTATTAAAGTAAAAATAAAGTATATAAATATATATTTAAGTGTATAAAAAATAAAGTATATATTATATATTATATTTTATATGTATATAAATATATATGTTACTTAAAAGGTAACCAGTTACTAATGATAGTTGACTCCTGAATAATTCTGAAATGTAGTAGCAGAAACTGGCTCTCTCCACCAACTTGTAATCAAAATGCCCTTATACAATTTTTCCTAAGGCAATAACTGTTAGAACAATATCGTAGAGCTAGAATGTGGGGAAGCCCACACCTCAAATTTCAGGAGAATGTCTGAGAACTGGGGTGTCCATGCAACCCTTCTGTCCATCTCACATCCAGACCACCTGCCAACTCAAATTCAGGTACAGAAATAGATGGGAAAGGTTTCAGGGCCTTATTTGCCCCACTTGAAACTAGAGGAGATAAGGCCAGGCATGGTGGCTCTTGCCTGTAATCCTAGCACTTTTGGAGGCCAAGGTGGGAGGATGGCGTGAGTCCAGGAGTTTGAGTCCAGCCTGGGCAAGATGGCAAAACCCTGTCTCTACTAAAAATACAAGAATTAGCCAGGCATGATGGCAGGCACCTGTGGTCCCAGCTACTCAGGAGGCTGAGGTGGGAGGATTGCTTGAGCCTGGGAGGTAGAGGTTTCAGTGAGCCAAGACTGTGACACTGCACTCCAACTCCAGCCTGGGACACCCAGTAAGTAAGACCCTGTCTCCAAAAACAAACAAACAAACAAAACAGTGGAGGAGTTCAAGCTGGTTTCTCCCTACTTCCTCCTGACCATTCCTCACAAACTGTCCTCAGAATCCCTAAAAATGTATCTTTTTCTCAAACCCAGACACACTCCTATTCCCCCTTCTTACATTTAGGGGAAAAAATATGCTTGGATATAGTGAGGAGTGTCTCTGGAACATGAAGAACAGGCTTTCACCAAAACAGACTGAGTATGTGTACCACAAAATGAAGACTCTTAGAAGAAATGCAAATGTTTACCAAGATGCATGCAATCTTGGTAAACAAAAGTAAATCCACTAAAATAGTTAACAAAAGAAAGAAAAATTGGCTGAGTGCAGTGGCTGACACCTGTAATCTCATCAGTTTTGGAGGCTAAGGTGGAAGGCTCTCTTGGGGCCAGGAGTTCAAAACTAGCCTGGGCAACATAGCAAGACCCCCACCTCTACAAAAACAAGAAATAAAATTAGCTGGGCATGGTGGCGCATGCCTGTGGTCCCAGCTAGTTAGGAAGCTGAGGTGAGAGGATCGCCTGAGCCCAGAAGTTTGAGGCTGCAGTGAGCTGTGATTTTGCCACTACATTCCTGCCTGGGTGAGAGAGCAAGAACCTGTCTCTAAAAAAAATAAAATAAAGAATAAATCCACCCTCAGAGTAGGAGATACACAGACTTCTACAGTATAAAGCACTGGCCCTGTAACCCCAGCACTTTGGGAGGCCGAGGTGGGTGGATCACTTGAGGTCAGGAGTTCGAGACCAGTCTGGCCAACATGCTGAAACCCTGGCTCTACTAAAAATGCAAAAAAATTAGCTGGGCATGGTGGCACATGTCTGTGGTCCCAGCTACTCAGGAGGCTGAAGCAAGAGAATCGCTTGAACCCAGGAGGTGGAGGCTGCAGTGAGTTGCAATCGTGCCACTGCACTCCAGTGTAGGGGACAGAGCAAGACTCCATCTCAAAAAAATAAAAATAAATAATAAATAAAAGAAGAAAAAACTTTAAAAAAATTCAAAATAAAAATAAAGTGGCAGGAAACTTGAAAAGGAGGAACAATGGTTGTCCTCCTTTAGAAAACCACAGCTTTGGACAAGTTGGGGTGTTGCGGCTCCTGTGAATGGGACAGTGGCTTTGAGTGTGAGAAAAGCACAGAGAGGAACTGGGGACCCTGCACAGAAATCCCACCACCAGGTTGGGGCGGGTGGCCTCACCACTGCGCTCCCACGTTCTCATGTGTATGACGGGGACAGCACCTCTAAACCCACAGGCTGTGTAAGGAATGAAGGAGGTAACCAGCAGACTGCCTGGTGCTTGGCGGCATAAACCAACATCTCCCTCCTTTCCTCTCCGTGCAGAAAGGAGTTTAAGGGGCAGGCCTGAGCTAGTGCCCCTTAGGAAGGCCGGCTTGTAAGATTCCCCATGGCTGGTGTTTGAGATCTGGATTTCCAGTGGAGAATTCACATTATTAAAATAGTAAGCTGACTGCCTAAGCTATATGCAAAAGCAATGTGGTTCATGCTGTCAGGCCTCTGAGCCCAAGCTAAGCCATCATATCCCCTGTGACCTGCATGTATACATCCAGATGGCCTGAAGTAACTGAAGAACCACAAAAGAAGTGAAAATGGCCTGTTCCTGCCTTAACTGATGACATTACCTTGTGAAATTCCTTCTCCTGGCTTATCCTGGCTCAAACGCTCTCCCACTGAGCACCTTGTGACCCTCCCGGCTGCCCCTGCTGCCTGCCAGGAAACAACCTTCTTTGACTGTAATTTTCCACTACCTACTCAAATCTTATAAAATGGCCCCATCCCCATCTCCCTTCGCTGACTCTCTTTTTGGACTCAGCCTGCCTGCACCCAGGTGAAATAAACAGCTTTATTGCTCACACAAAGCCTGTTTGGTGGTCCCTTCACAAGGACATGAGTGAAACATGCTAAACATCTCCTTTGGCTCTGGGAGTCTGGAATTCGGGTTGGTGCCAGGCAGTGAGTGCCTGCAGGACCAGCCCCCAACAGAAACCCCTGGGCGCTGAATCTCCCCGGAGCTTCCCTAATAGACAGCATTCCATGCGTGTTGTTAAAACTCATTTCTGGAGGAATTGGTGCATCCTATGTGATCCCACTGTGGGAGGATTCTTGGGAGCTTGTGTCTGGTCTGTCCTGGGCTTCATCCATGTAATTCCCTTCACTGATTTTGCCTTACCTCCTTTGACTGTCATAAATCACCCATGAGCACAACTGTATGCCAAGTCCTCCTAGCAACTTCCTGAACTTAAGGGTGGTCTCGGAGACCCTTGACATGCTGTCTCTGATACAGGGTGGTCCTGGAAACCCCTGACATGCTCTTATAAAGGGTGGTCTTTGAGACTTTTGACATGCTGTCTCTTTTAAATGGTGCTCTTGGAGACCCCTGACATGGTATCTGTTATAAAGAAGGTGTTGTGCCCCTGCTGGGGCTTGTTGTCTAAAGGAAGGCAGTGTTTGTTAACTCTGGGGGTTTTGAGATGATGAGTGAACATGTAGAGAAAGATAATGTCTGAAGAAGGTCATGATAAATGGGGACAAGCTGAAGACTGATAGGTCTAGAGAAGAAAAGAGGGCAATCTCCTAGGATTTGGAATTTAAAAAGAAAAAAACTCAAAAAAACTGGGAACAATCCAATAGGTATGAGACGGACCAGGCACCAACTTCTTTTTTTTTTTTTTTTGAGACGGAGTCTCGCTTTGTCGCCCAGGCTGGAGTGCAGTGGCACAATCTCGGCTCCCTGCAAGCTCTTCCTCCTGGGTTCATGCCATTCTCCTGCCTCAGCCTCCTGAGTACCTGGGACTACAGGCACCCACCACCGTGGCTGGCTAATTTTTTGCCTTTTTTTTAGTAGAGACGGGGTTTCACTGTGTTAGCCAGGATGGTCTCAATATCCTGCCCTCATGATCTGCCCGCCGCAGCCTTCCACAGTGCTGGGATTACAGGCATGAGCCACCGCACCTGGCCCCCTGGGCACCAACTTCTGATTCAGAGGAGACAGGATTGTTTTCCTTTGAGGGAAAACAGGATTATTTTTATTATTTTATTATTATTATTTTTTTGAGACAGAGTCTTGCTCTGTTGCCTAGACTGGAGTGCAGTGGTGCGATCTCAGCTCCCTGAAACCTCTGTCTCCCGGGTTCAAGTGATTCTTCTGCCTCAGCCTCCTGAGTAGATGGGATTACAGGTGTGCGCCACCACGCACAGCTAATTTTTGTATTTTTAGTAGAGACAGGGTTTCACCATGTTGGTCACGCTGATCTTGAACTCCTGACCTCGTGATCTGCCCACCTCATCTTCCCAAAGTGCTGGGATTACGGGCATGAGCCACTGCACCCAGACTGGGATCTTTTTTATCATGAATCTTCTCAACCACCATATAATATAAGGCTCCCACATATCCACACTTATGAGGCCAGTTGCATAGTCGCGGTGCTGCAAGATTCTTGCAAAAGTGGTTTCGTTCTCAGGGAGCCACCTGAGCCTGCATTCCACTGAAGGGCCCAGTATCCATTGCTGGCGTCCATGCCTGTGGGGCAGGGAAGAGAGTAAGAATTTACTTTCCCTTCTCTAGAGGAGGACTTCTCAACTATGGGGATTTGGTGTCTGAGATCTGGATTTGCGCAGCCGAGCCAAGCTGCTGTTATCTATCATCCATCTATCATGTATGGAGCTATCACTTATCTACCCATCTATCATCTGTCATCTATCTACCTACCTACCTACCTACCTACCTACCTACCTATCATACTATTCTCAAAATAATAAGCATGGCCAATGTCTGAAGATGTTTGTGGTGTCACAACTCAGAAAGAGTGGGGTGTGGTGCTACTCATATCAGGTGTGTGGAGCCCACGTATGCTGTTCAAGACCCTACATACAGTGCACAGAACGGCCTCACCATAGAGAATTTTCTAGCCCCAAATGTCCATCATGCCAAAACAGAGACACCCTACCTTAGGATGACAGACTCTATGTGATCTCTCATATGCTATCTATCTGTTTACCTATCACCTATCTATCCCAATATGTATCCATCATCTATCATCTATATCTATCCATCTATGTATCTCTTATATATCATTATCATTACTCATCTAGCTATCAATCAGCTATCATTATCATCTATCACTTCTCTATCATCTATCATTATAATCACCTGTTATCTAGCTGTCTAGCTATCAATCACCTATCATGTCATTATCAATCATCTATCATTATGTATCATCATCATCTAGATATTTATCTATCAATTATCCATCATCTACCATTATCATCCATCTAGCATGTATCTAGCTATCAATTATCTATCTATCTGTCTGTCTATCTGTCTATCTATCTATCTCACAATGCTTCTCAACTTGGGGAAACTTTGCTCTCTCTAAGACACACTTGGTCTTGTGATCAGTCATACTGGCTCCAGAATAAACCTCTTTAAAATATTCAACAGACCTTGGCTTTTCTGTTCACATCCTAATGATCACAACTTTTATGTGTATGCACACAATACAATATTCCTTACATAAATATAGGGAAGAGGATGAATTGCAGATAATCTTTGTACCATTGCCCCTATATCTTCACCATCAGTACTCAACTGTTACAGATGATAGAATGAGTGCACACAGATGTGCCCATTCTTCCATCATCTCCATGACACCAACCTGACCTGAAAGAATGTCTCCCCATGAGGAATGCAGCTCGGCTTGGGGTGCAGAGCAGGGTGGCCGCCAGGTGCTGAGTGAGCCTCACACCTTCCTCTGCAAGCTGGTCAATATTTGGCATTCTGAGCAAAGCACACAAATGTCATTGCTGGAAGGGAGACATGCATTTGGCTTAAGCAGATCCCTGCTCTGAAAGGCACAGGAATAGACTGTGAAGACTTCACTGGATTTCAGAATTAGTTGCATTATGGCCTCCTGTAGAGGCAGATTGACCGCTATCCTAAGTTTGGTGTTGATGTTGAGATGGGTGACGTCACACACACACACACACACCCACACACACACCAACACACACACACAGAGTACATGAGACAACTTATGACAAACATTATGAGGCTTTCTAGGGAGAGCAGTGCAGACCTTCCAAGCTCATGTGAAATAAGGAAGCAAAGAAAGGAGATTTATGTTTTTAATTGCTGTGAGGGTGTGGGGATTGGATGAGAGTTCCCATGCAAGGGTGGGGGCGTTTATGGTCTGAATCTGCCATCAGCACCAAAGTAGACATTCCCTGTGCTTTCTTATCTGCTTGTCCAGATGGGGAACACAGAGAGAAGAGGCCTAAAAGCTTTCAGCATCAGATATCAAAAAACAGTGAGGGCCGGGCATGGTGACTCATGCCAATAATCTCAACACTCTGGGAGGCCTAGGCGGGCAGATCACTTGAGGTCAGGAGTTCAAGACCAGCCTAGCCAACATGGTAAAACCCCGTCTCTACTAAAAAAAAAATACAAAAATTAGTCAGGCAAGATGGTGCACACCTGTAATCCCAGCTACCCGGAAGGCTGAGACAGGAGAATAGCTTGAGCCCAGGAGGCGGGGGTTGCAGTGAGCCGAGATCGCACCAGTGCTCTCCAGGCTTGGTGAAAGAACAAAGTGAGACCCTGTCTCAAAAAAGAAAAAAAAGGAAGCCAAAAGAGGTATCCACATAGAATGGAATCTGTGGAATTCTCATAGATTCAGCCACTGCAAGGCGTGAGGCACGGTACTGACACTTGCTGCCACAGGGAGGAACCCTGAAAACACTGGTCTGTGAAAGCATCCTGACATAAAAGACCACAGGTTATATAATTGCATTTGTATGAAATGTCCCTAACAGGGGAGTCTATAGAGATGGAAAGTACATTAGTGGCTGCCAGACACGGAGGGTTAGGGTGCTGAGAGGTGGAGGAGTGTTAGCTGGGGCTGCCATAACAAAGTCCTACATACCTGGCCGCTTCAACACCAGATATTGGTCGGGCACAGTGGCTCATGAGTGTCATCCCAGCACTTTGGGGGGCCAAGGCCAAGGTGGGTGGATCACTTGAGGCCAGGAGTTCGAGACCAGCCTTGGCAACATAGTGAAAACCTGCCTCTACAAAAAATACAAGGATGTGGTGGCATGTGTTTGCAGTCTCAGCTACTCATGAGGCTGAGGTGGGAGGATTGCTTGAGACGAGGAGAGGGAGGTTGCAGTGAGCTGTGATCATGCCACTGCATTCCAGCCAACAGAGTGAGACCCTCTCTCAAAAAAACAAAACAAAATAAAACAGAAAAACAAACCCAGTAGACATTTATTCTCTCACATTTCTGGGAGCTGGAAGTCTGAGATCAAGCATGGGCAGGGCTGGTTCCTCCTGAGGCCACCATCCTGGGCTCGTAGACACCATCTTCTCCCTGTGTCCTCAGGTGGTCATTGCTCTATGTGTGTCTGTGTCCTTATCTCCTCTTCTTATGAGGACCCTAGTCCTATTGGATCAGGGCCCACCCTAGTGACCTCATTTTACCTGAATCACGTCTCTAAAGACTCAGTCTCCAAATAGAGTCACAGTCTGAGGTCCTGGGGGTCAGGACTTCGATGTAGGTGTTTAGGGGACACAGATTCGCTCCTCGCTGGAGGTGATGGCTAAGGGGATGCAGAGTTTCTTTGGGGGTATGCAAATGCTCTAACATGGTTTGTGGTGACAGATGCACAGCTCCATGAATAGAATAAAAGTCCCTGAACTGTACACTGTAAACAGATGAACTGCATGTTCTGTGAATTACAACCAGGCTTGCTCAGGGTGTTCGAAAGGGGATCCCTGGACAAGGGGCAGATTGATTGATTGATTGATTTAGAGACAGGGTCTTGCTCTGTGGCCCAGGCTAGAATGCAGTGGCGCAACCTCAGCTCACCATAACCTCCACCTCCCGGGCTCAAGCCATCCTCCACTCTCAGCTTCCTGAGTAGCTGGGACTACAGGCATGCACCACCATGCTTGGCAAATTTTTTGTGTATTTCATAGAGACAGGGTTTTGCCATGTTGCCCAGGCTGGTCTCAAACACCTGGGCTCAAGTGATCCACCTTCCTTGGCCTCCCAAGGTGCTGGGATGACATGCGGGAGCCACCCTCCCAGCCCCCACAGGGCAGACTGCTGCAGGTGCTGCATTGTCCTCTACAAAGAAGGGAGGCCCTGCTCTGCGGCAACTGCTCCTGAGGTTGGCATCTTTTAAAAAGCAGATGCAGCCTGCATTCTGAGGCAGTCCTTCTAAAAGCCCACCAAATGAATAAGGAGGTTTCTCACCTTTTCTCCTGTTGCAGAAAGCATGTGAGCACCACTCAAGCGCTCTGCTGGTAAGGCTGGCATAGAGGCTACTACTCTGTGTTTGCACATGCCACTGCAGTGGGCTGAATGGGGGTCTGCAAACCGATCTGTCCATGTGCTGACTCCACAAACCTGTGCGTGAGACCTTATTAGTTAGGTACCCTGAGATGGGATCATCCTGGTTTAGAGAGGGCCCTAGATGCAATGACCAGTGTCCTTCTGAGAGACAGAGGAGGAGACACAGACACAGGGGAGAAGGCCACGTGGGGACGGAGGCACAAACTGGAGTGATGTGGCCACAAAGCCAGAGATGCCTGGAGCCCCCAGGAGCTGGGAGAGTCAGGAAGGGTCCTCCCCTACAGCCTCTCAGGGAGCTCTGTTGGTGTCTTAATCTCCTCTTTTAGTAATCCATATCAGATTAGGGCTCACCCTAAGGACCTCAGTTTAACTTAATTACCTCTTCAAAGACCCCATCTCTGAATACGGTCACACCCTGAAGTACTGGTGGTTAGGGCTTCAACCTACAAATTTGGAGGAGGCCAGAATTCAGCCCACAACAGACGTTGTTTGCAAATGTAATCAACAGAAGATGAGATCTTTACAGTGGGCAGGCCTTGCTGCAATGGCCGGTGTCCTTATAGGATGAGGAGATTAGGACACAGACACAGAGGAGAAGGCCCCGTGGAGATGGAGGCAGAGACTGTAGTGATGCGGCCACAAGCTCAGGGACACCTGGAGCCCCCAGGAGCTGGGAAAGTCCGGAAGGATCCTCCCATAGGGCCCCCCGAGGGAGCCCGGCCCTGCCCACACCTGGATTTAAGATTTCTGGTCTCCAGACCTGGGAGAACAAATTTCTGTTGTTTTAAGCTACCCATTTTGTGGTAGTAATACATTCACCCCCTCACCGCAGTTCTGCAGCGTTTAAAAGGGCCTTTTTACCTGTTGGTAGTTTTTTGTTGAGTTCTGAGGCCCTAAGGAGTTTCCTAATTTCTCCAGGCAGATTTTAAATGCACTATTCCTTCAAACTCACATCACATCATCACCAATAGCAACAACCAACTGTACCTCAGTGTATTGTTCCCATAGCAACCGAGATCCCCAATGCCTAGATCATCCGCCATGATCAGTAGGATATTTGGTTTAAAGGCATTTGCAGTTTTAGGTTCACACGTCTTCAGAAGCAAGCATAAAAACAGTAGCACCGGCAAAGATTCCCTGGAGAGAAAAGCAAAACACAGAAATGACTATCTACAATTTGGCACAGGAAGTAGGCATTTCAAGGCGGCTTGCTGGGAAGGTGAAGGTCTTCCGACCTTCTTAACTAAATTAAGACATTCATCTTTATGGGAGGTTATTATCTTGGCCTGAATTCCTGCACTTGTGTCCCCAGACCAAACGAGGGTCAGACTGCTATTTCCTGTGACTCAATAGCGAGATGCAGATGTCTGATACCCTAACTTGTATTAACTTTATTGACTCTCTCTTAGCTGAAAAAGCTGGATGGATTCCATTTGGCTCCTTCATTTGCAAGACATTAAGGGCTCGTTACCCACCCCCTTCCTCAAGGACTTAACTTGTGCAAGCTGACACTTAGCACATCAAAGAGTGCAATTAACTGATAAGGTAAGGTGGCAAGCTATGTCCACAGTTCCCAGGAATTCACCTGGGTGATAGTACCCTAAGGCCCCGCTTTTGTGTCTGGCAGATAGCACCCAGAGCCCCCGCACCTATCACCTTGTGATGAGTTTAAAGCCCCTGCACCTGGAACTGTTTGTTTTCCTGTAACCATGTGTCTTTTCAACTTTTTTGCCTGTTTTACTTCTGTAAGATTGCTTCAGCTCAATTCCCCCTCCCCTCTCTAAACCACAGTATAAAAGAAAATCTAGCCCCTTCTTCAGGGCTGAGGGAATTTCGAGCATTAGCCATCTCTCAGTCGCCAGCTAATAAAGGTCTCTTTAATTAGTCTCAAAGTGTGGCGTTTCTCTATAACTCACTTGGTTACAATATTTGGAGACCCCAGCGAGATATTTGCCACCAGGTGAGAGCTGGACTCATTCCAGCCTCCCCCATACGGTGGACTTATAGGGGAGGCACCACCTGAAGATGTCCCAGGGCCCCATAAGACTCCGTCTTCCGGAGGAGAACGGATCGACCACTGGAGTGTGCCCACAAAATTCAACTTCTGAGTCCTCAGTTTCTGGTCTCAGGAATGTAAGTCAGCTCTGACTCTGGTTTGGTGAGAGGGAAGTGGCCCTGATAAGGGTGTCTCTCTCTTTGACTCTGCCCCCATTCCAGGACACTGGAGGACAGAGCCTTGGTTTTCTGTTAGGCACCTTTGGTTCTGGTTTGGTGAGCGGGAACTGTCCCTGATGAGGGCATTTCTCTTTGACTCTGTCCATATTCCAGGATGTTGGAGGACAGAGTCCTGGTTTCTGGCAGGCCGGCCTCTCCATTAAGACTAGTCTCTCAGTCTCTCCCCCTCTTTTTTTTTCTCTCTCCCCCTCCCCCTTTTTCTATCTCTTCTCTTTCTCTCGTTCAGGTCTCCCGGAGACCTCTGTTTAGAACGGGAATAAGAAAAATTGTTATAAACTCTGTGTGAATGTGTGCATGAATGTGGAATTCAAAGGCTTGCCCTTGAATCTCCAGTTTGTAGCTCCACAGCGAAAGCTATGGAGTTCAAGTGGGCCCTCACCTGCAGTTCCGTGGTGACCTCATAAGGCTTAAGGCAGCATCGGGCATAGCTGGATCTGAGCCAGGGGTTTATACCGGCCTGCAAATGCTAAGAGGAGCGTAAGTCCCCTCAGGGGGAGTGGCCAGGCGGGCATCTGACTGATCCCATCACGGGACCCCCTCCCCTTTGTCTGTCTATAAAAACTTCCATAATTGTTTATATACCCTAGGGTCTATTGCCTGATTTGTGTTTATTGCCTGTTTTGTGTCTATTGTTGTGTTTGGTGTTTATTGTCCCGTTTAGTGTTTGTCTAAGTTTCATATGTCAGGTCATCAATATTGCCCAAGACGACTGGGTAAGGACTTCTTCAAAGTCCTGAGTACAGATTTTCTAACACAGGAGGTCTCAGGTGTGTGTCTTCAGGTTGCTGGGCCCAGGGGCCAGGCATGCTTCCACCAGTACACAAAAGAAACAGCCTCCTTCCCCTCTGGCAGGGGCTCCTGACCCACAGGCAAAGAGTAGGAGGTGACAGTGCCGGACCCCCTCCCCAAGGGGACCCCTCAGGTGCCCGGCTCCTACGCCTTCAGGCATCAAAGCCGCCAACTTCCCCGAGCCCCAGTGCTTCCACACCCAGCTCAGAATGCAGGCACCCAGCCTGCTATGGTAGCCTTGGCCCTGGGCCAGGCTTCTAAGCTAGGCTTGCAGCGCCTGATGGGGCCTGGAGGTGGGGCCGGGGACCGCAGAGTCATCCTGGCAAACCAGCACTGCCCAGCATGGCTCCTCTCAGCCTGAAAGGATCTGAGTGGCCCCTTTTCTCCTCATCCCCATCCCTTGCCCTGCACATCTCGTTTTCCTGTGTCACAGCAAGTCCAGCACCTCCAAGACTTAGCTCTGCTCTCCCTCCTCAAACCCTTAAAAGAAAAGGCTGAGTTTGAACTATTTGCCTTTCAGTCGTGGAGACACCAAAGATATTTAGGCTGTAAGTCAAAAGGCAGAGGGAAATCATGTAGGTCCCACCAGCCTCGGACCCACCTCTTGTCTTCTCCCTAAATCTCAAAGCTTAAAAGGACAGAACTCATGTAGCAGGAAGCACTGGCAATAGCTGTTTTCCTGCTTCTTTTAGCCATATTATTTCTGTTCTTCTGATGCTACAACCCCCCAGGTCATGAATTTCTCTGTCAGTGCTGGGTTTATTATCTCTGCTCAAACCTTGTTAAACTGCCCCAGAATAGGATACTCTTCTTCCCGGCCTCATAAAGATTTGAGCCCTCTCCAATGTATGTTACAAAAATTTTCTCTAGGCTTCTCAGAGGATTATGGGGTCTGCCTTAAAAAAGGCAAACTCTGGACACTCTGTGAAGCAGAATGGCCAAATTTTGGAGCTGGGTGGCCCCCAGAAGGGTCACTGAAGCTCGCAGTTGTTCAGGCTGTGTGGCGGGTTGTTGCTGGAACTCCTGGTCACCCAGATCAGTTTCCATACATTGATCAGTGGCTGAGTTTGGTCAGGAGCCCTCCTCCATGGCTCCGCTAATGCATCATTCATAATTCTACCTCTAAGTTCCTTTTGAGCCAGACCTCACTTTTGCCTCAACCCTCAGCTGGCTCGGCTCCTCCTATTCTGCTTCCTTCTGAAGAAGAAGAGAATCTTCTTCACCCAGTTCCACCAGCTTATAACCCTCTTGCTCCTTTAGAATCTTCCCTTGTCTCCTCGAGGATGTCCCCTGTGGGCTGTCCGCCTGTTGCCTCTAGATTGCGGCCATGGCAGGAGGAGGTAGCCCTCCTCCTCCCACTGAGAGAGGCACAAGTCCCTTTGGGTGATGAGCACTTAGCTCCATTCTTAGTTTATGTCCCCTTTTCTACTTCTGAGCTGTATAATGGGAAAGATTATAAACCCCCCTTTTCTGAAAAGCCCCAGGTCTTGACCTCACTGATGGAGTCCATGCTCTGGACCCATTGGCCCACCTGGGATGACTGTCAGCAGCTCCTTTTGACCCTTTTCAACGCTGAAGAGAAGGAACAGATCCAAAGAGAGGCCAGTAAGTATTTCCTCACATCAGCCAATAGGCCAGAAGTGGAAGCTAGAGGCCTCCTTAAGGAAGTTTTTCCTTCTACCCGGCCTAATTAGGACCCAAACTCCTCAGGTGGGAAGAGATCTTTAGACGATTTTCACCGGTATCTCCTTGTGGGTATCAAGTGAGCCGCTTGGAAACCCGTAAACTTGTCTAAGATGACTGAAGTTGTCTAGGGGCCTGATGAGTCACTGTGAACGTTTTAGAATGCCTCCAGGAGGCCTATCAGACTTACACCCTTTCTGACCCGGAGTCTCCTGAAAATAGCTGTGCTCTTAATTTAGCATTTGTGGTTCAGGCAGCCCCTAATATTAAAAGAAACCTACAAAAACTGGAAGGATTTGCTGGGATGAATATCAGTCAACTTTTAGAAATAGCCCAAAAAGTTTTTGACAATCAAGAGTTTAAAAAGCAAAAACAGGCAGCTGAGGCAGCTGACAAGGCTGCTGACAAAGCATCAGAAAGACAAGCGAAAATCTTAGTGGCGGCCATCCAGGAAGCCAGAAAGGAAAGGCCCCCATCACAGAACACTAGCCAGGGGGCCCTGGGTCCATGCTAGAAAAGCCAGAAAAGTGACCAGGGTTCCCTTCAAAGAAAAACCAATGTGCTTATTGCAAGCAGATAGGAAACTGGAAAAAGGAATGCCCATTAAGACCAGAGGAAAAACCAGAAGACAAAAAAGTCCTCACCCTCCCTGCTGCGGAGGACTCTGATGATTGATGGGACCAGGGCTCCTTTACACTTGGCCCTCGGGAGCCCATGGTGACCGCCATAGTAGGGCGCCAGCCTGTACACTTCCTAATTGACACCAGGGCGGAACACTCAGTACTGCAGATGCCCCTAGGCAGTGTCTGTAATAGGAAAGTGGTTGTACAGGGAGCTACTGGAGTTATTCAGGAATATCCTGTCACCCAGTCATAAGAGGTGAGTTTGGGACAGAAAAGAGCAACTCACTCATTCCTCTTGGTCCCAGAGTGTCCTTTTCCCCTCCTAGGATGAGACCTGTTCCACAAGCTGTAGGCATCTATTTCCTTCTCGGCCCAACAAGCTCACCTCATGTTAGGGGACACAATGCCCCCTATTGCTCAGCTCCTGTTAACCACCCCTCTGTCAGAAGAATATCTGTTAGTTTCACCTCCAAAACCACCAGAAAATAAAACTAATCCTCTCCTACTGGAATTACAGACTCTCTTTCCTTGAGTCTGGGCTGAGCCAATCCCCCCAGGACGGGCTAAGCACCATCCACCAGTGGTAGTAGAACTCCTGGCCACCACCTTGCCAGTCCAGGTGAAGCAATAGTCTGTGAGTCAGCAGGCTAGGGAGAGAATCAACCCCCATATTCAGCAACTGTTACAAACTGGCATACTCACACCATTGCCAGTCCATCTGGAATACTCCATTTTTTCCGGTCCAAAAACCCAGAACAAATGATTACTGGCCTGTACAGGACTTAACGGAAGTTAACAGACAGATAGTCACTGTCCACCCAACTGTCCCTAACCCTTATACTTTACTCAGACTGCTTCCACCAGAACACACAATTTGCACTGTCCTTGACTTAAAAGATGCTTTCTTTGCTATTCCTCTGGCCCCCAAAAGCCAACCTATCTTTGCTTTTGAATGGACAGATCCTGGCTCAGGAAACACCACCCAATTGACCTGGACTCAGTTACCTCAAGGTTTTAAAAATTCCCCCACCCTTTTTAAGGAAGCCCTTCAACAGGATCTTATACCATTTCAAGCCAGAACCCTAATTGTACTCTTCTTCAGTACACAGATGACCTTTTATTAGGTACTGAAACTACTGACAGTTGCCTGCAACACACTAAGGACCTATTTTACCTCCTTCAGGAACTCAGGTATCAAGTCTCAGCCAAAAATCCCAGCTTTGTCTTCCCAGAGTCTCCTACCTAGGGTATGAGATAAACAGAGGAAAAAGGGCACTTATCAGTGCTTGTAAGGAAGCCATCCCACAAATCCCCACTCCCACCAAGAGACAGGTACGTGAATTTCTGGGGGCCATAAGATACTGTCGCCTGTGGATATTAAGGTCCGCAGAGATTGCCAAGCCCCTGTACACTGCTACTGGAAGGAATGGCCCACTAGTATGGACTGACACCAAAGAATAGGCTTTCAAAAACCTGAAAAAGGCATTAACTGAGGCCCCCACTCTAGCCCTCCCTAATATCTCAAAACCATTTCACCTTTTATTCACGAAAGCCAGGGAGTTGCTAAGGGGGTGCTCACTCAGACTTTAGGACCCTGGAGATGCCCAGTAGCCTATTTGTCTAAGAGACTGGACCCTGTGGCCGCTGGATGGCCAACTTGTCTGTGAGCCGTAGTGGCCACAGCAAGCCTAGTCCAGGAGGCTAATAAATTGACTCTGGGCCAAAACTTCACCCTCATGGCTCCTCACGCCATAGAGATTTTGCTACCAAGTGCTTCTGGCAAATGGATGTCAAATGCTCGCATCCTGCAGTATCAGAGTTTACTGTTAGATCAGCCTCTTTTGACTTTCTCTTCCATAAGGTGTTTAAATCCAGCTGCTTTCCTCCCTGATCCAAACTTCACTACACCTGTCCGTGACTGCCAGGAACTGTTAGAAACTACAGAAACTGGCTGAACTGATCTCCAAGATATGCCCCTATAAACATATACCATGTTTATAGATGGTAGCAGCTTCCTCGAACAGGGAGTACAAAAGATTGGTGCAGCCTTTACTACGGAGACAGATGTGCTGTGGTCCCAGGTGTTGCCAGCAGGTACCTCGGCACAGAAGGCTGAATTGATCGCCCTCACTCAGGCTGTCTGATGGGTTAAGGACAAATGTATTAATATTTATACTGACAGCAGGTATGCTTTTGCTACTGTACATGTACATGGAGCCGTCTATCAAGAATGCGGGCTACTTACTTCAGCAGGAAAGATTGTCAAAAACAAAGAAGAAATTTTAGCCCTGCTTGAAGCAGGTGGCTGTAATTCACTGCAAAGGACATCAAAAGGAAGACTTGGCCATTGCCCATGGGAACCAAAGAGCAGATTCTGTAACTCGAAAGGCAGCATGGCTCCCTGTCATGCCTTTAACCCTGCTGTCCGCTGTGTCCTTTCCGCAACCTAACTTGGCAGCCCCAGAAAAAAAAAGAAACAAGCTTCAGATCTTCAGGCCAATTAAAATCAGGAAGGTTGGTGGATTCTTCCTGATTCCAGAATCTTCATACCCCGAGCTCTCAAGGAAACTTTAATCAGTCGTCTTCATTCTACCACCCATTTAAGAGGAGTAAAACTGGCCCAGCTCCTAAGGAGCCATTTCAAGATCCCTTCGCCTTCAGAACTCTGCAAACCAAGCAGCTCTCTGGTGTATGGCTTGTGCTCAAGTAAATGCCAAGCAAGGTCCTAAACCCATCTCAGGGCACTGCCTCCGGGGAAACTCGCCAGGAAAAAGGTAGGAAATTGACTTTACAGAAATAAAACCACACTGGACTAAGTAGAAATACCTTTTGGTACTAGCAGATACATTTTCTGGATGGACTGAGGCATTTGCCCCCAAAAACGAGACTGCCACCACAGTAGCTAGGTTTTTACTCGATGAAATCATCCTTTGACATAGGCTGCCTGCTGCCATAAGGTCTGATAATAGACCAGCCTTCACCTTGTCCATACCTCAGTCAGTCAGTAAGAACTCAGAGCTCTGCACAGGTAGAATGCATAAACCACACCCTAAAAATACTTTTACAAAGTTAATCTTAAAGACTGGTGAAGATTAGGTAAGGCTCCTTCTTTAGTCCTTCTTAAAGTAAGATGAACTTCCTACCAGGCTAGGTTTTCACCTTTTAAAATCATATATAAGAGGGTTCCGCCGATCTTGCCTAAGCTAAAAGATACCCATTTAGCAGAAATCTCACAAGCTAATTTATTACATTACCTACAGTCTCTCCAAAAGGTGCAAGATATCATCCAGCCACTTGGACTGAGAGCTCATCCCAATCCAGTTCCTGATCAGATGGGGCCCTGCCACTCGTTCCAGCCAGGTGACCTGGTGTTCGTTAAAAAGTTCCAGAAAGAAGGACTCCTGCTTAGAAAAGACCTCATACTGTCATCCTTACCACCCCAATGGCTCTAAAAGTAGAAAGGAATGCTTACATTCATGACACCCCCTAGTACAAAGCATGTTTAACTGTAATCTATGACTAACTACCCTAATTACTGGATTGGCAGAACCCTTTTTCTCCTTCTCTTGTTTAGTCTTCCAACCATTATATATTAAAATTAGTTTCTTAAATTTGTAAAACAACGCATAGCTTCTGTCAAACTTAGGTATCTTAAAACCCAATGTAACTAACCCCCTTGTTATAACCGAGGAATCCCCTCAGTCGCCTCCTATCCCTGGGCTCTGATGTCTGGCGTCTTTCCCAGGCACAGAAGCCGCCTCCAGCTACATTCTGGGGACTACAGGGCGCCGGATATAACCACGCCCTTTACAGGGACCCTTCGTGCTCGCGACCCCCTCCCCAGGCCCTCACCCCAAGCCTTAGTGTGGGCCACATCCCAGGGTCCCTGGCACCTGGCGGCGGGCGGGTGCGTCCACTCAAGCTGGCTGATCGCATGGCCCATCGCTGGCCCAGAGCGAGGGACCTTTGCGCACTCTGCGCAGGGCTCTGCTAGTGCCAAGGTGATCTCTCTCAGCTATGGGATCTAGGGTGTACGCCTGCCCCTCCTTCATCCGCCTCATGTCCTGGCTCTCGGGACCTCAGGGATCTCCAGGACCTGGGCGTGGAAGCAGGTTTCCCAGGTCGTCACTCAGAGAGGCCGATGCTAAGGAGGAGCTGATTAAACCCAGTTGTGATTGACCCAGAGCTGCGGCTCCCGCCTAGGATCCCAGCAATTTGGGAGGCCAAGAGGAGTAGGTCACCTGAGGTCAGGAGTTCCAGACCAGCTTGGCCAACATGGTGAAATCCTGTCTCTACTAAAAATACAAAAATTAGCCAGGCGTGGTAGCTCACGTGTGTAGTCCCAGCTATTGGTGAGGCTAAGGCAGGAGAATTGCTTGAATCTGGGAGGTGGAGTTTGCGCCACTGCACTCCAGCCTGGGCTACAGAGTGACACTCTGTCTCAAAGAATAAAATAAATAAATAAACAAATAAACAAACCCAGTTAGGTTTGAGCACACGGAGTCTCTTTTCTTTTTGTTGGGAAGGGTCTTATGACCTGCCCAGAGCAATCAAGCTGCAATTTCAGTTTCTCAAAACTTGGTGTTTGAAATGTCTGTTCCAGATGCTGGACTTGTACTCTAAGTTTGGGATGGGGAATGCTAGATGGACTCTTTTTTTTTTCCTTTTATTACCATTATTATTATTTTAAGATAGGGTCTCACTCTGTGGCCCAGGCTGGAGTGCAGTGGTGCGATCCCAGCTCAGTGCAGCCTCCACCTCCACCTGGGTTGAAGCGATTCTCCTGCATTAGCCTCCCGAGTAGCTGGGACTACAGGTGGCCACCACCAAGCCTGGCTAATTCCAACTGCTATTTTTATCTTTATTCCTTCCATCAGACTGATGTTGAAATTACTCCTTTTGATTAACCACTGTGCCCTGGACCCCTCCCCGTCTTTTCTGTGACTCATCCTTTTGTTTTTGAGTGATGCAGTTTTGCTCATTACCCTCTCATGTAATTCTTTTCTTTTCTTTTTTTTTTTTTTGTAGGTAGAGAAAGACAGATTTATTACAGTAATTAGGAAAACGCCAGGATAGCAGGGAGGTAACTTGCATTTTTTTTAAAATAGTATTTATTGATCATTCTTGGGTGTTTCTTGGAGAGGGGAATTTGGCAGGGTCATAGGACAATAGTGGAGGGAAGGTCAGCAGATAAACATGTGAACAAGGGTCTCTGGTTTTCCTAGGCAGAGGACCCTGCGGCCTTCCGCAGTGTTTGTGTCCCTGGGTACTTGAGATTAGGGAGTGGTGATGACTCTTCACGAGCATGCTGCCTTCAAGCATCTGTTTAACAAAGCACATCTTGCACCGCCCTTAATCCATTTAACCCTGAGTGGACACAGCACATGTTTCAGAGAGCACGGGGTTGGGGGTAAGGTTATAGATTAACAGCATCCCAAGGCAGAAGAATTTTTCTTAGTACAGAACAAAATGGAGTCTCCCATGTCTACCTCTTTCCACACAGACACAGTAACAATCTGATCTTTCTTTCTTTTCCCCACATTTCCCCCTTTTCTATTCGACAAAACTGCCATTGTCATCATGGCCCGTTTTCAATGAGCTGTTGGGTACACCTCCCAGACGGGGTGGTGGCCGGGCAGAGGGGCTCCTCACTTCCCAGACGGGGTGGCCGGGTAGAGGCACCCCCCACCTCCCGGATGGGGCGGTGGCCGGGTGGAGGCTGCCCCCCACCTCCCTCCTGGACAGGGCGGCTGGTGGGGCGGGGGCTGCCCCCCACCTCCCTCCCGGATGGAGCGGCTGTCATGTAATTCTTTTCTTTGTATCTTTGGGTCCCCCTTTTTTTGTTTGTATGTTTTGTTTTTAACTCTTTTGACCTCTAGAAAGATCAAGGCTGAGAGTTGAGGCTGCAGTGAACCTTTTTGTCTTTAACTCTCTTGAACCCTAGTCACTGATTTTCTCAAGCCCCTTCATTTCGTACCTCATCCCCTCACATCCCCTCACAATGCAAGATCTGCTCAAAGTATAAATCCATATTTTGTAGGAAATCCTAGCTTACAAAACAATATCACATCTCTACCTCCAGCCCAGGTGACCCATTTTCCCTCAAAGGGGGTTGCTTAGGTCCTCTTGCACTGTTCAGGGGCAAAATAATTCCATAGTCTTCAAGATAACAGTACTTTTTTCTTCTAAGGCTCTGGCTGTCAAGGGTGAGGCTATCACCACCTCTTAAGGAAGTGGAACTACCGGTGTGCATCACCACCCCTGACCCATTTTTATTAATTTATTTTTTCTGTAGAGACTAGGTCCCACTATGTTGCCTAAGCTGGTCTCAAACTCTTGGCCTCAAGGAGTCCTCCTGCTTTGGCCTCCCAAAGTACTGGATTACAAGTGAGCCACTGTGCCTGACCATCCAGAAGACTCTATATTAAGTGTATAGGTAGGAGGTAAATCCAGGTCCTCCTCACCATTATTATGCCTCCAACAGTTATGCCTTTTTTTTCCCCCTTTGTAACTAGTTCTCTATGCTTACCAAATAGAGTCAGTAAGGCCAGGGAGGTGGGGTAGAAGTTTGTGTTGAAAACATAGAATCAGAAGTCCCTCCTTAAATTCACTGAGTTAGGATTTTCATATATGAGAGAGCTGCCCCACACTCCCCTGGCATGGGATAATGGGGCTGCTTGTTCAAGACAATACAGTCAGGAGCCCCCGACTCCCTCAATTGATTGAATTGGAATCTCCCAAAATGGTGCTGGGAATTCTATTTAGAAAAAAGACCATTAACTTTTAATTGGCAAATTAGGATCATTTACATTTATTATGCTCCATTGCCTAGTCTGAAGTGCAGTGGTGCAATGTTGGCTCACAGCAACCTCCGCCTCCCAAGTTCAAGCGATTCTTCTGCCTCAGCCTCCTAAGTAGCTGGGACTACAGGCACACATCACCACACCTAGCTAATTTTTTTATTTTTAGTAGAGACAGAGTTTCACCATATTGGCCAGGCTGGTATTGATCTCCTGACCTCAGGTGATCCATCCGCCTCGGCCTCCCAAAGTGCAGGGATTATAGGCGTGAGCCACCATGTCCAGACAGAGCTAGTCCTTGAGCACTGTTTATTGCTTCTCTCTTTGCCCTGTTACTCTGAAAGAGCTTTTATCAGACTAGGCATGGTGGCTTACACCTGTAATCCCAGCACTTTGGGAGACTGAAGGGGAAGGATTGCTTAAAAGCAGGAGTTTGAGAACAGCCTGGGCAACACAGAGAGACCCTATTTCTACAAAAAAAAAAAAAAAAAAAGCCGAATATGGTGGTGTGCCAGTAGTCCCAGCTACTTGAGAGGCTGAAGTGGGAGAGTCACATGAGCACAGGAATTTGAGGTTGCAGTGAGCTGTGATTGTACCACTGCACTCCAGACTGGGTGACAGAGCAAGACCCTGTCTCTAAAATAAAAATTTAAAAAATAACTTTTTTATCCTTGAGGGCTTTGCAACTGGGATTTCTTGCTGAGCCATTATCACACAGATGGAGAAGGCCAGGAAAAGGCCTGGAAGGAGCGGGCAGGAGACAGCCCATAAGCAGTTCTGCAGGGAGGTTTAGCAGGGGTGGAGTGGAGATTTGATCCTTGGAAGAAATCCTGTACTGCTGGGAGTTGAGATTCCTGAGAACTAGAGATCCTGAGAACTAGAGAGAAAAGAGCCTTGGGTGCACTTAGGTAAATTATATAAACACACTGAGCTGTCTTGGGTGCCCAGGATTTGGAAATGGGGCCTGGGGGCAGTAGAAGCTGGTGTACCAGAAGTCATATTTGGGGGAGGTTGTGGGAATGGAAAGGGTGGGTAAGCCCTGACCCTGAGGGTCTCACATGACTTTCAGCACATGGAGCCTCCATTGGGGACTTTGGCTTCAAAGCCATCAAGGTCAAGAGTGTGGACAAGTGTGGACACAGATGTGACTCTCCCCAGTGGATGCTGAAGATCTTAAAGGCGACTCTATGGGCCAGGAACATCTGGCACAGCTGACCCAAAGTGCTGGTCTTGTTCCATAAGCCATGGCTATGGGGAAAGCCTTAGGGGTTAACTGGTTCCTCCTGCCATCCCTCCCTCCCTCTCTCCCTTCCTTTTTCTTTTTGCTTCTTTCCTTTCCTTCTTCCTTTCTTTTTAGAGACAAGATCTCACCCTGTCACCCAGACTAGAGTGTAGTGGCACAATCATAGTTCAGTGCAGCCTTGAACACATTCGGAGGCCAGAGACTCAAGTGATCCTCCCACCTCAGCCTCCCAAGTAGGTGGGACTATAGGCACGTGTCACCTCACCTAATTATTTAAATGTTATGTGGAGGCAAGGTCTCGCTATGTCACCCCAGCTGGTCTGAAACTCCTGGCCTCAAGCCATCTTAGTGCCCTAAAGTGCTGGGACTACAGATGTGAGTCATCGCACCTGGCCTACTATTTCTTTCTTGACCCAAGAGAATTGGCTGGAGATGGATTTGACTTTTTTGGTCTCTGTGCACAGCCTGAATTCTTGGAGGCTGATGTGGATTGGATAATTTGAGGACATGTTCTTGAAGTGGTGACAAGGTGGGGCATTGCTTATCATATACCTAGGCTTGGAATAGTGGGAGGAGGGAACTGTTCTTGAATCTGGAGACAGAAAGAACTATTGGAAAGACCTCCTTACTCCCAGGAGAGAATATGTTGGGAACTGAATTGTGTTGCCCTCAAATTCACAGGAATAAGGTTTTTAGTCATCCTTTAAAATGAGGTCACAAGAGTGGGCCCTATTCCAATAGGAGTGGGGTCCTTATAAGAAGAGTAGATTAGGGCTGGGTGCAGTGACTCATGCCTGTAATCCCAGCAATTTGGGAGGCCAAGGCGGGAAGATTACTTGAGGTCAGGAGTTCCAGAGCAGCCTGGGCAACATGGCAAAAACCTGCCTCTACTAAATAATACAAAAATTAGTCGAGCATGGAGCAAGTAGCCTATTGTCTCAGCTCCTTGGGAGGCTGAGACAGGAGAATCACTTGAACCTGAGGCAGAGGTTGCAGTGAGCTGAGATTGCACCATTGCACTCCAGCCTGGACAACAGAGCAAGATTCCGTCTCAAAAAAAAAACCAAACAAACAAAAAACCAAGAATCGGAGACTAGGACGTAGATGGATGACTGTCTGAAGACAGGGGAAGAAGGCGGTAGCTGTGAACCAAAAAACAGGTTCTACCCAGACACAGATTCTGTCATGCCCGGGTGTTGGACATCCAGCCTCTAAAACTGCAATAAATAAATATTCTTGATGATACCCACTTTATGGTATTTTCATTCTAGCAGCCTAGACATATTAAGTAAGGCAAAGCCTGATTTTGCAATGACCTTGCAGTTCAGAGCTGGGGAGAACACTGCCTGTGCAGCACAGATTCCAAAGCCTGAATTTGCCCTAATTACCTGGGGCACTGGGGACTGAAAACAATTCCAATGGAAAGGACTGTACATCCTTGTGGTTGTAAACGATAAACAGACACTATAAATGAGCACCACAGACAAAGCCACATCAGTGCCAGTTTTTATCTTTGGAACCTATCTCCTGTTCATGTGCAAATCTGTAGGTCACAGAGACACCTTTGCTGGGACTTGTGCTGTTTTGGGCTACAGGGCGGCCTCTTCTGGACTGAGTTAGGATCCATTGACAGAATCCTCCCCTACTCCAGGAGATACTTTACCTCTCCAGTTTGGGTGTCTGAGTGATCATTCAACAGTGCATTATTAATGTTTGTTTATTTATTTTTTTTTTGGTGAGACATAGTCTTGTTCTGTCACCCATGCTGGAGTGCAGTGGTGTGATCTCAGCTCACTGCAACCTCTGCCTCCTGGCTTCCAGCAATTCTCCTGTCTCAGCCTCCTGAGTAGGTGGGATTACAGGTGTACGCCACCATGCCAGCCTTTTTTTTTTTTTTCTTTTTTTGATAGAGACGGAGTTTCACCATGTTGGCCAGGCTGGTCTTGAACTCCTGACCCCAAATGATCTGCCCGTCTCTGCATCCCAAAGTGTTGGGATTACAGGAGTAAGCCACTGCACCCGGCCAGTGTTTATTGTTCATTTCTACTTTTTCTCGCCTTTCTTTGTTTCTGTCAGGGAGAAACGATTCATCCTTATGCACATAGATGCCTTAACCTGACACTGAAGTTTGTTTCATTTTTTGTTTTCTTTCTTTTTTGAGACAGGGTCTTGCTGTGTTGCCCAGGCTGGGGTGCAGTGGTACAATCATAGCTCAGTGCAGCCTCCAACTCCTGTGCTCAAATGATCCTCCTGCCTTAGCCTCCTGAGAAGCTAGAACTACAGGCGTGTGCCACCATGCAGGCTAATTTTTTTTTTATTTTTGTTTTGTAGAGCTAGAGTTTCATCATGTTGCCCAGGTTGGTTTTGATCACGGGAGTGATCCTCCTGTGGTGGCCTCCTAAAGTGCTGGGATGACAGCCACTATGGCCAGCTGGTTTGTTTCAATTTGAGTGACAAATTTAGGAATCAGGGCTCCAGCTTTTCACTGCAGACATTTATTGTGGGTCATCTTCCCTAAGGCACTAGCAGAGGGGGAATGGGCCACAGCAGGGCTGCAGCCACGGTCTCCAGATATTGCCCAGCCTGTCCAGCTGCAGAGGAACTGGGCTGAGTGTCCGCTGGTGTTCCCGCATCACCTGCTGGACTCGTTCCATCACCTGATAGAACACGGGCTCTGAGGCTGGTGTGAGGATGTGGGTCTCAGAAGGGTCTCTTGAGAGGTCAAAGAGCAAAGGTAGATCGTGGTGGACTACTTTTTCCCCAAAGCACAGGCAGACCTTTCTTCCATAGCAGGCACCGGCTCCCTCTGGCTGGAACACAGGCGTCACAAAGTGGAGTTCCACATTGTTCCTCCTGGTGGAAAGATAATAATTACAGAGTTGGCATAGAGAAATAGGGTGCCTTGCTGGTGAATGGCATCTTCATAGGGCTAAAAGGTAATTTTTCTTTTTTTTGTGCAAGAGTCTTGGTCTGTCACCCAGGCTAGAGTGCAGTGGTGCAATCTTGGCTCATTGCAACCTCCATCTCCCAGGTTCAAGTGATTCTCCTGCCTCAGCCTCCTGAGTAGCTGGGATTACACGTGCCTGCCACCATGCTTGGCTAAATTTTTTTTTTATTTTTCATAGAGACGGGGTTTCCTTATGTTGGCCAAGCTGGTCTTAAACTCCTGACCTCATTATGTGCTCACCTTAGCCTCGCAAAGTGCTGGGATTACAGGCATGAGCCATTATGCCTGGCCTCCATTAAAAAAAAAAATTAAAATTAGCTCAGTGTGGTGTGTATGCCATAGTACTAGCTACTCAGGAAGCTGAGGTTGGAATTGCTTGAGTCCAGGGGGTCAAAGCTACAGTGAGCTATGATCATGCCACTGCACTCCATGCTAGGCAATAGAGTGAGACCCTGTCATTCATAGATAGATAGATACATAGACCAGATGGGCATGCACTCACACCCATAGTCCCAGCTACTCAGGAGGCTGAGGTAGGAGGATCACTTGAGCCCAGGAGATTGAGGCTGCAGTGAGCTGTGATTATGCCAGTGCACTGCAGCCTGAGGAACAGAGGAAGACCCTGTCATTCACAGATGATATAGATAGATAGATAACCACAGATAAATATCATTCATAGATAAGTAGATAGACATCATTCACAGATGATAGATGATAGATAGATAGATAGACAGACAGATAGATAGATAGATAGATAGATAGATAGATAGATAGACCGGATGGGCATGCACTCACGCCCATAGTCCCAGCTACTCAGGAGACTGAGGTAGGAGGATCACTTGAGACCAGGAAATTGAGGCTGCAGTGAGCTGTGATTATGCCAGTGCGCTGTATGCAGCCTGAGGAACAGGGGAAGACCCTGTCATTCACAGATGATAGATAGATTAGATAGATAGATAGGTAGATAGACCACAGATAAATATCATTCATAGATAAGTAGATAGACATCATTCACAGATGATAGATGATAGATAGATAGATAGATAGGGATGGATGGATAGACAGATGGACGGAAAGAGATATTCACAGATAAATAGAAAACTATCATTCATAGATACATGGAAGGATAGACAGATATTCATAGATAAATAGATAAATATAATTCATAGATGGATAGGGAGATGAATGAATGGATGGATTATAGATAGATAGATAGATAGATAGATAGATAGATAGATTAATTAGAGTGACTGATATGCAGTCACGCCTATAATCCAGCACTCAGGGAGTGTGAGGTAGGAGGACTGCCTGCATACAAGAGTTTCAGATAAGCCTGGGCAACACAGCAAGACCCCACATCTATTTAAAGTAAAACAAAACAAAACAAAACAAAACAGAAAATTGTGGCCAGGTGTAAGTGCTCCAAATTAAGTACAGTTGGTTCACATGATGGGTGATGGATAGTTAACAGTGGAGGTTCGTGTGAGTGCAGTTCAGGGGATTTGGTTTTCATCCCAGAAGCCTGCTTGAGAAGGTAATATTTGACTTAGGACATGCACATCAACAGTGAGCCAGCCATGTGGAGGTCCAGTCCTCTGAGTGCATTCCATGTGGTTGGAATTGTTCGTACAAAGGCCGTGAGGCAGCGACAAGACGAGCCTGTCCTCAGATCACTGGGCTCGGGACAGTTGGAGCTTGGACATTGCAGAGCTCTGGTTATCAGGAGTAAGGTTTCAGAGGTAGGGCAGGGCTGAAGTTTCAGAGGTAGGGCAGGGCTGGCTTCAGAAATAAGGTATTCCAAGCTCCCCACAGGAATTTGGACTTGCCATGAACTTCATGCAGTGGATCATTTTGGGGATGCACTCAGCAGGCACAATAGCCATGGGATGAGCAGTGGACTGGAGAAGGCCAATCAGAGCAGTATTGAGGACACACAGGCAGTAGAAAGGCACTCTCCATCTGTCGACCTCCAAAAAAAAAACATTATCCAATGACCAAGAGGAGACAGGTGAGTAATGCACAGTCATGGTGTCAAGGAACCCAGTTATCTGAGCTGTTGAGCAGAAACAATGGTAGGTCAGGCTGTGCTATTGATGAAAATGTTTTTAAAAACTTAAAAGGCAACATCTATAATATGTAATTTAAAAAATGAAAAATAGTGGAGGCCAAGGCAGGCAGATCACCTGAGGTCAGGAGTTTGAGACCAGCCTAGCTGACATGATGAAACCCTGTCTTTACTAAAAATATAAAAATTAGCCAGACACACCTATAATCCCAGCTACTAGTGAGGATGAGGCATGAGAATCATTTGAACCTGGGAGGCAAAGATTGAAGTGAGTGAAGATCATACCACTGCACTCCAGCCTGGGTGACAGAGGGAAACTCCATTTCAAGATTAAATAAGTAAATAAATACATAAATAACAAAAAATGGGCCAGATGTGGTGGTTCATGCCTGTAATCCCAATACTTTGGGAGGGCGCAGCAGGTGGATCACTTGAGCCCAGGAGGCAGAGGCTGCAGTGAGCTGAGATCATGCTACTGGACTCCAGCCTAGATGACACAGTGAGATGTCATCTCAATAAATAATAAAAATTTAAAAAATTAAAATAAACATAAAAGTAAATAAAAAACCAAAAATGTAGCAATAAAACAATTCCAGATTAGGCTACTAATTGAAAGAAGGTTGGGTGGGGTGGCTTATGTGTATAATCCCAGCACTTTGGGAGGCTGAGGGAGGAGGATTGATTGAGCCCAGGAGTTTGAGACCAACCTATGCAACATAGTGAGATACCACCTCTAGAAAAATGAAAAGAAATTAAAAAAAATAGAAGGAAAAAGTAGGTTCAGGGCATTCAAGTGGTTCAAGTTCAACTTATTATAAAAAATATACAAAATTAGCCTGGCGAGGGGATGCACGCCTGTAATCCTAGTTACTCAGGAGGCTGAGGCAGGAGAATCTCTTGAACAGGGGAGGCAGAGGTTGCAGTGAGCCAAGATTGAGCTGCTGCACTCCAGCCTGGGCAACAGAATGAGACTCTGTCTCAAAATTAAAAAAAAAGAAAGAAAAGGAAGAGAGACTAAGAAAAAAAAATCTATTGTAATGCCATCAAATAAAAGAGACTGTAAATGATATTTTTTTGGCCAGGCATGGTGGCTCATGTCTGCAATCCCAGCACTTTGGGAGGCCGAGGCAGGCAGGTCACCTGAGATCAGGAGTTTGAGACCCACCTGGCCAAGATGGTGAAACCCTGTCTCTACTAAAACTACAAAAAGTAGCCAGGCACAGTGGCAGGGGCCTGTAATCCCAGCTATTCAGGAGGCTGAGGCAGGACAATAACTTGAACCTGGGCGACAGAGGTTGCAGGGAGCCGAGATCATACCACTGCACTCCAGCCTGGGTGACAGAGTGAGAAGCTGTCTTTAAAAAAAAAAAAATTGCTTGCTGTGGTGGCAGGTGCCTATAATCCCAGCTACTTAGGTGGCTGAGGCAGAATAATTGCTTGAACCTGGGAGGCGGAGGTTGCAATGAGCTGAGATCACGCTACTGCACTCTAGCCTGGGTGACGGAGCAAGACTCTGTCTCAAAAAAAAAAAAAAAAAATTCACTGTTGATTCAGACACCTGGAGATATCTAGACAATTCTTTTGAGAAATCTTTAGCCAACTGAATCATAAGAGGATACAGATCTTATCAAACCTTGGAAAAAGACCAAAGAAAACCATGTCTGTCAAGCAAGTCCAGAAAAGATGAAAAACATCAAGACAAGACAAAGCTACAGAAACGGAAGCATAAAGGAAAAAAAGAGAATTTGATAAAGTCAAACAGGTAGAACTCTCTTGTCTGAACACAAAGATAGAAGCGGAAATCAATCATTTATAAAATTAAAGAATACAATTGTTAAGTAAATCCAAGAGCTGGATTTTTTTAAAATGACAGAGAATGACAGAAAGATCCTATAAAGCTCTGGTAAACATAGCCATACATATACAAGCAATTAAAAGACAATGAAGGCCACGAATGGTGTCTCAAGCCTGTAATCCCAGCACTTTGGGAGGCCAAGGTGGGCGGGAGGATCACTTCGCCTCGTCAGGAGTTCGAGACCAGCCACTGCACTATAGCCTGGGTGACAGAGTGAGACTGTCTCAAAAACTCAAAAATAAATAAATAAAACACAATGAAGTCCAGGTGCAGTGGCTCATGCCTGCAGTTCCAGCACTTTGGGAGGCTGAGACAAGAGGATTGCAGGAGCTCAGGAGTTCGATGCCAGCCTAGGCAATGTAGGGAGACCCCCATCTCTATGAAAAGTAAAAAGTTAGCTGGGCACGGTGGCATGCACCTGTAGTCCCAGCTACTTGGGAGGCTGAGGTGGGAGGACTGCTTGAGCCTGGAAGGCAGAGGTTGCAGTGAGCCAAGATGGAAACACTGCATTCCAGCCTGGGGGACAGAACAAGACTGTCTCAAAAAAAAAAAAAAAAGAAAGAACAAAAACAAACAAAAAAATAATGCAATTACTTAACAAGAGGACAAGTTCTTAATGAAATAAATACTTTTTTAAATATGAAGAATTAACTAAATAGAGAAATGTAGCATATTTCAGTGTGGACAGACCTAGTGTTTTAAAGGTAATGAACCATCAAATGCAGAGATGATTAATACTTCTGTGGCATTTTTTTTCTTTTTTAAACTTGCAAATGATTTCATAGCTCTTTTGAGAGGACATTGGAGTCAAAAGACCAAGAAAATTTAGGGAAGCAAAAAGTATTCAGTAAGCATGTGTTTGTTTATATTACAAAGTTATAATTGTTTACAAAGAAGATGAAATTGTGTTAAGGTCAGGTGGGTAAAACATTTGGAAGCACATCTAGATGCATAAAATGGACTACAAAAGGCTGGGCATAGTGGCTCACACCTATAATTTCAGCTTTTTGGGAGGTCAAGATGGGTGGATCGCTTGAGCCCAGGAGTTTGAGACCAGCCTGGGCAGCATACTGAGACCTTGTTTCAGTTTAATAAGAAAAACTGGAGGCCAGGCATGGTGGCTCAGGCCTGTAATCCCAACTCTTTGGGAGGCCAAAAGCAGGTGGGTCACTTGAGGCCAGGAGTTCGAGACCAGCCTGCCCAACGTGGTGAAACCCTCTCTTTACTAAAAATACAAGAAGTTAGCCAGGTGTGGTAGTGGGCACCTGTAATCTCAGCTACACAGGAGGCTGAGTCAGGAGAATCGCTTGAACCCAGGAGACTGCAGGTGCAGTGAGCCAAGATCACGCCACCGCACTCCAGCCTGAGAGACAAAGAAAGACTAGTGTCAAAAAAATTATTACAAAAAATAAGAAAAAAAGAGGATTAGAAAAGTCTTGAACACATGTGTGTGCAAGCATGTGTGTGTGCATGTGTATGCATGCACATACATGTGTGTGTGATGATAAAAGTTGCACTTCATACAGTGCAGGGAAAAAAAGAATGAAATACAGACCATACAAGGTGCTTAAACTACAGGTAACAACCCCCTTCCCATTGTTTTAAGACGATTGACAGGTGATCTCAGAAGGCATGTCACTGGAATGAGAAGGATACATATTGACAAAAACTAAATTTTAAAAGCTCCTGGAGAAAAACAGAAGTGTGGAGACATGGAGATGGAATCTGGAATGCAGCTCCATTCCCAGCCTGTTCTAGGGCATGGTGCTTTCCTGCAGAGAGGGACTCTTTCCCAAAGAGTGTTAGGAAGGGGCTCCCCTACTCACTGTCCCATTGATGCCGCCTGGCTGAGTGCAGAAACTTCTCACAGTAATGCATCAGGAATCGTGGTCTGAATGCTGGGCTGTCACCAGAAGCAAGGGCAGAAGGTCCTGGCTGTCAATCACAACGCAGGAAGGAACATGGCATGGCTCAGGGTTGGAACAGGGACTTTGGACATTTGTCCCTCCAGCATCCATCAGTCCCAGCCCCAGGTGCTGCACTCTCCTTATATTGTATCAGTGGAGGGAAAGTCTGGGTGTGAATGCAGATGGATGGAAGGCATGTGTGTGCGTTAGCACGCTTAGAAGAAGCATGCAGCAGCTACTCACGTTAGTCATCACCAAACATCACCTGTTTGTTTAAAAGTAATTAATTGGCCGGGTACGGTGGCTCACACCTGTAATCCCAGCACTTCTGGAGGTCAAGGTGGGTGGATCACCAGAGGTCAGGAGTTTGAGACCACCCTGGCCAACACGGTGAAACCCCATCTCAACTAAAAATACAAAAATTAGCCAGTTGTGGTGGCACATGGTTGTAATCCCAGCTACTAGGGAGGCTGAAGCAGGAGGATCCCTTGAACCCAGGAGGGCTGAACCCAGGAGGGTTGCAGTGAGCCTAGATTGCACCACTGCACTCCATCCTGGGTGACAGAGTGAGACTCGGTCTCAATAAAAAAAAGAAAAAGGAAAAAAAGCTGAAAGACCCAGGCCCTTATACAAAGGCTGGAATCTAACAAAAGCCCACCAAGAGTTTGGCCCAGTGCTCTCCTAGGCCTTGAAGCATGACAAGACAAGGAAGGAATTCTTAACTGGACCCATTTAGGATGAAGTTTTATTGGGGGTCTAAAGGAACTCCCCAAACCTCCATGCTTAGCAGAAGACAAGATAAGGGTAATCACCCCAGCACCTGGACCCATTTAGATTAAGTCAATTTACTGAGGCTCCAGAGGAAGGTCCTCAGGACTCAGACCTTAGTTACAGATGAAAGGAAATTGAATTACGTATGTATTTACATGAAAACACACTTACATGTGGACATACAGCTTAGAAGATATAGAAGCTCTGGAAAACTTTGTAATTTGGAGTTGGTCTAGTGATCATTTCCAGCCCTTCTCCCCCGTATCTGGTTACAGAAATAAAACTCCTTTCTTTCCTCTTTCATTTGCATCTCGTTATTGGGCCATGAGAATAAGCAGCCCGACCCTCGGTTTGGTCGGGGAACAATTTCAGGGATGCCTTACTGCAAAGCCAAGGTGACATTTTCATTTGCCACAAGTGTTGCTATGTCTGTGCAAAGCTGAATTGTTTCTTTGGGTTGTTCTGTACCTGTCCTGGGGCACCTCGCCGCCCACCAGCTGGACCACGGTGGGGAACACGTCCATCAGACTCGTGGGCTCGCCAATCACTCGGCTGGCTGGGAGCACCCCGGGCCAGCGGAAGATCCCAGGCATGCAGATCCCACCTTCCCATCCTCCCATGCCCTTCCCACCTGTGTTTGAACAGAAACAAAAGAAAGTGGTTAAAAACCAGAAATAAATGCTCAGCTTGGGTGATTTAACCTTTCTGCTTGTTTCACTTGTTTTAAGTTTCTCTCCCCCCGAGTATCTCAATTTCTCTCTCTCTCTTTCCCCCTCTCTCTCTTTCTCTCTGTTTTAGTGACATTAAAACATTCAATCTCATGTAGTTCCCCTTTAGAGGTTTGATTTTATATTTTTTATTAACCTTGTTGTTGGTTAGTGTGCATTGGTTTAAGTTGGGTCCTTCACTGCAAATGGCTCTTGTCCTTATAAGAGTCCTCATTCCATAGAGGAGAAGGCCATGTGGAGATGGAGTCAGAGACAGGAATGATGTGGCCACAAGCGCAGGGACGTCTGGAACCCCCAGGCACTGGGAGTGGCAGGAAGGATCCTCCCCTAGAGCCTCAAGAAGAAAGTGGATACAACTGCAATGTATTGAATGGTGACCCCAAAACATGTTCATGTCATGTCTCCCAGAGCCTATAAATTAGACTTTATTTGGAAATAGGGTTTTTGCAGATGTAATCAAGTTAAGGACCTTGAGATAATCCTGGATTAGGGTGGCCCTAAACGCAACGACAGATATCCTTCTAAGAGACAGAAGAAGAGACACAGACACAGAGGAGAAGGCCACGTGGAGACAGAAGCAGAGACTGGAGTGATGTGGCCACAAGCCCAGGGAAGTCTGCAACCCCCATGCGCTGGGAGCGGCAGGAAGAATCCTCCCCTAGAGGCTCAAGAAGAAAGTGGATACAACTGCAATGTATTGAATGGTGACCCCAAAACATGTTCATGTCATATCTCCCAGAGCCTATAAATGAGACTTTATTTGGAAATAGGGGGTTTGCAGACATAATCAAGTTAAGGACTTTGAGACAATCCTGGATTAGGGTAGCCCTAAATTCAATGACAGATGTCCTTCTAAGAGATAGAAGAGGAGACATGGACACAGAGGAGAAGGCCATATGGAGATGGAGGCAGAGACTGGAGTGATGTGGCCACAAGCCCAGGGATGCCTGGAGCCCCCGGTAACTGGGAGAGGCAGGAAGGAGCCTCCCCTAGAGCATCCAGAAAGAAGTGGATTCAATTGCAGTAGATTGCAGTGTAGTCCTCCTAAAAGATATATCCACATCCTGATTTCCAGATTATGTGAATGGGACCTTATTTTAAAAAAGGGGTCCTTGTAGATGCAATTAATATCTCAAGATCATCATGGAGAAGGATGGACTCTAAGTCTAATGACAGCATTCTAAGAGACAGAAGAGGAGACACAGACACAGAGGAGAAGGCCACATAGAGACAGAGGCAGAGACTGGAGTGATGTGGCCACAAGCTCAGGGACACCTGGGGCCCCCAGGAGTTGGCAGAGGCAGGGAGAAGCCTCCCCTAGATCTTCTGGAGGGAACATTTCCCTGAGAAACCTTGATCTGAAACTCTTGATCTCCAGGGCTGGGACAGGATAAATTCCTGTTGCTTAAAGCTCCCCCAGTTTATAATACTGACATTCTTCATGGCACAGAAAACCAGACTGGGTAAACAATATATTAACATCAATGGCAATGAGGTAAAGAAGGTTTCTGAGCAGTCAGGCTTTCGATGTGAAGTTGTTTTGGGAAGGCATTAGTGGATGTAGTTGGCATTTATATATCCCGTTTTACATATGTACTAGATTGGTGGATCCATCTACTTCAAAGCAAATATACATTGTAGGTATACTTGCCAACATTAGCCCAAAAAGACTCTTTCAAGGACTGAAAAATAAAGCTCTCTAAGCAGGGAGAAGACAAAATGTGTAAGCACAACAGTGTGAAGTCTTGTACATGGGGCAGCACATTTTAGAATCTTTGTGGTACACGAAATATTGGTGTGTTTGGAAACAATGGAATACAGGTTTGAATATAATGTGGCCAGCTAGGTGTCCACCCTTCTTCCTTTTTTTTTTTTTTTTTTTTTGGAGACAGAGTCTTACTCTGTCACCCAGGCGAGAGTGCAGTGGCACAATCTCAGCTCGCTGCAACCTTCACCTCCCAGGTTCAAGCAATTCTCCTGCCTCAGCCTCCTCAGCTGGGATTACAGATGTGGGCCATCATGCCTGGCTAATTTTTATATTTTTAGTAGAGATGAGGTTTCACCATGTGGGCCAGGCTGGACTCCTGACCTCAAGTGATCTGCCTGCCTCGGTCTCCCAAAGTGCTGGGATTACAGGTGAGAGCCACTGTGCCTGGCCTTATCCTTCTTGGATGCATTGTTTGAAGATAAAATTCAAACCTGAGTCCACACAATGGAATATATTCAGCCATGGAAAGGAATGAAACGTTTCTACAACACAGTTGAACCTCAGAAACATCATGCTAAGTAAAATAAACCATTCACAAAAAACCCCACATATTGCATGATTTCATTTACATAAATGTCTAGAGTAGGAAAATATATGATGATACAAAATAATTTTGTGGCCAGGTATGGTGGCTCATGCCTGGAATCCCAGCACTTTGGGAGGCCCAGCTGGGAGAACTGCTTGAGTTCAGGAGTTTCAGACCAGCCTGGGCAACATAACAAGACCCTATCTTTACAAAAAATAATTTAAAAAATTAAATAATAAACAAACCAAAAATAAGTTTTTGGGTGATGGATGTTAGCACAGGGGAAAAGGGAGTGACTGCTGTGAGTACAGGATTTTTTTGTGAGGTGATGAAATGTTCTGAAAATACACAGTGGTAGGCCACATGTGGTGGCTTAACGCCTGTCATCCCATTACCTTGGGAGGCCAAGGTAGGAGGATCACTTGAGGTGAGGAGTTCGCGACCAGCCTGGGCAACATGGCAAAATCCCCTCTCTACAAAAATACAAAAATAGCGCACCTGTAGTCTTAGCTATTTGTAGTCACTGAGGCTGGAGGATCACTTGAGCCCAGGAGGCAGAGGTTGCAGTGAGCCGAGACTGTACAACTCCATTCCAGCCTGGGAGACAGGGCCAGACTCTGTCTTAATAAAAATAAATAATAATAAAAAATTTTAAGAATGAAAATAAACAGTGATTGTAAAACAAAAATGAAATTCTGAGGTCCCTCAACCATCTGAATGGACTTCCTCCTTAGTCAGAGCTCTTTTTTTTTTTTTTTTTTGAGACAGAGTCTCGTATTGTTGCCCAGGCTAGAGTGCAATGGCACGATCTCAGCTCACTGCAACCTCCGCCTCCTGGGTTGACGTGATTCTCCTGCCTCAGCCTTTCGAGTAGCTGAGATTACAGGCACATACCAACACATTCGGCTAATTTTTTGTATTTTTAGTGGAGACGGGGTTTCACTATGTTGGCCAGAGGTCTCAAACTCCTGACCTCGTGATCCGCCTGCCTCGGCCTCCCAAAGTGCTGGGATTACAGGTGTGAGCCACTGTGCCCGGCCTAGTCAGAGCTCTTTTAAAATTTAACCTAAGAGACTGTTTCAGGCCATGATGGGAAGCAGGGGTTGAACATGCCTCATGATACCTCTCTGGTATTAACATCCACACAGACTTTAGGTCTGATAAGAAACATTGTCTACCTCTTCTCCTCTCTGAAGCCTAGTACCTGAAGGCTTCTTCTGCAAATAAGAACTTGGGCCTCCACAATCTTTATTTTATTTTATTTTATTTTGTTTTTTTTTGTGAGATGGAGTCTTGCTTTGTTGCCCAGGCTGGAGTACAGTGGCGACATCTCAGCTTACTGCAACCTCTGCCTCCTAGGTTCAAGCGATTCTCCTGCCTCGGCCCCCCGAGTAACTGGGCTTACAGGCACGCACCACCACATCCAGCTAATTTTTGTATTTTTGGTAGAGATGGGGTTTCACCATGTTGGCCAGGCTGGTCTCAAACTCCTGACCTCAAGGCCACCCGCCTTGGCCTCCCAAAGTGTTGGGATTATAGGCATGAGCCACTGTGCCTGGCCTCCACAATCCTTTATATTAAACTGAATATTTCTCTTCTTTCTTTCTTTTCTTTTTCTTTTCTTTTCTTTTCTTTTTTTTTTTTTTTGAGACAGAGTCTCTCTGTCGCACAGGCTGGAGTTCAGAGGCTCAATCTCGGTTCACTGCAAGCTCCGCCTCACAGGTTCATGCCATTCTCCTGCCTTAGCCTCCCCAGTAGCTGGGACTAGAAGCGCCCACCACCACAGCCAGCTATTTTTTTTTGTATTTTTAGTAGAGATGGGGTTTCACCGTGTTAGCCAGGATGGGCTCCATCTCCTGACCTCATGATCCACCCTCCTTGGCCTCCCAAAGTGCTGGGATGACAGGTGTGAGCCACCATGCCCCGCCAAAATCAGCCATTTCTTTCTATTGATCCCAGGTCTTTAGAGAAACCCAACCCCTCTGGCTTTGAGTTGTTCCAGCTTTCTGGACCAAACCAATGTCTTTCTTAAATGTATTTGATTGATGTCTCCTGCCTCCCTAAAATGTATAAAACCAGGCTGCACCCTGACCACCTTGGGCACATGTCTTCAGGACCTCCTGAGGGCTCTGTCATGGGCCATGGACACTCATATTTCCTATTTGGCTCAGAATAAATCTCTTCAAATGTTCTACAGAGTTCACTTCTTTTTGTTGACAGGACATAGGCATGCGTAGAAGAAAAAGAGATGGGAGCATACAGACTTGTTGGGTTTTGGCCTGTGAGTAACCAGGGCAGTGACCTGACCACTTTTAGAAGTGCCCAATGTACTTCTTACGTTATTGATCAATGTCTCATATCTTCCTAAAATGTATAAAATCAAGTTTTGCCCTGACCACCTTGGGTTCATGTCACCAGGACTTCCTGAGGCTGTGGAGCATCAGCTTCCACACATGCATGGAGCATGTGTCTGTCATGGCAGCATCCTCAATCTTGACAAAATAAACTTTCTAAATCAACTTAGAGCTGTCTCAGATTTTTCTGGGTTCACAGCTTTAATAACAAAGTGAAAAATGCTGATCACAGGTTGTGATAAAAGAAGACAAAGCCATATACACTATGTGATATGGATGATCTAGTGTATTTATGTGGACACAAACAGGAAAAAAAATCAAGTAAATAAATGGTCAAGAGATTTATTTATGGTGGCTAGGAAAGGAGATTTGGTGTCTTTTCTTCAGATGTCAGGTGATGTTCAAAAGAAATGCATTCTTGTGATGATTTAAAACAGATATTATGCTAAAAAGCATAATGAGTGTGTATTGATTTAGTACATATATAACTTTAATGAAAGCAAAAAAGGAGAGAGAGAAAAAGTCAGAAAAAGAAAGAGGCAGAGAGAAAGACAAAGGCAGACAGAAAGAGGGACAGAGAGATGGAAAGAGAGTGAGAAAGAGAGAAGAAAACCTTCCAAATAGTAATTATTTACAGCTCAAATAGAAGAAATACAAATATAAATATTTCTAGAAATACAAATAAGCTAGATGCCAAAAAGCATTGGATAAAATTCAATACCCCTTTCCTGATAAAAACTCTCAAAATCCTAGGTATAGAAAGAACATAGCCCAACACAACAAAAGCCACATGTGACAAAGCCACAGCTAGTATCATACTGAATAGGGAAAGCTCAACACCTTTCCTCTAAGATCTGGAATAAGACAGGGATGCCCATTTTCACCACTTTATCCAACAGAGTACTAGAAGTCCTAGCCAGAGAAATCAGGTAAGAGAAATATATGAAGGACATCTAAATTGGAAAGGAAGAAGTCAAGTTATCTTTGTAGATGATATGATCTTCCATTTAGGAAAAATACTAGGGACTCCTGAAAAAAAAAGCTTTTGGAATGGATGAACACATTCAGTAAAGTTGCAGGACAAAAAATCAACGTACAAAAAGCAGTATTTATCTTTCTACGCCAACGTCAAACATTCTAACGTAAGAATAAATTAGCTAAATTGATTAAATAAGACAAGAGGAGGTTGGACCCGGCAGCTCATGCCTGTAATTCCAGCACTTTGGGAGGCTGAGGTAGGTGGATCACTTGAGCCCAGGAGTTTGAGGCCTGTAGGGGCAACATATCGAGACCCGGTCTCAATTTAAAATAAAGAAAAAATAAAAAAATTACAGACAAGAGTACATAACACTGAATTGCTACATCTCCAATAATTTTCTGTCTGTTGAAGAGAAAAAGACCTCAGATGTCACCTGTGCTTTGTTTAGAAAACAGGAGGAAGGGATAAGGTGTATGCCTTGCTCATAGGTTTTTTTGTTTGTTTGTTTGTATGTTTTACCCTAGAGAGCACACACAATTCTAATATTATAAAAGTAATAGCAAAAGATACAACTACTTTTCACCAACCTAATAGCATCTTTACCGGGAAAGAGACTGATTTAAAATTGTACATGGAGAGAAAACCAAAGGAGCATTTTAATACCCTCAGCTTTGCTTTCTGACCTACAATGACACACTGCCAATGTTCAGAAAACAATAAATACAGGCAAAATACTGTACAAATAGATGTTAATTACATATCTTCCTAAAATGTATAAAATCGTATCTTCCTAAAATGTATAAAATCAAGTTTTGCCTTGACCACCTTGGGTTCATGTCATCAGGACTTCCTGAGGCTGTGGAGCATCAGCCTCCACACATGTATGGAGCATGTGTCTGTCATGGCAGCATCCTCAACCTTGACAAAATAGACTTTCTAAATCATCTTAGAGCTGTCTCAGATTTTAGAAAACCCAAAACCACCAGAAAATAGGGGAAGATGGTTTGCAGCAATGCTGCCCAGCAATAGTTTATCTCTGGGTGTAGAGCTTTAGGAAAATGTTCTTTTTCTAATTTTTCTTCTTCTTCTTTTTTTTTTTTTTTTTTCTGTTTTTAGATAGGGTCTTGCTGTGTCACCCAGGCTGGAGAGCAGTGATGCAATCATAGCTCATTGCAGCCTCAAATTCTTGGGCTCAAGCAATCCTCCCACCTCAGCCTCCTAAGTAGCTGAAACTATAGGCATATGCCACTATGCCTGGCTATTGTTTCTTGTTTGTTTATTTATTGTTTCTTGTATGTAGAGGTGGGATTTCCTCTCCTACTCAGGCTGGTCTCAAACTCATGGGCTTAAGCGATATACCCGCCTTGACCTCCCAAAGTGCTGGGATTACAGACCTGAGCCACGGTGCACGGCCTAATTTTTCTTTCTCCCACAATGATATGTATTTATAAGTAAAAAGATGAAATTTTTTTCATGAATCAAAAAGTTAAATAAATAAAGGGATGGTGATAAAAGCCTTGAATGAGTTTAATTTTGGAAACTGTGACATTGAGATGACCCAGAGCATTAGGCCTACCCAAGGCCTCTCCTGCAGATTAGAAAACAGATTCCCCTTCTCCAGGAAAGAGCTACATTCCTAGGCCCGTAAGAAAGTAGGTACTTTTCTGCTTTATAAAAACAATCTGGGCAATTATTCTGAGACAGAAAAGGGAATGGGAAACTCTTTGTTCACCACACTACCTTATGCCTGGGGATGGAGTCCCATTCAAGCACAAATGAACATTCACAGGACTCACCTCTGCTCCTCGGGCCCCTCCTGAATCCCCAATCAAAGGTTCTCTCCCAAAGGAAGCAAACGTGAAGGCAGAGAGCACTCGCACAAGGCTTTGAGCTGGGAATGATTGACTTCGAGTTTGTTTTTCCCAAGTCAGAAGATCAGAGAGAGTTAGGACAGACAGAGCAGACTCCCCCCACATCGCAGCATGGGGGAATCTCAAAGCCACGCCCACGTCTACCAAACCAGTGGTCAGTTTCCTTAGGTTTTTATTTTGTTTTATTTTTTGTAGAGACGGGGTTTTGCCATTTGGCCTAGGCTGGTCTCAAAGTCCTGAGCTCCAGTGATCTGCCCTCCTTGGCCTGCCGAAGTGCTGGGATTACAGGCGTGAGCCACCATATTCTGCCAGTGTCCTTAGGTTTTTAAGTGATTGCCTATGCTGTTAACACAGGCTGCTGGCTATAGTATGATCATATCCAGCCTGGCATGGTGGCTCATGCCTATAATCCCAGCGCTTTGGGAGGACGAGGCAGGAAGATTGCTTGAGGCCAGGAGTTTCAGAGCAGCCTGAGTAGCAAAGCGAGACATCATCTCTTCAAAAATAAAAAAATTAGGCTGCGCATTGTGGCTCATTCCTATAATCCTAGCACTTCAGGAGGTTGAGGCAAGAGGATTGCTTGAGCCCAGGACTTAGAGACCTGCCCGGGCATCATAGCAAGACCCTGTCTCTACAAATAATAAAACAATTAGCCAGGCATGGTGGCATGTTCCTTTAGTCCCAGCTACTCAGTAGGCTGAGGTGGGAGGATTGTTTGAGCTTGGGAGGTTGAAGCTGCAGTTTCACTACGGCCTGAGTGACAGAGCAAGACCCTGTCTCAAAAAAAATTGTTTTTAAAAGAAGATATCTGTTTAATGGTAAACGAAGTAAATAAGAAATAATAAAGATAAAAAGAAAAAAGAAAAACAATTTAAGTAAACAAAACAGCAACAACAAACAAAAAGGGTCGAGCGCGGTGGCTCACGCCTGTAATCCTAGCACTTTGGGAGGCCAAGGCAGGCGGATCACGAGGTCAGGTGATGGAGACCACGGTGAAACCCTGTCTCTACTAAAAATACAAAAAATTAGCCGGGTGTGGTGGCCGGCGCCTGTAGTCCCAGCTACTCGGGAGGCTGAGGCAGGAGAATGGCGTGAACCCGGGAGGCGGAGCTTGCAGAGAGCGGAGATCGTGGCACTGCTCTCCAGCCTGGGTGACCGAATGAGACTCCGTCTCAAAAAAAAGAAACAAAAAGAAAAAGGCGGGCGTGGTAGCTTGGCTCATGCCTGTAATTCTACCACTTTGGGAGGACGAGTTGGGTGGATCACTTGAGCCTAGGAGCTCCGGACCAGCCTGGCCAACATGGTAAAAAAAAAAACACAAAAATTAGCCAAGCGTGGTGTCGCATGCCTGTAATCCCAGCTGCTCGGTAGGCTCAGGCAGGAGGATTGCTTGAACCCAGGAGTGAGCAGTTGAAGTGAGGCAAGACGGCACCACTGCACTCCAGTCTGGGCAACAAAGCGAGACTCTGTGTCAATAATAATAATAATAATGATAAGATAAAAAATATAAATAAGCAAAAAAGAAAAAGATAAAAAAAGGATTATTTTCAAGCAATGCTTCATGTAAAAAAATAGAAAAGATGGGCTGAGTGCCATGCCTCACACCTGTAATCCCGGCACTTTGGGAGGCCAAGGTGGGCGGATCACCTGAGGTCAGGAGTTAAAAACCAGCCTGGCCAACATGGCAAAACCCTGTCTCTACTAAAAATACAAAAATTAGCTAGGTGTGGTGGCACATGCCTGTAATCCTAGCTAGTGGTGAGGCTGAGGTAGGAGAATCACGTGAACCCGGGAGGCAGAGGTTTCACTGAGCTGAGATTGTGCCACTGCACTCCAGCTTGGGTGACAGAGTGACTGCTTCCCAAAAAAAGAAAAGACCAAGACCAAGAGGGCAGGAAGCAGTTTCTGAGGCACTGCATGATCATTGTTGGGAAGTTACTCTATGGAAAGTAACCCTATGCAATGGTCCCTATTATTCAACCATCCATGACCTACAAGGACAGGGTTTCATAGAGTTCCACCTGCCGTCTCTTCACAACTTCATGTGCAGCCATATGCTGGGTCTGTGAAAAGTCACATAGCCTACCTTATGTGGGGGTGGAAACTACTCTACTTCTAGGATGAGGAGCTGAAACGCTGGCACACTCTGGACTGACTCATTTTTACAAGTAAACGGTTTTGATGGTGTGTCTCAAAATTAGTATTAGGAGGGACATCAGAAATGCTTCTTTTCCCTGCCACAGGTGTGTGCCTTAATGGTAATTGCTTTTACTTTGTGATTTTTGGCAACAAATCTTAAATCATTTCCTCACAGGGGGCCTAAAGGAATGTTTTCACTTATATTTTAAGTTATCTATTCATATTTATTATATATAATATAGTATAACTTTTTGTTTTTTTGAGATGGAGTCTCACCCTGTCATCCAGGCTGGAGTGAAGTGGTGCTATCTCAGCTCACTGTGACCTCCACCTCCCTGGTTTAAGCGATTCTCCTGCCTCAGCCTTTGGAGTAGCTGGGGTTACAGGTGTGTGCCACCACACCCGGCTAATTTTTGTATTTTTAGTAAATGTGGGGTTTCATTAAGTTGGCCAGGCTGGTCTCCAACTCCTGACCTCAGGTGATCCACCCACCTTGGCCTGTCAAAGTGCTGGGATTACAGGCGTGATCCACTGTGCCTAGCTGCATAATTTTTCATTATTAAAATATGCATGTTTTTCTTTGTAAAAATAAATAAAATAGATATAAAAACATGCTTTTAAACATATATGTACATATACCTAAATGTGTACATATATGTACACATACATATAAATACATGTTATAAATGCACATGTAAATATAAATGTATAACATATAAGCATATATACATATATGTACATGCTTATGTTCACACATGTGTAAATGTACATGTATATAATGTATGTACATGCATGTAGATAACATATAATACATATATCCATAACATGCACATGCATGTTTACACAACATATACACATACATATAAAACATGTGTATATATATACATAACATTAATATATGTACATTTTTAAATAAAAATGTTTATATGTGCATGTATAGTACACATATATATATAAAACATACATATATACATTATGTATATGTACATCATTTTTCAAGGAAAAGCATATTATGGGCTGCTTCTGACTTGCCTGGGGAACATGACTGGTTGTATTTGTTTTATCTGGCTGGTATATTGGTGTCTAAATAAACGACCCTCAGTCATTGTTAAAAAGTCATATGACGTACGGTTAGATATCAAGTCTGTGGCCTAACTCTGAAGTGATGTATTTCTCTATTTAGTGACACAATAAAAGCAGATTTTTCTTTTCCAAAGAACTCTGCACTTTAACCTTTAGAATGTTACACATTTTGCTCCAGATTGAGTTTTTGCTACTGAATAAAACTTTCTATTTTTTATTCTAAAGATACAAGATATCTTCAGAAAGTTACAAGAGGCTGGGCATGGTGGCTCACACTTGTAATCCAGCACTTTGGGAGGCTGAGATGGGAGGATCACTTGAGGCTAGGAGTTTGAGACCAGCCTGAGCAACATGGCAAGATCCTGTCTGAATTTAAAATAAAACAAAATGATAAAATATAGAATGCAATAAAATATAATACAATACAATAAAAAGAAAGATAAAAGAAGCAGATGAGGAAACACCCATGCGAGACTGACAAGGTAGCCTTTGATTCTCTTCCAGGGAGAAGGAATCACAACCTTCCATTCCTGCCCTGATCTCTAGCCCTGGGCAGTAAGCCTGTCTTCAGCGCTTTGCCTGGGCCCTGTTCCCAAACCCAATTTTGCTTTTCATCTCCAGTATCTCCTCAACGTTCACTGCATGTACCTTCAGCATCTCTAAGACAAGAATCTAGTGTGGATGCAATGCCTCCCATTTGGTACATCTTCCCTTGTTGATTTTTCTTACACATTACGTTTAGAAATCTCCCATGTAAAATATGTACTTGACATTTTCATTGATTATTATTATTATTTTGAAAGGAAATTGCTTATAAAACATTGACAGAAAAGATGCAGTTTGAAAAGACGCAGTTTGGCGCAAACGAGTGTTCTGTTGAGAATAAGCCGTGGAGCATCTCTGCAGGAGCAAAAGCTTGCCTGTAAGAAAAAGCCCAAGAAAGTCCAGTTACCTGACATGCAGTTCTGTCAGGGCCAGGCCAGCTGGATTTAGCAGGGAGGCTGCTCCTCAGAAGAAACGTCTTCTTCCAGCCAAAACAGACACGCACTGGCTGTTTTGGCAGCACTGAACGTCTGGGTCACACATGTGCACAGTTGATTCAGTCTGAAAAGCAAAAACAGGAATTCTGGAGAAACCAAGCTAGGTTATCCCAGGAACAGATCAGGCAAGTCCCCAAGGAATGTACTGCTGGCTCTCTGAGGCATCCATAAAAGACCCTCTGTAGGGGTGATCAGACCCAACATGAGGTCGTGGGGGTGACAAAGTCCAGCAGAGTCAAAGGAATGAGAAAAAGATAGTTGGAGAGAGAAAGTGGGACGAGGGGGCCATTGCAAGTGTGGAGGATGCGAAGGCCCTGAGCTCTGGGAGCCCACCCTATTTATTGCTGCTCAAACAAATAAACAGGTGGTGAGGATGTGGGGGTTGAAAGGAAACAGTGTACAAATGAATGAGAAACATATGGCTGCTTGAGATAATGGGAGTGCTAGAAGCAAGGAGCCAGCAAGTCTAGCAGAAATGCAAGCCCTGCCTCAGCTTCTCTCCCAACACTCAGCTTTTCTCCCAACATGCCCCCCTTCTCTTTTTCATAAAAACCACCACAGCTGTCATTATTATTAGCATAAGGTGGCCTTTTTTAAAATTAATTGAGCAAGGCAATTGCAGGCTGTGTAGCCCTTAATTGCCGGTTGGTGATCCAGCTTCATTTTTCTTAGACCTTATTCAAAATGGAGTTGCTCTGGTTTGAACGTTTCCTACATATCTCCCCTTTCCCTTTTACAAGAGAACCTTTAATGTTAGCGGTTTCAGGAGGATGAAGGTCCATCTTCTATAACTTCTTCTTGCTGAATAGGGGTGATGATACTCTTGCCTGCCTATTAGGGTCTCTTGTATTCACGGTAGAGAGGAGTTCAGTTAAAAAGCATTGATCAGTTAAGCATAGGTAAAACCCTGGCACTCCAGTAGTTTCTCAGCATGGCTTGGTGAACCTGGTCCGTGGTTGGGATCCATGGGTCCTTCCAGTCCCCTGTTCCATGGTTGTACACATCTTGAGGGCACCTACATGGTTTGTGTCTCCTGCAAAAACACAAGCATACTTTCACCCCCATGTTAGTAAATCTACTGAAACAGAAGCAAAAACTTTTGTGGCTGTAGCCAGGAGGCATGCCATTGTTGAAGCATTTGTAACTCAGCCTCTGCCTCTTTGGTTAATTACCATGGGATAAAACTTACCATTGATAATGAGAAGCAGGCCCCTTCTGGCAAAAAGCACAGAGAACACAAATTGAGGCTTAAAAGCAATCCTTAAACCTCTTCAATTTGCACTGTACAGGTGGATCCACTAGATGCTGTGATTCATGGTAGATCTTCAGACGTTTGGTGGGCACCCACACAGGTACCTGATTGTCACCTGGAGAGACAAAAGCAAATCCTCTTCCCCATAAAATTATCTTTCCTTTTCCCCAGCTCTTTGTATGTTCATCCCTCCACCATATATCTTGTCCAGCCTTTTTCTTATCCTTTTGTCCCATCAGGTGTTGTTCAGCTGCAGTCATGGGTTGATCTTTTTGTAAATTAAAAAAACTTAATGTTAATAAAGCTAAATGCAATTGCATATGTGGTGTCTTATATTCCTGGTCCCCTCCCTTTTGCTTTTGTATTTGAGTTGTTAAAGTACGATTAGCTCTTTCCAGTATTGCTTGTGCTTGTGAGTTATATGGAATACCCATAGTATTGAGAGGTGAAGCCAGCTGGGCTTCTGGGTTGGGTGGGGTCTTGAAGGACTTTTGTGTCTAGCTAAAGGATTGTAAATGCACCAATCAGCACTCTGTGTCTAGCTAAAGGATTGTAAATGTACCAATCAGCACTGAGTAAAATGGACCAATCAGCAGGATGTGGGTGGCGCCAAATAAGGGAATAAAACCTGGCCACCCAAGCCAGCAGTGGCAACCCGCTTGAGTCCCCTTCCATGCTGTGGAAGCTTTGTTCTTTTGCTCTTCACAATAAATCTTGCTGCTGCTTACTCTGTGGGTGTACATTACCTTTATGAGCTGTAACACTCACTGCAGGGGTCTGCGGCTTCATCCCTGAAGTCAGCGAGATCACAAACCCACCAGGAGGAACAAACAACTCTGGATGTGCCACCTTTAAGAGCTCTAACACTCACCGCGAAGGTCTGTAGCTTCACTCCTGAAGTCAGTGAGACCACGAACCCACTGGAAGGAAGAAACTCCAAACACATCAGACGAGATCGGGCACGTTTAGGGTGGTACGGCAGTAGACTCCAAACACATCTGAACATCTGAAAGAGCAAAATCTGGACATACCACTTTAAGAACTGTAACACACACCATGAGGGTCTGCAGCTTCATTCTTGAAGTCAGCGAGACCAAGAACCCACTGGAAGGAATAAATTCTGGACACTGTATGGGTAATGTTCTATTGTTGAAAAAATATAGCCATGGCTTTACAACAGTATCCTGGGCTGTTATCGGTTTTGATTTTTTCTGGGATTCCCATAACTGAAAAGTTAGATAAAAGGTGTCTTTTAACATGAGCTGTAGCTTCCCCTGTTTAACATGTGGCCCGATAAAATGTCAATAGGTATCTACTGAAACATGAACAAAGGACAGTTTTCCAAAAGCAGAAATATTTGTTACATCCATCTGCCAATGGAATTTGGAGATTAACCTCTTGGGTTAACTCCTGTTCCTTGATGTGGCTGATGCAGGACTTGGCAGGCAGAACAGTGTTGCACAATTTCTTTAGAACAGTAAAAGCAAATTTTTCATAATCTTGGGCAGCTAGAGGAATGGTAAAAAAAGCAATACTTTAGATCTATTACTGAGAGGCCACTATTTAGGCATCATTGTTGGGGAGGGCAGCCTGGTTGTGAGAGGTGAAACTGGCTGGGCTTCTAGGTTGGGTGGGGACCTGGAGAACTTTTCTGTCTAGCTAAAGGATTGTAAATGCACCAATCAGCACTCTGTGTCTAGCTAAAGGTTTGTAAACACACCAATCAGCACTCTGTAAAAATGCACCAGTCAGTGCTCCGTGTCTAGCTAAAGGTTTGTAAAAGCACCAATCAGCACTCTGTAAAATGAACTAATCAGCACTCTGTAAAATGGACCAATCAGCAGGATGTGGGCAGGGCCAAATAAGGGAATAAAAGCTGGCCTCCCAAGCCAGCAGTGGCAACCCGCTCGGGTCCCCCTCCACATTGTGGAAGCTTTGTTCTTTTGCTCTTCACAATAAATCTTGCTGCTTCTCATTCTTTGGGTCCACACTAGCTTTATGAGCTATAACACTCACTGCAGAGGATTACAGCCTCACTCCTGAAGTCAGCGAGACCACAACCCACCAGGAAGAATGAACAACTCCATATGCGCCACCTTTAAGAACTGTAACACTCACCATGAAGGTCTGCAACTTCACTCCTAAAGTCAGCAAGACCACGAACCCACTGGGAGGAATGAACAACTCTGGATGTGCCACCTTTAAGAACCCTTAACACTCACTGCGAAGGTCTGCAGCTTCACTCCTGAAGTCAGCAAGACCATGAACCCACCAGAAGGAAGAAACTCTGGACACATCTGAACATCTGAAGGAACAAACTCTGGACACACCATCTTTAAGAACTGTAACACTCACCGCAAGGGTCTGCAGCTTCATTCTTGAAGTTAGCAAAGCCAAGAACCCATTGGAAGGAACCAATTCTGGAGACAGTTGTAGCACAACCATGGGTTGAATCACAGGATTAACAGCCCTTAAATCTGTTAACATTTTCCATTTCCCTGATTTTTTTCTTAATGACAAATACAGGAGAATTCCAAGGGGAGAAAACAGGCTCTGTATGTCCCTTTTGCAATTGTTCCTGCACCTGTTCTTTTAAAGCCTCCAGTTTTTTCTGTCTCAGCGGCCATTGCTCCACCCAAACCTTGGCAGTTAGCCAAACAGGAATGGGAGTTGGAGGCTTAACGAAAAATGATACCACAATCTGGTCCAATCTGTTGGCCCTTTTAATTCTAAAGATTCTGATTGGCCAATTATCATTTTATAGTCCTTTTCCCAGGTGATATCCCATATTTTTCATCATTTGTCTACTATTATTACTCTACTGATCCATAGGAATAGAAATTTCAGCATCCCATTGTTGCAATAAGTCTCTACCTCATAAATTAACAGAAATAGATGTAATGATAGCCTGAATTGTCTCTTCCTGACCATCCAGCCCTTGACATGGTAAAATCAAGGAAAACTGAAAAATTTCTGAGGCAGCTTCTACTCTAACAATACTGATGGTTGCCTTTTGCTTAGGCCAGTGCCAGGGCCATTGATTTATAGCAATACTAGAGACATCAGCTCTAGTATGTACTAGTCCTTCAAAATATTTTCCCTGAATAGTTACTGTGCAAATAGGTCTTTTGTCAGACACTTGATTAATCCAATACACAGCTTTTCCTGCGGGTTAAGTATTACCAAAGCCTCCTGTTTTTTTCATTGTGCTGCTTCCTAGTTTCATGTAAGGTAACAGCAACAACTAAGCAATTCTTTCCCCTGGAGAGGCAGACCACAGATTTGAGGAACTAATAATTAATTGAATTTCTCTGGTATAGTGAGAGTCAATTAATCCCTTATGCACAGTAACACCTTTTAAATTTAGACTAGAACTTCCAAGAAATAAACTGACTGTTCCTGAGGGTAAGGGTCCGCTAACTTCTGTGGGGACCTTCTCTGGTGGCTCCCTAGGAAGTGTGAACTAAAAGGTGAGTTACATACATGTTTACAAAACACAATTGGACATTTTCCATTATTTTGAGATAAACCAAAATAAACTTTAAAGTTTCATTTGGAGATTTAAAAGCTGAAAATACTTTCAGCAAATTCTTAGATCTTAAGAAAGTATATATAGTCCATTGTCTATAAAATCATTTGCCTTTTTGATCTAAAAATTTTAATACTTGAATTTAATAGGTTTTTCTTCTGGAAAAGTTCTTTGGCATTCAAGTAAAATCGATATTTTCAGAGTAGTCACTTGCATCACACTGGAATGACTGCTTTAATTTCTAAATCATAAGTTAGTGTAACCCAGGGATACTGATGGCCTTGATACATAATTTAGTCTTGTTACTATACTGTGTGGTAATAAGGGCTTTGGGGGGCATCATCTGACCCCATTTCTTTTTACCACAATGGTTCCTGCTACAATGTCATAGGCTATTCAATTATGCGGAAAAAACAGCAGTGTGATGCAATCAGGGAAAAAAGAAGCTATACAAAAATTTTTGATCAAAGCTCATATAGCAGACATTGTAATGCTAACAGTTGAGGAAGGAATCACTAAAACCTGACTTGGTGCAATAAGCACTACTAATATATCACATGTCACAACTCGAAGCCCCAGCAGGAACTTCCCTGGGGTAGATCCACCTGCTCCCCAAATGCAAATTATCTCATAAAACAAACAAATAATCTGTATATAAGAGCCACAACCATTATTTTCTGCAAGTCTTCCATTGATCTGTCTTCATCTATTTCTTCCATTATATAATGCATAGCAAACTTAGAGATATCATTTATCCCACTGAGGTGCATAATGCTTAAGACAATTGTTGTTTTCACAAAGGAAAGAATAAAGAAATCCATCTTCTCTGTCATAAATCTGTGGCCCAAGGATGGAATAATGTATTCTCTGCCTGCCTGTCACCGAGGGTCACTTGGGCTTCTCAAAGGGGCTGTAGATCCTCCCTTCATCACTGGAGTGGCCTGGACTGATGGCTACACATGAGGAGCCCAGGGTCCCAGGCCTGCAACTGGAGCAGGGGTGCTGATGCCAGCAGCTGTCCCCAGGTCAGGCCCGGTACAGTAGACTGGAAGTAGAAGGGTTTATAATAGCCCATGTGCAGGGATGGTGGCACTGCCCGAAGGGAAGCTCTGTGGGAATGGTTGGGGCCTGCAGCAGGCAGGGAAGGTGGCTGGGCCACTGCACCAGGTGACATAGCTGCAGCAGAACTCCGACAGCCAGTCATGCACTTGCCAGGAGCACTCTTGGGTGCTCAGCTGCCCCCCTCTCTCCCACGGTGCCAGTGCCTTGGGCACTTCACAGCCTGCCTGCCCCTGCAGCCCTGCACCAGAGCTGGAGGCTGCCTCCCCACACTTCCTGATCTTGCTGGGCAGCTCTGATTTGTTGGTGGTGGCAACTGTGAGGCTGGGGGCTGTGGGCCAGCCCAGGGCCTGGGGTTCAGCCTGGGGTTGACACGGGGGCATGGGACAGTGGCAGCAGAAGGGCCTCTCAGGGAAGGGATGGGCTTGTGGTCCTCTCTGCCCTTGTCATGACTGGGAGAGCAGCCTCAGGCTTCCTTGGGCACCTCTGCCATTGTCACCTCAGAAGCACCCTCCATGGTATCTGTCACTGCTCCATCTTGATACGCCTTTTTAAAATCTCTTCCAATTCTCTCCCATTCATCCAACTCCATAGTCCCCTGTTCAGGAACCATGGGCAAAACTTCTTTACTGCACTAAAGAGTGATAATAAATTCTGAGTATTTGCAGCAGGATAATTAAGGAATCAGAGAGACCTAGGGGTTGAGGAGGAATTATTTAATTATTTAGGTGCACCGACCCAGTCAGATTAACACCGAAAGAACTGAGCTGTGAACAGAGTCAAGCTACCTTTTAAGCATTTTGTGGGGTTGGAGGAGATCTGTGCAGGGTGAGGCATATTACAGAAGAGAGAAACAAAGACAGTTATTCAATTGAGATATGCATTACATCAGTTCTTACTTTTCAAGAAACAACATGTTTTACGACTTGAGATTATCTGCCTAGTGACCTTGCAGCTGCACAGCTAGAGAAACAGGGTCTTCACAATACCTGGGAAAGGGAGAGATAAGGCTCACTAGCCACAGAAAAACAGGCAGTTAATTTTAAAGGACTCCAGCTCTTTCTCTTCCTCAGGGGGAACTGGGTTTTCTTATATACGACTGAGTTTTTGCTTACACGTTCTTTAATTTCTTTCAATTCCTCTTCCATTTCCCCCATTTGGTGCTTTTTAAAACAAAGATGTTAATAGAAAGCACCACTATTTGCCATCTCTTCCCGGAGCTGAGCTGTTTCTTTTATTGGCAGTGGCTGATATTTGGTTAATGCCGTCAATAGCATGGTAGTGTTTCGGGTTACTACTGCCTCTATAGTTGACAAATACTCCTAATATACAGGGGTAAAAGGCAAGGGAGGATGAGGCAGATGCCAAGAATAAACAAAAACCCACCAATGAGGGTTTTGAATCCCCCAAACATTGAGAACCATCCTCCAAACAAGGAATCCAGGGACCATCCAGACCAAGTCTGAACTGGAACATGGGCCAACTTGGACATTCTAGCTGTGGTTTCCATTAGAGCTTGGCCATTATCATCCATTTCTAGGCAACAACTGGTTAAATTAAATTTTCCACATACTCCTCCTTCTGAGGCTAAGAGGTAATCTAAAGCCAATCTATTCTGATATGTAGCATTTCTCATTTGTGTTGCTTGTGTTATCAATAAATCTAGTTTCCTTGACATTTCATTGGTTATTATTTCAAGGACTGCCTGCAACCTTATGATGCGGTTGAGCATATAGATTGGGGTGCGGTATTCCCATGACCCAACTTGCGCTCAGATAGCGGGCCCATACTATTTAATGATTCTTTCAGGAGGCCATTCATTATCCTTCCAGTCTCCTATGTCTGCATCCTTTTTGACATTTGTGTCTATTTTTGTCATTATGCTTTTTCTAGTTCTTTTATTTTCATCATAAACTGGATACCCTAAGAGTTCCCCTTGCTTTAGAGGAATTAAAAAGAGGGATGGCTTGATTGTTTCTAACACACATGCCCCTGTCCATTTAGCCAGCAGTTGCCGATATGCCCATGCTCCACAGACCCAATATAGGCCAGAGGGTGCTTTCCAAGCATTTGGAATCTTTAGCTGATGCCAAGAGTGGCTTAGGGTAGAGAATCAAGAGAAAGCATTTGGATCTGGTAACTAGGAGTCGTTCTGGGAGTTTCTCCGTAGAGTTTTGTTTTTACTCTCATCATAATACTGTTGCCCTAGGCTTATTGTTTTTCCCATTGCCTCTGTGAAAGCCTTTCCCCAACAGGCGATACAGTACTTTCCAATTATGGAGGTTTTTAACAACCAAACACTAGCTGAGGCTGTTGGTTCACTGGCAGGATTAGGCAAAGTGAATTTATGTTGTGGCATTAATTCCTTTGCCTCCCATTGCCGCTGGTCCCCCATATGAGTTCCTTCACTTACATAGCATGAGGAAATTCCTAAGCTGCCAGCTATGTTTTCAGCTAGTTGAGCAAATAAGTTTTTGGTTGATAGGGGAAGCTCAGGCACTGACTGATCAAAATGCTTACAGAATGACTTATGGACCCAGAATTGCAGGGTTGGACACATTTGAGTCCTTCTAGTCTTTTTGACAATTAGTAGTGGAACTCCAAGGCCTGCTCCTTGTCTATCAACTCATAATGCTGCTGTCTGTCCTGTAGACCAGAAAGGTAGCTCTGGCTATATGATAGTAAAATTTAAAGGACTGCATGTCCTTGTCTTACAATTTGGTTTGGCTGACATACTACTTAGCAGAGCAGTCCTTCCTGAATATAAGTGTTGGAGCTGTGTTAGCATAGACCACAGAATGTTACAGTCTGGGCATCCAATTTGTGGTTCTCAGTACAGATGTTTAGGGCTGCTGTTGCTAATCCTGTCTTGTGTTAAACCATTGCAGACTGCTTTTGGTTTTACAGGATTATAAACATATGTGGCATGACAGGCATCAAAGTACAAAGAAGTAGATCTTTTGTAGGATGGAGGGCCTTCTTTGATTCAAGCTATTAGCTCTCCTTCTTTTTCTCCTTCTGTTAATGTGTACCTCAAACCAGAATTCATAGGGTAAGCGCTTAGGGTCATGACATGCATGCAGCTGATTATTTCCTGGGTCACAGACTGAAGAGGTGATCTGGTTGTATGCGCAGGTTCCTAACTTGGTTCCTGTACTGTAGGTATGGTACAGTAGAGTTTTAACTAAGGTATTCCTTACCCAGGTAGTATGTACACAGTGTGGGCATCTTTCTAGAGATTCCTCCCCTTTTAATATAGGCAGAAATGATAACAACATCAGTGTATGTAATAGAAACATGCTTACACTGCACATGGACATGGCAAACCTCCCTCTGGGCATAGACATTGGCAGCATTTGCAGTGGTAATGTAACAACAGAACAATCAGTATTAACAGAATTATAACTAGGGTTATGAATTGTATCCAAATTTACTTATACAGAGATGACCTTTAGCTTCGGCTGTGCATTCACTAGTTAGCTCCCTGGACGTGACTAGAGCAGAGCTTGCAGGATCTTCAAGCTTCAGCCATGCGTAGACTGACCAGCCTCTGGTGTGGTTGGAGCAGGACAGTTGTCCTTCTTACCAATGGTTGGGTTTTGCCGTAGGACTATTCAGGTGGGGCGATCTGAGTCTTGTTGGCTAATCCACTGGTTTCATCGGAGTCACTGCTGCTGCTGGTTTCAGCCAGCTATGGTGAATCCAAGGTGTGACACCTGCAACTTTAAGAGCAGTGGGAGTAGACATGATTACAATATGGGGCCCATCCCTTAAGGGTCCCCAGGTTGTTGGATTCCACCTTTTAACCCAGACAGAGTCCCCTGGCTTATGTGGATGCACTAGGTCTGTTAGACTTATAGGTATCCTTTCTCTTACCTAGCTTTGCACCTCCTTCATTGCCACTCCTAAAGCCTGCATCTGTCTCTTAAGTGTTAACTCTCCTACCTCCTTTAAATCACCTCTAATTTGATAATGATTGGGGATGGCCTTCTGAGCAATATGTCATAGGACAAATACCTAGTTTGTTTTGTAGGTGTACACCTGACCTGGAGGAGGACCATGGGCAAGACCTGATCCCATTGTAAGTGAGTTTCCTGGCAAAACTTTTTTAGTAGCTGTTTGAGTGTCTGTTTCATCTGTTTCACCTTCCCTAATCTCTGTGGTGAGGAGGCTGTATGCTGTTTCCATTTGATCTTTAAAAGTTAAGTCAACTGTTGTACTAACTCTGCCACAAATGCAGGACATTGTCTGATCCTAGGATTAAAGTCAACCTAAATCTTGGTATGATGTCTTTTAATATTACCTTTGTCACCTCTCGTGCCTTTTCATTCCTGGTTGGGAAGGCCTCAACACATCCCAAGAAGGTGCAAACAAACACTAGCATATACCAGTAACCTCCTGCTTGAGGTAACTTGGTAAAGTCTATAAGCAGGTTCTCACAAGGCACAGCTCCCACTTCCTGTATTCCAGGGGATCAAGTAGGTTCTTGTCTTGGATTATTCTAGGCACAGGATAGACATTGTTCACAAACAGCATGGGTGATTGCAGACAGCCATGGTACATAGAAATGCTGACCTATCAAAATCTCTAGGGCCGTCCTTCCAATGTGTGTTCCTTGATGGATCTGCTTCACAAACCTTGGGGCTATTGTTTCAGGGATGGCTAGCCTCCCGTCAGAGAACAGCCACCAACTATCTTTAATATATGTTTCCTGTTTCGTGATGAAACCAAGCTTTTTCACTTAAAGAGTAATTGGGTACCTCAAGTAAAGGGGGCTCTATAAGGAGAGGCATTGCTGGAGTTCTTTCTTCAGGTAAAACCTTGCTCATTGCTGCCTGCTGAGCCTCTTGGTCTGCCTATCTGTTGCCCTGTGCCTCATAGCCTTTCCTGATTTAGTGCCCTTTGCAATGAATGACAGCCACCTTCTCTGGAGCCCATATGTCTTCTATTAATTGCAAAATTTCTTCTTTATTTTTTATATCATTTCCTTCAGTAGTCAATAGTCCTCTCTCTTTTTATATTGCCCCATGGTCGTGTAGGGTTGCAAAAACATATCTTGAGTCAGTATATATACTTACTTTCTTCCTCTTGGCCAATAACAGTGCTCTAGTTAATGCTATTAATTCAGCCCTCTGAGCGGAAGTCCCAGAAGTTAAGGCTTGAGCCTCAACTACCGAGTGTTGTGTTACTACTTTATACCCTGCATATCACACCCCATCTGTTATGAAACTGCTACCATCAGTGAAGTATTCAACATCTGGGCTCTCCAAGCGGGTATCTCTGAGATCTTCCCAGCTCAAGAACACTTCATCCACCATATTTATGCAACAGTGGGGAAGGTCCTGCCAGCATTGAGGCAACCCACCATGTTTCCAATTGGGTTCCTCCACAGGCAGCAGGGTAGTTGGGTTCAAGGCATTTAGTCTGTAGTGTTACCCGCAGATTCTCACACAGAAGCACTTGATACTTTAGCATTCTAGAGTGGGACAGCCAACGACGTCCTCTTTGCCCCATTAAGGTGACTACAGTGTGTGGCACCCGGAATATTATCTTCTGACCTAGGGCTAGCTTGTTGGCATCTTCTATAAGGATCGCAGTAGCTGCCAGTGCCCTGAGGCAATGGGCCAACCTAAGGCCACCAAGTCCAGTCTCTTGGATAAAAGTATGCTACTGGCTGATACCAAGAGCCTAACAACTGAGTTAAGACTCCAAATAACATTCCCTTTCATTCATCCACATACAAAAAGAAGGGTTTTTTAACATCTGGCAACCCTAGTGCTGGGGCCTGGATGAGAGCTTCCTTTATATCCTTGAAGGCCTTTTCCTATTCTTTTTCCCATAGGAGGGGCTCTCTTTCCTTTCCTTTGCTAGCCTCAAATAAGGGCCTTGCTATAAGGGAGAAGTTTGGAATCCAGATTTGGCACAATCTCACTGCACCCAGAAATTCCCTGACCTGCTGCCTTGTAACTGAGGTGGGCAATGCACATAAAGCCTCCTTGCATGCACTTCCAAGCCTGTGCAGGCTTTGGGATACCATGAATCCTAGATATCCAACCTCCAGAAAACAGACTTTTGCCTTGTCCTTGGACACTTTGTAACCAGCTTCACACAGCAGGTGAAGAAGCCTCTCTATTCCTTGGAGATATTCCTCCCTCCTGGGGGCAGCGAATAGCAAATCATGAATGTATTGTAATACCACAGAATTGTCACTAAATGGTGCAAAAGCTTCAAGGTTGGTAGCCAAAGCGTCCTCAAAGATAATGGGAGAATTCTTAAATCCTTGTGGCAGTCTTGTCCAGGTATATTACAATTGCCCCCACTGGAAGGCAAATATAGGCTGACTTTGGGGAGCAAGTCTCAAGCAAAGAAAACATCCTTTAAGTCTAGACACATGAACCACATGGCCTCAGCAGGAATCTGTCCTAACATGGTGTATGGGTTGGGTACTATGGCATAGATAGTGACAGTGGCCTTGTTTGCCACCCAGAAGTCCTGCACTGGCCTGTATTCACCATTTGGCTTGTGCACAGGCTGCAGAGGAGTATTCCAAGAGGACTTGCATTTTACTATAATCCCTTGTTCATAGAGCCGATTTAGATGTTGTGTTATGCCTTCAATTACCTCTTTGGGTAGGGGGTATTGACAGACTCATACCAGGGCAGCATGAGTGTTAAGCTCTATTACCACTGGGTGTCTGTTTACAGCAAGTCCAGGAGGATTGTCCTCAGCCCATACACCTGGAACCTTGAAAAGCATTCCCTACATACTGTGTAGGTCCAGCTCCGGTATCCTTCTGGCACACAGTTCAGAGAGCTGCCATTCCTCAGCCTCTGGGACAGTTAGAATCAATACCATTGCCTTAGACTTTCCAAATTCCGGTGTCGTATTCCCTTCAGGTGTAAAGGAAATTTGTGCCTGCAGTTTCTGGAGTAAGTCTCTCCCTTACAAAGGCACTGGGCAATTTGGCTTATATAGAAACCATGCTGCACTTCTTATCCCTCAATAACGTGTCTCCTGGAATTGCGAAAAGGTCTCTTTTCTTTGGCCTCTGTGGCCCCTACGATAGTAGCACAGTTCTTTGAGGAGGGGCTAATTGGGTGAGTTACCACAGAGAAATCAGCACCAGTATTGACCAAAAAATCCATTCATTAATCGGCCCCCTACTTCCATAGAGACCATAGGCTCCACAAGGCCTAAAAGGATGGAGCCTGGTCTGTCTGAGTCCTCTAAATTCTCAGCCCCTGCCAAGCCGATCAGATCGGGATCTGCCTTGGAAGTACCACTGCTAGCAACCTAACACCGCACTTGGGTGTTAGACCACTGACCATCATCATCCTTTTCCTTTTCAGGGCACTCATCTTTCCAGTGGCCCATTTGCCTGCACCTTTCACATTGATTCCTGTCCAACTGGGACTGGCTTTCATCTCTGGGTCTTGTCTGCCCTGTTCCTTGGCCTCTGCCTCGGCCTCACCCTCTAACAAGTCCAGGGTTACTTTCTGCTAGTGCAGCAGAAATTGAGCTGTCTCTTTGTTTCTATTTCTCGTTTTTCTTTCTTCCTTTTTCTCTGCCTCTTCTTCCCAGTTTTTTAATACTTTGTTTGCTATTTCCAGGAGTTTACTAATATTTTTCCCTGAAAAGCCTTCCAACTTCTGAAGCTTTCATATTATGTCTCCCTGAGCTTGCCTGACAAAGGTCATATTTATCATATTTTGGTTTTCAGGAGCCTCTGGAATAATTGGAGTGTACAGCCTCTATGCCTCACAAAGCCTTTCATAGAATGCACTGCGGCTTTCATCAGGCTTTTGGCCCACTTCTGATATGTTATGGATATTCAATGCCTTCCTTCCTCCTGCTTTTATCCTGTTCAGGAGTGCCCTTCTATATAATGCAGCTGTTCCATGTCCCCAGCCTCATTTGGGTCCCAGTTAGGGTCCTCATTTGGGTATCGCTCCACGGAGAACTGGCATGGGTTACGGGTGGCCTCTGGGGCTTCCCCTTCTAACCAGCTGAGAGCTGCCTGATTAACTCTCCTATGCTCCTCTGTATTAAAGTTAGCAAAAGTAGTTGACAATCTGGCCAGGTTGGGTTTTGTGTTATAATAATAGAATTCACCAAATCAATGACAGCCTGAGGCTTTTCTGCATACAAGGGGGCATGCTGTTTCCAATTTAAGAGATCAGTAGTGGAGAAAGGCTGATAAACATAAAGCCTAGAGCCTCCTTGTATCTGCCCTTGGTCATCATAAACTTGTGTCCTGTTCTCTCGAAGTGGCATCTGCAAAGCCTGTGGTCAGCCTGAGCGGAGGCACCCAGCTGCCTTGCTCTGTCCATCTTCCTGGTTTTTTTCTAAGGGAGGCTTTTGTTCCTCTGGGGTTGGGGGAGACTGGGCCTCACTTTCCTCTCAGCCTGACTCTGTGGATGCTCCTGACTCTGCCTCCTGCCTTATACTGGCCAAAGACAGGTAGACTGGCGGCATATATGGGGGCGGAAATTCCCTTTCCTCAGGTGGAAACTGAAGAAGTAGTTTCAGCTGAGGCTTCAGGGACTCCTTTTCTTGAGAGACTCTAGGGGCTTTAGGTTCCTCTGCTTCCTTTGGTTGGGCTGCCTGAGCCATTAATACCTTGCACTATCCTTCTAGGCAGGGCTGTAGCCACTTGGGGCAAGTTTGTGCCACACTGAGCCAAGAGTCTATTTAGGGACTCTGGTCTGGATATCCTGATTGTCCTCCAACTCCAGTGGCCACCTTAAACACACTGCCAATTAATTCCCTTTCTATTGTACCTTCAGAGGGCCACCCCACATTAAAAGCAGGCCAATTTATCTCACAGTATGTCCTTAACTTTTGAGCATCCAGTTTCATCCCATAATCACCTGTAAATCCTGTTTTAAAACTCTTTATCATGCACTCAAAAGGAGTCAGTTTCGACGCTTTTCCTCCCATTTCCTCCTTTGTAATGCACTTTCACTCTCAGGTTCACCAGACTGGGTGCTATTACAGGAGTTTTGGACGCTGCTTAGCCAGGAATGTGCCTTCCACTCTCACAGCCTACCGCAGCCATGGAGCTGGTCCTGTCAGCCACATAAAATGTCCTAGGTCTGGTTTCCCCTGCACTTGCCTCGGAGCACATAGCCCATGCCAAGGGATCTGTGCCTCCCCACGTTACTCCCCACATTGGCCTCTATGGAGACCATCTCTTTCACACACCTTTCCTGCCCCAGGACTCCTCATCGGGCAAAACAGGCCTCTCCCGTGTCCCAGGTGAGCCTGGTTAGGCTCCCACATTCATACACATACAGACATCATGCCTACCCCAGGACTCCTCATTGGACGAAAAGAGCATCTCTCATGTCCTGGGTAGGTCCACATACACCCATGCACTCCCACTTGGGGTGGCAAATCACTCTTGCCACCCTGCCAGCAAGGTCTTCCTGCAAGGAAGGAAGCTACCTGCAAGGAAGGAAGCTTCCTGCAAGGAAGGAAGCTCCAAGTTCTTACTCGCCGCTCTATCGGCCCATTTTCTCCACCAGTGAAATACTTTACTTGTTAGGGGGACATGAGGTTCATCCAAATTGGCAGGCCACTCCTGCTACCCCCAGCCACTCTTGGTTGGATTTGTGATCGGTCCCCAGGAGGTGATCAAGCTCCTCTTTGTCCCTATGGGATAGGATGGGCTTTCCCGCCTTGAGCTCTTACTCCTTACCGCGGTTCCTGAAGTGCTGGTATTGTCCTGCAGCTCCATCCCTGGTCCTGTTGCACTGCTGGGCAGGGCGCTAGAATGCCAGGAAAGGTGGTTTCCATCTGGGTGAAGCTCCCCCGTGGCACACCTTAGATGCTGGGTCTTCCAGGCCCTGGGGCTCTAGTCCCACAGGAAAAGGAGACAGTAAATCTTTCATCTCCAACCCCCATCTGGGCCACCAGAAATGCAGTGGGATAATTAAGGAATCGGAGAGACTGAGGGGTTGAGGAGGAGTTATTTAATTATTTAGGTGCACCGACCCAGTGAGATTAACATCCAAAGGACTGAGCCTCAAACAAAGATTCAAGCTCCTTTTAAGCATTTTCTGGGGGCAGGGGGAGATCTGTGCAGGGGGAAGCATATTACAGAAGTGAGAAACAAAGACAGTTACTCAATTAAGACATGCATTACATAATTTCTTACTTTTCAAGAAACAACATGTTTTATGACTTGAGATTATCCATCCAGTGACTTTGCAGCTGCTCAGCTAGAGAAGCAGCATCTTCACAATGCCTGGAAAGGGAGAGAGAAGGCTCACTAGCCACAGACAGAAAAACAGCCAGTTAATTTTAAAGGACTCCAGCTCTTTCTCTTCCTCAGGGGAAATTGGGTTTTCCTACAAACAACTGAGTTTTTGCTTACACACTCTTTAATTTCTTTTAATTCCTGTTCCAATATCATCATGGAGATGTTCCTGTGATTTGGTTTCTTCATGTGTAAAATGAGGAAAACCAGTGTCTACTTTACAGAGAAGCTATGAGGATTACATGCATTAATTAATGTGAAATTGCCTTGTGTAGAATAAGCAGTCAATAAATATTATTACAAATGTTGTTGTAAGCATCATCAATTGCAGTTTAATTGTCATTCCTTAAACATAAAATAAGAAAAAATGGTGAAGAGTCAACATTTAAGAAAAAAATAAAGAAACATGGCTAAAACTGTTATTTAATTGAAGAAAGGCATTTGGCAATACGCATAGGAAGTAATTCTAAGCAGAATAAACAAATATAAATCCAAAATTTGAAGCATGTGTGACTGCAGACTACAAAAGACAAAGAGAAGATCTACAGATGGAAACAGGGCAAGTGAGTCCCAAATTGGGGCTTAGCCTGGGAGAGGTCTTGGCTTCCCTCAGGAAAGAACTCAAGAGTGAGCCAGTGGTGGAAGAGACAGCTTTATGGAGGTGGTAGTGTGACTACCCCTGCAGAGAGCAGGGGTCAGGGCACTACTGCAGTAATATTTATACCGACTTTTAATTGCGTGTAGATTAATGCGCAGTTTATGCAGAAATTTCTACGAAAAGGGTGGTAACTTCTGAGTGCTCAGGTCATTGCCATAGAAGAGGCCAGTTACTCCCAGATGTTGCCATGGCAATGGTAAACTGACAAGGCATGCTATTGAGCATGTCTTATGGAATGCTGCTTCCATGTTTTAGCTAGTCTCAATTTGGTCCTTTGTCTGCTTCTGCTTCTTGTTCTCACCATTCCTGGGCTCAAGAAATTCTCCTGCCTCGGCCTCCCAAACTGCTGGGATTACAGGTGTGAGCCACCACGTGTGGCCAACAATGAATGTTCTTTATTTTATTATACTTTATATTTTGAGATAGAGTCTTACTCCGTCAACCAGGCTGGAGTGCAGTGGTGTCATCTCAGCTCACGACAACCTCTGCCTCCTGTGTTCAAGTGATTCTCCTGTCTCAGCCTCCTGAGTAGCTGGGATTACAGGCACACAGCACTACACCCAGCTAATTTTTGTATTTTTAGTACAGGCAGGAGTTCACCATGTTGGCAAGACTGGTCTCGAACTCCTGACATCAAATGATCCACCCACATCAGCCTCCCAAAGTGCTGGGATTACAGGCAGGAGCCACCGTGCCAGCAACGATGAATGTTCTTAGTATCACTAATATGTGCACTTAAACATGATTTAAAATGGCAAATTTGGTTATGTGTTATTTTACCATACTTAATTTTTTCTTTTGAGATGGAATCTTGCTCTGTCACCCAGGCTGGAGTGCAGTGGGAGACCCTGTCTTAAAAACAAAACAAAACTCTAAAAAACAACCTAACAAGCAAATGCAATAACAACATCTTTTGCAATTTTTGAAGTTTGAAGTTTACTTATTTCACTCAGAGCTCCCCTGGATTACTTGTGTTTAATGCTGTTCTCAAATTGTGTGTGTGTGTGGAGAGAGAGAGAGAGAGAAAGAGACAGAGAGACAGCATGCAGCTAACAAATCCCTACATCATCCCAAATCCATCATTTTTTCTTTATTCGATTCTGCAGTGGTGCATTCTCGGCTCACTGCAACCTCTGTCTCCCGGATTCAAGCGATTCTGCTGCCTCAGCCACCACAGTAGCTGGGATAACAGGCACACACACTACCATGCCTGGCTAATTTTTGTATTTTTAGTAGAGACAGGGTTTCACCATGTTGGCCAGGCTGGTCTAGAACTTCTGATGTCACATGATCCGCCGACTCGACCTCCCAAAGTGCTGGGATTACAGGAGTAGAGCCGCAGTGCCCAGCCCGATTTTGCTATTTCTTTTCTCCCCCCAACCCCCTGCTTTTTTTTTGAGATGGAGTTTCCTTCTTGTTGCCCAGGCTTGAGTGCAATGGCATGATCTTGACTCACTGCAACCTCTGCCTTCTGGGATCAAGCGATTCTCCTGCCTCAGCCTCCCGAGTAGGTGGGATTACTGGCGCTTGCCACTACACCCAGCTACTTTTTTGTATTTTTAGTAGAGACAGGGTTTTGCTCTGTTGGCCAGGGTAGTCTCGAACTCCTGACCTCATGCAATGCACCCGCCTCTGCCTCCCCAACTGCTGGGAGTGCAGTCATGAGCTACCGCGCCAACCCCGATTCTGCTATTTCTTATCCCTCTTTACATTGTAGGGACACTGCAGACTTTGACCTGAATGAACCAATAAATTATGCCCCCACTTCACTAATGTGCCACTAGGAGGCGCTAGACAAACATTTCTCAACTACTCGTTTCATCATTCAAGCGTGGCGCAGGTGTTCTTGCTAGAGACTTGTCATTGATGTTTTCTTCAGCCATTAGGAGGAAATGGCCATAAGGAAAAGACTCGGTTTGTTTTATGTTAATCCAGGGGATATGAGGGTACATATGTACCAACAAAACATGTCCATTTTAGAGAGTCAAAGTACCCAATCTGTCCTCCACAATTCAGCATTTTTAGAGAAATAAAAACTGATGGTGAAACATGCAGACTCTAAAACTGAATGTCTGCTTTTCAAGTTCGTTCTATTTGTTGGCTAGGGAAAAATAAGTGTCACTTAACTTCTTTGTATGCAGTGTCTCAACTTTAAAATGACTACAATAGCAAATGCTTCATAGAGTTGCTGCAAAGATTAAATAGATAAATATGCTAAAACACTCAGAAGAGGCTGGAACGAGCACTTTAAGATGACAGTAATTTTATTTTATTACAAGAAAGACTGAGGTTGAATTTTCTTAACCCAGAACTTAGATTAGGAAGAAGTGGTCATTAAAATATACCATGCATTATTACTTATTATGGTCATCATTCCATGCAATAGATCACTAAACTTATTGCTCCTGGGAGGGGATAGATTTATTAACTTGCCTAATGTAATCATTTCACATTGCGAACATATATCAAAGCATTCCATGTTACACCATATATATATATATATATATATATATATAAAATTTGTCAATTAAAAATAAAAATAAAATGCTGACAAAATAAGAGGTGTCAATGAATGTATAAGAAACATGAGGTAGCTGAAGTAGGAGTCTTACTCAAACCATCTGCCCTGATCTGTCTATCATCCCATGCTGGGACATGAAAAGCCACATATTCAGAGGACTGTGGGAATTGAGAGAGAGTGAAGGACAGACAGAGTCTTCATCAGCGACGTTCCCACATGGGAAGCCTCCTACCATTAACCTTAAAGACGTGAGTTCTGGAAGATGTCTGAGAAGAGATTTTCTGGGATTTGTGGTTTTGCCAGAGAGCTGGCAATGCGTTGATGGGGGCAAACACTTCCTTCATTATTATATTTTCCAAAACTCACGGCAATATTTTGGAGAATTGTTAAGGTGGTAGGAGGGAGATGTAAGAAATAGCCCCAGAGCGCCCTTGTGTTTGCTGCCCTGCATGTTTGCCAGAAGGAACATATTCCTCAGGTATTAGTCTCATGCGGCTGATAAAGACATGCCCAAGACTCGGTAACTTATAAAGGAAAGAGGTTTAATGGACTCACAGTTCCACATCACTGGGGAGGCCTCACAATCATGGCAGAAGGGAAAAGACATGTCTCACATGGTGGCAGGCAAGAGAGAAAAAAGAGCCAAGTGAAAGGGGAAACCTCTTATAAAACCATCAGATCTCATAAGGCTTACTCATTACCATGAGAACAGTATTGGGAAACCACCCCCATGATTCAATTATCTTTCACTAGGTTCCTCCCACAACACGTGGCAATTATGGGAGGTACCACTGAAGATGAGCTTTAGGTGGGGACACAGCCAAACCATATCACCTTAGGTATGGAGAGGCTGAAGAAATGAATGTGCCATTTTTGGTCTTTACAGGGTGTTTCAAATTTGCAAATGCTCAAAAATGTTATCCCTCAAAGACCTTTGAGGAAAAAGTTAGTTGATTGACTCCAGCAAAATGGAATGTAATCTAAGAAAGGCAAGAGTAGCCAAGCACAGTGGCTCATGCCTGTAACCATAGCATTTTGGGAGGCTGAGGTTGGAGGATCGCTTGGGTCCAGGAGTTCAAGACCAGCCTGGACAACATAGTGAGCTCTTATCTCTACTAAAAATTTGTTTAAAATTGCTGAGTGTAGTGGCACATGCCTGTAGTCCCAACTAGTCATGAGGCTGAGGTGGGAGGATCACTTGAGCCCAGGAGATTGATGCTGCACTCCAGCCTGGGTGACAGAGCAAGACCCTGTCTCAAAATACTACTACTACTACTACCACTACTAACAATAAAAAGAAGAGAGTACACAGGAAGCAGTGCTGAATAAATAAATGTATAAAACAGAGTTATGTCTGAATGTGTTAGTGCACAGTTGTGAAAATAATCTGGAATTAACATTTCACACGTGAGGTAATTGAAAGAGCAGAGAAGAAAGAGAGAATGAGCATATGTTCATGTTTTTGTTTCATCTGGGAAGAAGACATAGATAATGACTATCTTTATATTTGATAGAAAATATAAGCTTAAATATGTGTGCTGACAGTTGAAAGGGCATTACCTCCAGAAAACTAGAAAAGATGTCTACAAGTTTCAGAGCCTTAATGGGAAATGCGTGGATTGAAGAAAACTTGTTTCATGAAATCAGAGGTGGGTGGGAAAGAATTACACCAAAGAAGCAGAAAATCCGATATATGTAAAAAAGGGAAAACAATGTGAAACAAAGCTGCAGGACTCAATCCAAATATAACAGTGATCATAATAAACATGAATGGATTAAAATTCCTTTTTAAAAAAGTAGACTTTCTGAATGGGAAAATAAACATAAAATCCAGACATACAGTAGTGTAGGAGGCAGGTTAGTTAAAAACCAAAAAAAAAATGTTGAAAATAAATGGATGCATGTGATATTATTCTGTTCCACTATCCAATCTAGGTAATGGTCAATTATTTTATAGATTACGCCTCAGTTTTTTTTTTTTGTTTTTTTTTTTTAAGACAGACTCTCTTTCTATCCCCCAGGCTAGAGTGCAGTGGTGTGATCTTGGCTCATTGCAACCTCTGCCTCCCAGGTTCAAGCTGTCCTCATGCCTTAGTCTCCAGAGTAGCTGGGATTAGAGGTACCTGCCACTGCACCTGCCTAATTTTTGTATTTTTAGTAGAGATGGGGTTTCACTTTGTTGGCCAGGCTCATCTCGAACTCCTGACCTCTGGTGATCCACCTGTCTCACCCTCCCAAAGTGCTGGGAGTACAGGCTTGAGCCACTGTGCCCAGCCTTCAGTTTGGTTTTGTCCAGTGTTTTCTCATGATTAGACTGAGGTTATGCATTTTTGGCAAAAAAATCATCAGAATTGATGTAAGTTTTCAGTGTGTCATGTTATGGAGTGCATGATGTCTTTATGTCCTGTCCTGGTGATGTTAAATTTGATCACCTGGATTAAGTGGTGTCTGTTGGTGTTCTCCACTGTAATATTATTATTTTTTCTGATCCAGGAAAGGTTAAGCAAGAGTTTAGCACCATTTTAAGTCTAAGAAGAAACATTTACTATCCAGTTTCTCTGAAGCCTGCTAACTGCAGGCTACATGTGCATAATAAAAATCTTGGTCTCCACAACCCCTTATCCTCACCCAGATATTTCCTTTCTATTGATTACAGGTCTTTAATCAGAAAATCTTGGAATCCACCTACAACCTGGATTCCATTCCACTTTGAATGCCACCTTTCTGAACTAAGCCAATGTACATGTGACATGTATTAATTGATGTCTCCTGTCCCCTTAAATTGTGTAAAAACAAGCTGTAACGCAACCACCTTGGGCACTTGTTCTCAGGACCTTCTTCGGGCGGTGTTGTGAACCATTGGTTAAATGAAAAACTCTCTTCAAAAAAAATATTTTTTTGAGACAAAGTCTGGCTCTGTCACCTAGGCTGGAGGGCAGTGGCATGATCTCCGCTTGCTGCAAACTCCACCTCCTGGGTTCACATGTAAAAGGGTAGAATGACTCAGTAGTGACACACAGTGTGTTTTTAGTAGAGACAGGATTCACCATGTTGACCAGGCTGGTTTTAACTCCTGACCTCAAGTGATCCGCCTGCCTCAGCCTCACAAAGTGCTGGGATTACTGGCATGAAACACTGCTTCTTGCCCTTTTGTTACTTTTCTACTGCTGTTAAGATAAAAGTCACTGTTGGGATCCAGCCTTTTTGTTTGTATAAACTGGTAAGTTTGTGTTGACATCTCTTGCTAGAGTTCTGAAGTAAAAGCTGTAGGATCTTTCTATGAGTGTGCATGCGTGTTTAGATGTGTTTATGTGCATGCAAATATATGTGTACATATATATACATAAATATATATATATATATTTTTGAGATGGAGTCTTGCTCTCACACAGGCTGGAGTGCAGTGGCACAATCTCAGCTCACTGCAAGCTCCACCTCCCAGGTTCACACCATTCTCCTGCCTCAGCCTCCCAAGTAGGTGGTACTATAGGTGCCCACCACCACACCTTTGATTTTTGGGTGGCCACCTGGTCACACATGGTAATAAAGCAGCCTCATTGTCTGGGGTAAATAACCGAGATTCATTGTCTCATGGCCACAGAAAATGAGGACGTGGACACACAGAGTGAGGTTGAGAGCAGAAGTTTAATAGGCAAAAGAAAGAGAAGAGCTATCTGCAGCAGAGCAGAGTCTGGAGAAGTGGGTTGCTGCTTCTGTGCTGGCATGCAGCAAGTTTTATAGATGAGCTTGAGGAGGTGGTGTATGATTTACATAGGATGCAAAAGATTGGTTGGATCAGGTGTACCGTTTGCATGGGGCACATAAAACTGGTTAGGACTAGGTGTGTCATCTGTATAGGGCAAGAAAAGCTGGCCTATTTTTTTTGAGATGGAATTTTACTCTTGTTGCACAGGCTGGAGTGCAATGGCGTGATCTTGGCTCACTGCAACCTCTGCCTCCTGGGTTCAAGTGATTCTACTGCCTGGGCTCCCAAGTAGCTGGGATTACAGGTGCCCACTACCACGACTGGCTAATTTCGTATTTTTAGTAGAGCTGGGGTTTCTCCATGTTGGTCAGGCTGGTCTCAAACTCCTGACGTCAGGTGATCTGCCCACCTCAGAACCTATTCTTTTCTTATGCAGACGGACTCTCTACCTGGCTAGTGCCATGTTGCCTTTTTTCTTTCTTTCTTTTTTTTTTTTTTTGAGATGGAGTTTCGCTCTTGTTGCCCAGGCTGGGGTGCAGTGGTGTAATCTCAGCTCACTGCAACCTCTGCCTCCTTAGTTCAAGTGATTCTCCTGCCTCAGCCTCCAGAGTAGCTGGGATTACAGGTGTGTACCACCACGCCAGACTAATTTTTGTATATTTTAAGTGGAGACGGGGTTTCACCATGTTGGCCAGGCTGGTCTCAAACTCCTAACCTCAGATGATCCACCTGCCTTGGCCTCCCAAAGTGCTGGAATTGCAGGCATAAGCCACCACACCTGGCCTCTGGTTTTTTACTGTACACATTGTGACAAAGAAAAGGGAAGGTGGAGCCTCCATGTTGAACGTGCCTGGCCCCCAGGTAGCACTTTTCCATTGGCATAGCTGCCTGCATTTACCTGTGCAAGCTTCCAGCTTGCTTATCTATGCCTGCAGCTTGATTTTCCACCCTGCTCTTTGTTAAAGAAGAAATGATGTGGGGGCTGCTTTTTGTTAAAAGGGAAATTCTGCCAAGGACTCTTTTACCCTCACTATCTGCTTGAATCGTTTCTTTCTAGTTCTTCTATCAGTAAGGAGATGCAGCTGACTTGCCTTCAGTCACTAAAGGTCAGAGCCACCAGAGGAATTTAGAGATGGATCTTACTCATACTCCCAGGGAATTTAGTTCACTGGATGTAAAGGAAATGCAAATTAATAAGGAAAAAGTGAACTATTCAATCCCTTGCTTACTGCCTCTGTAGTGGCTAAAATGAAAGTAAAAGAGCGCTGGCTTGGGCGTGAAGGCGGCACCAAGCTCAGATGTGGGTTTGTCTCAGATCAGGCCAAGTACCTCAAAGCTTCCTACGAAAGGAAAAATTCAGCCAGGCCAACCAATAGTTACCCCTGAGACCTGTGATTACCAAGAAGATAGACATGTGGAGGAAGGGCAAAACCAAGTAGCTATTAAACCCAGAGGGTATTTACAGGGCTGTTCAATCTTTTGGCTTCCCTGGGCCACATTGGAAGAAAAATTGTCTCGGGCCATGCATAAAATACATAAACACTGATGATAGCTGATGAGAAAAAAAAGGCAAAAAATATCTCATAACATTTTCAGAAAGTTTACAAATTTGTGTAGGGCCACATTCAAAGCTGTCCTGAGCCACGTGCAGCCCGTGGGCTGTGGATTGGACAAGCTTGAAAAGGAATTGGTTCATCTTCTAGATTGGTATCGTCAGCTTCCTGAGTTCCCTTTTTTAAAATGGGTTGTAAGAATGACTACTTTAAGTACAGTATGTTTATTTATTTATTTATTTTTTTGATAAAGGGTCTCATTCTGTCACCCAGGCTGGGGTGCAGCAGCATGATCTCAGCTCATTGCAACCTCCACCTCCTGGGTTCAGGTAATTCTCCCACCTCAGCCTCCTGAGAAGCTGGGATTACAGGCACACGCCACCATGCCCGGCTAATTTTTCTATTTTTTGGTAGAGATTGAATTTCACCATGTTGGCCAGACTGCTCTTGAACTCCTGACCTCAGGTGATCTGCCCACCTTGGCCTCCCAAAGTGCTGGGATTACAGGCATGATCCACTCTGCCCACCGATATGTTTAATTTTTAAATGCCACAGAAAGCAAGAGCATGTTTGGGCTGGTGCAGGGCCTGCAGCTCACTCACTATTAAACACTTGCTGATGAGTGTATGGGGCCCAGATGCACAGGAAGTTTTTCCTGAGGAAATGGCCAGCCTGGTGGACTAGGTAAACACCACTACAAGGTCTGTTTATCCTGAAAAGGGGACTGCCCAGCCCTCCCTATAAAATGCAAAGTGGAGCACCCTAGATAAAGCAGCTGATGTGCTTCATATGCAAGCCATGTGGGATTGGCTTCATGATGACCGGGATATTCGCCAGCTGAATATGCCCATTACCCAATGTATTAGTCCATTTTCATGCCGCTGGTAAAGACATACCTGAGATTGGGCAATTTACAAAAGAAAGAGGGGTAATTAGACTTACAGTTCCACGTGACTGGGGAAGCCTCACGATCATGATGGAGGGTAGAGAGGAACAAGTCATATCTTTCATGGATGGTGGCAGGCAAAGACAGAGTGAGAGCCAAGCGTAACAGGCAAGACTGCCTCCCATTTGATTCTTAAACAAGACAGCTACAAAGATAAGAAGCTACATACCCCCCTCACAATTTGTGCTTAAGGAAATTCCTTGTGGACAAAGGACAGATGGAACTCAAAGTCATCCTTCCAAGGCTCCCGAGACAAATACTTAACTGACAATTTCCTCTGCCCCATTGCTTATGTAAAAGTGCAGATTCACGGAGCCAGCCTAAATTGTGCATTCAGTGGAAAGCTGATCAAGGACTCAAAAGAATATGTAACCTTTTGTCTCATGTCTACTTCTAATCTGAAAGCCCTCACTTCAAGTTGTCCTGAATTACTGAACTGAACCCATGTATGTCTTACACATATTGATTGGTGTCTCATGTCTCCCTAAAATATATAAAAGCAAGCTGTGCCCCGAACACCTTGGGCACATATCGTCAGGACTTCCTGAGGCTGTGTCACAGGTGCACATTCTCAACCTTGGCAAAAGAAACTGTCTAAATTGACTGAGACCTGTCTCAGATATTTTGGGTTCACAATAGATTCTCAGTGTATTAATGATGCTAGCTGAAGAACTGTGAAGTTCATAAATTTGGAAAGGAAAGCTTTATTTCTATAAATGTTGTGGTTCAAGGGTCCCCTTCTACAAAAGCACCCCAGGTGACATGACTCTTGCAGAATCAAACAGTGGTTTGAGAAACCTTATCAAATTTGCAGTTGTAGCTTTCCCTCATGGGTCTTACAGATGCTACCAAAAGACTAGGGTGTCAACGAGAAGAGACAAACTGTAAATTTTTTTAAGAGATTTATTCTCAGCCAAATATGAGTGACTATGGCCGCCCATGACACAGACTTCAGAAGATCCTGAGAACATGTGCCCAGTGTGGTCTGCATACAGCTTGGTTTTCTACATTTTAGGGAGACATGAGACATCAATCAATACATGTATCATGTACATTGGTTCCGTCCAAAAAGGTAGAATGACTCAAAGTGGGGGATTCCAGGTCATGGATGGACAAGACACAAAAGTTTACATTCTTTTCAGTCTTTGATAAGATTACATAATTTACATGTGATGGGGGTTGGGGGTTGGGGGTGGTGGGTAGAGGAATAGTGGCTGATGCCTGTTCAGTGAATCTGCATGTTTGCGTAAACAATAGTGCAGGGGAATCTATCAGATACACATTTGTCTCAGGTGAGCAGAGAGGGCTGACTTTCACTTCTGTCTCTCCTTTGACCCACATCTGTGAAGATAAGCCAAGGTGAAATTGAACAGAACTGTTTTAGGGTAAAGATCTTGAGGTCCACAAAAAATTTCTTTGTGGGCAAATTATGAAAGAGGTATGTAGCTTTTTGTTTGTTTGTTTGTTTGTTTGTTTTTGTCTTCATAGCTGTCTTATTTAGGAGAAAATGGGAGGCAGGTTTTTCTGATGCAGTTCCCAGCTTGCGTTTTCCCCTTGGCTTGGGGATTTTGGTTTCCTTTCACTAATTAACAAACAAAATTAATAAATTAACAAACAAAAACAGGGAAGGGAAAAGTGAGTCAAAGGGCTCATGCCAGAAGGATGGAAATCTTTAGATAATTATTTTGTTATTATTATTAATTTTTTTATTTTTCGAGATGGAGTTTCACTCTTATTGCCCAGGCTGACATGCAACGGTGCCGTCTCGACTCACTGCAACCCCACCTCCCAGGTTCAAGCGATTCTCCTGCCTCAACATCCCGAGTAGCTGGGTTTACAGGCATCTGCCACCAAGCCCAGCAAATTTTTTTTTGTATTTTTACTAGAGACGAAGTTTCACAATGTTGGCCAGGCTGGAATCCTTAGATAATTATTAAGAAATGAAACAAAGAAAAGGAAAATTGATGGAGTTAAAACAAAAGACTTTACAACATGATCAAAGGTTGGGTGGGCCACAGGGAACCCCAATTGGTTCCCCAACATTAAGGGGCCCCATGCCAATTTTCTTCATTTGCCTCAGATTGGAGAAGTTTAAGAAAAATTGAGGCTGGGCACGGTGGCTCACACCTGTAATTCCAGCACTTTGGGAGGCCAAGGCGGTAGGATCATCTGAGGTCAGGAGTTAGAGACGAGCCTAGCTAACATGGTGAAACCCTATGTCTACTAAAAATACAAAAAAATTTGCCAGGCATGGTGGCACGTGCCTGTAATCCCAGCTACTGGGGAAGCTGAGGCAGGAGAATCGCTTGAACCCAGGAGGCAGAGGTTGCAGTGAGCCGAGATCATGTTATTGTACCCCAGCCTGGTCAATAATAGTGAAACTCCGTCTCAAAAAAAAAAAAAAAAAAGTTTTAGAGCAGGAATGAAAAGAAGGAAAGTACACTTGGAAGACGGCCAAGTAGCTGACCTAAGAGATCAAGTGTACGGTTGACCTTCAGACTTGGGGTTTTATAGGTTGGCATGCTTCTGGAGTCTTGTGTCCCTTCTCCGCTGAGTCTTCTCTTGGGGTTGGGCTGTCCACATGCACAGTGGCCTGCCAGCACTTGGGAGGGGAGCATGCGCAGTGTGTTTACTGGAGTTGGACGCATGCTCACTTGAGGCGTTCTTCCTTCACCAGCTGAATGTTCCTAGAAGGTTATAGACCAGTTAAACTCCACCGTTTTGCTTCTCAGTGTGCATGCTTGAGCCCACTCACTCACTTCCTGAGATCGTATTGGGAAGCTGCTAACCACCAGCTTTAGGTGTTTTCTATTTACTGGGAGACAGCCTTTCCCTGGTGCTGACTGTGACCAATTATTATTTTAGAGAGACAGTTTAATAACCGCCTGATGCTCGCCTGACATTCCTGGTGGGGCTGGGGAGAGCCTTTCCTGCCCTGCTTATGCCTGACTAGCTACCTACTGTAACAATAACTGAACTCTTTCTACCAATTTCCAATGAGAAAATCTATGCACCTATCTATGACCTGCAAGCCCCCACTTTGAGGTGTGTCACCTTTCCTGGCTGAACCAATGTCCATCTTACATGTATTGAGGGGTGTCTTATGTCTCCCTAAAATGCATAAAGCCAATCTGTAACTCAACAACCCTGGGCACACGTTCTCAGGATCTCCTGAGGCCTGTGCTAGGGGCCACTAGTCACTCATATTTGGCTCAGAAGAAATATCTGAGATTAGTTTACAGAGTTTGACCCTTTTTGACAGCAGAGGCAATTACACGCTTGCTATGGGATGTTAACTGAAGCTAATGGAAATAATGGTGTCCAAAAGAGTTCCGTGATGACATATAAATGGTTCATATAGGACCTGCTACCTGGGGAATGCAAAGATAACATACAAAGAGGGAGCCTCTTTTTCCTCTTCAGACTGACTGTGTACCTATGTGAGGAGCTGTTGGATTTTACAGTGCCCAATAAATACGTCTTTGCATGTGAATTGCAGTTCCAAGGTAAACAAACAACATCTTGTTTGGAAGGCTGTTGCTCTGGTTAAAGAAACATTAACATCTTTTTTTTCTTTTGAGATATTTACAGTTTAGAGTGATTGGATTGCATGTTCCTGTGAGCAAAATTTACATTTCTCTCTACCTGACTTCTCCACAATTTGGAAACTATTTCTGACTATTCTTATGTTATGACCATATATAGTGGTTTTCATGAGTTTAGTAGGACTGTTTTCTTTTGAAATAGGACACAATTGTGAACACTGGTTATTTGACCAAGGCTTTGACTAAAATAATGTAGTTTTAGGTAAAGTTCCAGCAAATCCAGCCTGAGAAGAGCCCATATGACCAATCAGTTCTTGCTGCGCTTTATGCAAATACTCAAGTATAATAAGCCTAAAACTTATTTTGCAGACGTATTGCTCTTCCTATACTTTTTCTTCAGTAGAAAAGGAGGGCTAGAGAGACAGAAAAGTTGTTTCAACTATAACCATCTGTTACTAGATTCCAGCCCTGACCTTTGTTTTTTATTATTTACTTATTTATTCATTTGAGACAGGGTATCTCCCTCTTTCCCAGGCTGGAGTGCAGTGCCGCGATCTCATCTCACTGCAACTTCTACCTCCTGGGTTAAAGCGATCTTCCTATTTCAGCCTCCCAAGTGGCTAGGACTATAGGTGTGTGCCACTATGCCCTGTTAATTTTTGTATTTTTAGTAGAGATGGGGTTTTCCTATGTTGCCCAGGCTGGTCTCAAATGCCTGGTCTCAAGCGATTTGCCTGCCTTGGCCTCTCAAAGTGCTGGAATTACAGGCACGAGCCACAGTGCTCGGCTGTGACCTTTGTTTTTAAATGCAGATGGAATCATGAATTATTTCTTGGCTACAAGAATTCTCTGAAGATGAAACAGGTTATAATTTTATTCATGATGCTTTTAGTTGGCAACCTAATGAAAAAAGTTATTTTTTTCTGTTGTGACACACAAATTCTCTTCATGGTCAAAATTACGAATGTTATCTCTTGTTGTTTTGCTTCGGAGAAAACCAGAATCATGGTATTCTGATGATCAGAGATAATCTGAGAAAGCCTGTAAATCTCCCTTATTTGGCATCCCATTGGGCCCAAACTATTTTTCATTGCCAGTGCCCTGCTGCTAAAACTATACAAGCACCCTCACTCTAGACCCAGGGACTATCATGGAAGAGATGGGAGCCTGAGACTGTAGCAGCCGATTTTGAGAGATAGAGTTAGTTCAGACCCTCCAAATCAAGGATGGATACACAGATGACTAAATAGCAGGTGAAACAAGCTGTTTTTGCCTCCTGGGTTATTACCCAACCCTTTACATCCATCCAAACCATAACAAATTTCCTGCTTCCCATAGAATTAAAAGAAAATTACTGAGAGGATAAAGGTACCTTATGACAAAGCCTCCCTGGTATAATACTCCAAGGTATGAGATTTATGTGTGTGTGTGTATATATATATATATACACACACACACACATATTTTATATATATATATATATATATACAGATATATATATAATTTTCAGCCAACTTAGGACAAATTGCTAAAAAGTATGTAAAAAGCATTACAGCACAACAAAATTCTCTAAATTCCTAGGCTAAAAGGTTTTAAAAATGTCTAAATTCCTTAGCGTAAAAGGTTTTAACCATGCTTATATTTTGTGTAGCTAACAGCTACAAGTCTATAAATAAAACCAAGAATACAGTAGGTTGATGCATAGAAGGTGAAGATAAGTTAATTTTGTAACCTCATGTTTGGCTTTTGGGCTTTTGTATTGCTTAAAGAATTTTAAAGGTCGATGAATGTCTGTCTGCCTTCATTCCCATCTGTCCTAGGACATTTAAATTGGCTGTAAGTCTTTGGGCTCTAAGCCCCTTTGTTATACTCTCGCCAATGCACTGCAATGTAGCAGTCTCTCATTGTAAGGTATCACCTGTAGTTCTTTCTCTCACGACCGAGAGAATTAAGGAGCATGGGCAAAATGGTGAGGTTGGAGTGAAACTTCAACAAGAAAAGAAGAAAGCTGACCATCACAGAGTGGGGGCCTGTAAGAGGGTTACTATTTCACAGTGAATGCAAAGGCCTTTATAAGAAACCTATGAGGGCAGGGTGTCTTATTTGCATATGGTGCAAATTGCTGGTAGCTCCACAACATCCTCCTAGTGCATACACAGGCCCTTAGCTTGAGTTACCCTATACTGTTTTATCCTGCTCACTGCGCATGTGTTAGAGCACAGCATTTTCCATTGCTGGCATGTCTGGGCAAGTCACCTGTGCACCCCTTCATATCTGTGCAGCTGTGGGCATGTCTTAGGCAAGTCCCCTGTGCAAGTTCCCTTATCTGCAATTCCTTCAGGTTGTTCTTTTGTTTGAAAGGATTCAAGTGAAGACTCACCCTAACTGCCTGCCTGACTGGTTTCTTTCTTCCTACTTTCTCATCTTGGCCATAGGGAGTCCCATCAAGGGACAGGATGAACCAGGAACGGGCAGTCATGCCACCCTGGCAATGCTATGGAACAAATTAAACTTGAGTGGTCATTGATGTTGAACTGTGCACATCCGAGTACAGGAGGCTAATAAGCAATGAGACATGCCCATGTTTGCATGTAAGTGAGAGGTAGGAACTCTGATAGCACCAGGAGCACAAACTGACCCCTAGTTGCTAGTAGACAAAATGAGGCAAACATTTATAAAAGGATTTCTGGACAAACTTTGTTCATCCTACTTTTTAGGGTTTCATTTTGAAAAACTGAAAAAGCAAAGATATGGAAAAATAGTGCCAGGTGCAATGGCTCATGTCTGTGGTCCCAGGACTTTGGGAAGCCAAGGCAGGTGGATTGCTTTAGATCAGGAATTCAAGGCCAGCCTGTGCAACATGGCGAAACCCAATCTCTACAAAAAATATAAAAAATTAGTTGAGTGTGGTGGCATGTGCCTGTAGTCCCTACTTTAGTACAAGAGGTCAAGGATGCAGTAAGCTATGATTACACCATTGCACTCCAGCCTGGGTAACAGACTAATACTTTGTCTCCAAAAAATAAAATAAAATAAATAATAATATAGAAAAAATAGTAAGAAGAAAATAACCAGACTCTATATTCCTATCACCCAGAAATAACACTGTTAAATTCCTGCTATATATTTTTATTATTTTTTATTAAAATAATCATTACTGTTATTATTTTTTACAAATATGTGTCTGCTCATTGTATTAGTTATTTATGATTGCCTAACAAAAATATTTATCCAGGGCTGCCTATCAGAAATTTGTAGACATATGCCTACAAGTGCCAGATTCTGAGATCTGGCCACAAATCTTTATACCCTTGTCACATGCAAAATTTTGTTACCTCCGTCCAAAGCCCCCATACCATCAGGTTAGTGAGCAGAATTTCATTAGCTGAATTAGTTTTATTTATGGAGGAAGTCTCTTGAGTAATGTTCCTTAGATAAACCTCTTCAAATATAGTATTATATATGGAGTGTGTATATAATATATATATACACACAAAATATGTGTATGTATATATATAGTGTGTATTATATATGGAGTATATATGGTATATCAATGGTGCATATATATCTGGTGTAAAAACATGGTGTGTAGATTGATGTGTGTATATATGTGTGTGTACACATATGTCTTGTACATATATGTTGGATTTATGTGTACATGGTGGGTATGTATCTATAGAGAGAGGGATATATATTTATGTGGTATATATATTTTGTATAGATGTATATGGTGGACTAGTATTTTATATGCAGTGTATATTACATATACACAGAAACACAAACACATGCACACCCCATATATACTATATGAATATATATGGATGGTTATGGTGTGTGTGTGTGTATATAAATATAGGGTGTGTATATATGTGTATGTGTATATATGGTGTGAGTGCATATATATATGGTATGTAAATATGGTATAGATTTATGTATATGGCATATGTAACACATATATAGTGTGCAGAGGTGTATAGACATATATGGTGCACATGTATTTTGTCTATATATAGTATACACATGGTAGGTGTACACATATGTATATATATATATATTTTTTTCTTTTTCTTTTTTTTTGAGACAGGGTCTCGCTGTGTGGCCTGGGCTGGAGTGCAGTGGCACAATCTCAGCTCACTGCAACTTCCCTTTGGTTTCCTGACTTCACAGCCTTCAACTCTAAAACTGAGAAAAACGTGTAGAATTTACAGGTTTTGATTGTGAGGAAGATGCAGTTCCCAAGGAGACTGAGGGAGAAACTGATCTTTAAAGTGTAGCATCTACTGTGCTCCACGTTCTATTTCTTTTCATGCAGGCACATACACCACTTAGATGGGGAGAACCTTCCTTGTGTCTTGCATATGTGGCAACAGAGACTAAGAGACTGGAAGGAGCTTCTTCAAAGATAGAGTTACATTTTTAGCAGAGGCAGAAATAGATGATCTAACTTCAAGGCCAATGGAACAGGTGTGGTCTTTTGAAGCTATTTCCACATGTCACCCTTCCTAGTGACTTTTAGTGAGCAGGGAGTTGGGACAGCCTAGGGGATGGTCATGAATGTTTCCCTCTAAGCACTGATCACAAAGAAGAGAAAATTTTTGCCTTCCAAAGTTATTAGTGTGTTCATTTTTATCTCTTAGGAAAAAAGGAGCAAAGTCGGAGATGGTGTCCACTTTCCTTTATTGATTGATTGAGATTACAAAATTGGCCAGTCATGGTGGCTCACTTCTGTAATCCCAGCACTTTGAGAGGCCAAGGCCAAAGATAGCTTGAGCCAAGGAGTTCAAGACCAGGATGGCCGGCATAGCGAGACCTTGTCTCTACAAAAATTTTAAAAATTAGCTGGGTGTGGTGGTGCACACCTGTAATCACAGCTACTTGGGAGGCTGAGGTGGGAGGATTGCTTGAGCTCAGAAGCTGGAGGTTGCAGTGAGCCAAGATTATACCACTGCACTCCAGCCTGGGCAACCAAGGAAGATGCTGTCTCAAAAAACAAACAAACAAACAAACAAAACTTGTATTCTATTGTCACCCATTACATTATTTTTAACTAATTTTATTTTAATCACTTATTGTTGAGTCATCTCTGAGATTCTCTATTCTAGTGGTGTCATTATAAAATGAAGCTGCCTTGTCAACTGCACTTGTTATGACACCAAACTTGTTATGACACCAAACTTCTGTTATGACACCAAAATGCATAACTCTATATAATCATATCCTATGACAGGGTCTATGCCTCGCTGTATTTCAGCATTCATTTTAGTCTTCAGCAATAGAATACTTTCACCTACATTTTGTCAAATTGAAACACTTGGAATACTTCATTTATTTTTTCTGCATGTCCTACATATTTTGGCTTTGCTAGTCCACTTTAACCAAAAAGCTTTGATTCCTTAAGTGTAGCTTAAATATCCTATCTTAAGCATGGGTGTAATTTTCTTCTATTACCAACAGAGGTTCTTTAATAGTTTTTCAAATCACTGATTAAAAAGAAACAGCTCAAATTATATTCTACTATAAAAATGATACATTCGGCCTGGGCACAGCCAATCACATCCATAATCACATGTTTGGAGGCTGAGGCAGGAGGATCACTTGAGTCCAGGAATTGAGGCTGCAGTGAGCTATGATCACACCACTGCACTCCAGCGTGGGTGACAGTGAGATCCTGTCTCAAAAAAAAAAAGATACATTCAAAGAAGTAAAAACAAAACAGTATCAAACCTATCTCCCTGATTGCAACTGCCTTTTTTATGCATACACCTGCAATTCTTTTTCACCTATCACACACTAAAAATATTTTAGAATTATAATTATTGTACACTGAAGGCATCTCTAGGAATGTTTTAAAGAACCTGTCTCTCTGAAGTTCATCCTGCTTGTCTATCAAGGAAATTATTTTCTTGATTATTGTTGCTGAGAAAGACTGGGTGTGTGTGTGTATATAAATATAGGGTGTGTATATATGTGTATGTGTATATATGATGTGAGTATATATATATGGTATGTATATATAGTATAGATTTACCATATATATTATAGAATTAGCAGATGTGAATCAGGAAGAGGTGAACAGGCTGCAAATCAGCAAGTTCTGGCATGGGGTGAGACAGTTGCAGAAAGTTCATTTCCTGGAAACTATGCCCAGGAACTAGCCTGACATCATGAGAAAGCTCCCAACATTCATAATGAGTTGCATATTAAATTCCAGGGGAGGGCACTGTAGGTGAGATGGTCCACATTTGGAAATACACTTTTACAGACATTTTATTTAGGGAGAAGTTCTGACATGTCCTCTGATAATTTGAACTTCCTTGATTTGCATTTGTACATTGAGAAATCATTTATTGGTCAAAATAAATGTTCAGCAGGTGTGAATGCTGTATCCACAACTGTTTTTTTTTTTTTTTTTTTTTTTGAGACAGTCTCGCTCTGTTGCCCAGGGTGAAGTGCAGTGTGTGATTTCAGCTCACTGCAACCTCTGCCTCCCAAATTCAAGCAATTCTTGTGCCTCAGCCTCCTGAGTAGCTGGTATTACAGGCACATGCCACCATGCCTGGCTAATTACAACTTAATTTTTAAATTTGGGCAGATTTACAAAACTATCAAGCTATTATCCTGCAGCATCTTTAGCCCTAAGCATGTCACTATTTGTACTGTATTTTTATTTTATTTCATTTATTTTTTGAGTCAGGGTCTCACTCTGTCATCCAGGCTGGAGTGCAGTGATATGATCATGGCTCACTGTAGCCTGGACTTCCTCAGACTCAGGTGATTCTCCTGAGTAGGTGGTGTCACAGGCATGCACCATCATACCCAGATAATTTTTTCATCTTTTTTTTGCTATTTCATCATTCTTTTGCATCAACTTATCACACTGTTTATAATGTAGTAAATACATGCAATTCTATGGACCATTAAATAACGCAAGAATGAAGATCATCGCAAATATATGCCCCCATTTTTAGTGCCAAATTTAGAAAAAGGTGGAACATTTTGATTCATACAATACTTTAATACTTAATGCCCAATAAAGAGCATTTTGGGGCACTTTAAATCCATCATCTTAAAACAACGAAGGAAGAGGTAAGAAGGAAGTAATGGGAGATGCACAAACTTGTGCCGACTAGGGGACAAGACTTATATATATAAATATTTTTTCTTTTCTTTTCTTCTTTTTTTTTGTCAGGGGACAGGGTCTCTCTCTGTCTCCCAGGCTTGAGTGCAGTGGCGTGATCACAGCTCACTGCAGTCTTGATCTCCTGGGCTCAAGCGATCCTCTCACCTCAGCCTCTGGAGTAGCCGGGAGTAAAAGCACACATCACCATGCTCAGCTAATTTTTGTATTTTTAAAATTTTTTGTAGAGATGGAGTCTCACTATGTTGCCCAGGTCAGTCTTGAACTCCTGGGCTCAAATTTTTCTCTTGTCTTGGCCTCCCAAAGGGTTGGTGTTACAGGTGAGCCACCATACCTAACCAAAGACTTACATATTTATTGTATTCTCACTTCTCCAGACACTCCTGAGTATTAGAGATGTACCCCTCATCTTGGAGTTGTGGAATCTTAGACAGAATGGGGTTAAACAATGTTTTCGTGTGACCCCATCACATTCCCTATATGGTCAATGTAATTGAACATCCGACGTAATTTAACATCCATCATATGAGCACGTTCTTTGTTAATTTAAATCAACAGAGAATGTGCCTACACAATAGCTTTATACAGGGCTCCATAACATCTCTGTTGAGCATGAACTGCATGATAATTTCATGTTTTGCATCTATTTGTCCAGGTAGAACTTAGAATTGATGTCGACCTTCATGATTTAATAGTAGTTGTTCTTCCCCAGATTCAAAGAGATGGAGTCTCGCTCTGTCGCCCAGGCTGGAGTGCAGTGGCGCGATCTTGGCCCACAGCAATCTCCTCCTCCCAGGTTCTAAGTGATTCTCCTGCCTCAGCCTCTGGAGTAGCTGGGATTACAGGCCTGAGCCACCACGCCTGGATAATTTTGCATTTTTAATAGAGAGGAAGTTTCACCACGTTGGTCAGGCTGGTCTCAAACTCCTGACCTCAGGTGATCCACCTGCCTCAGCCTCCCAAAGTGTTGGGATTACAGGCATGAACCACTGCACCCAGACCCTGGGTTTTTTAAAACTTGAAAAAACCTCATGTTATAAGAAGACTTAGGCCACCATGAAGATTTAAAGAAATAGGTCTCAGTTAAAGGAAAAAAAGAATCACAAAACAAAACACTGAAGAATATTTAGAAACAGCATAAGAAATGGGCAATATATTATAAAAATTATATAAGTTTTAAACTTTTGAACATAGATTTTTTTCAAAGTTCATAAAAAATTGGACAAATGTGCAGTAAAAGATCATAGATTCCAAAAATTTGAGTGGATGGGCAATGAAAGATCATAGATTCCGAAAGTTATTTGCATTCCCTCACTTCCAACATTTTCCATTTTGGCTTGGAGCATTACCAGATACAACGGTCATTTTCTGTGTGGTTTTTCTTGGGCTTTGTACAAATCTGTGTTTTTATTTGTTTATTTTGTCACTGAGCTCTTTATGGTGAAGTGGTTTTTCCATGAAGTTTCTGTGGGTGGTAAATGTTGTCTTGTGGAATCATTATTTATGGCCATCATAACTGTGGGTAATAAGTCATGTTCAAGCATAAGCATTTGCTGCACTCCTGAGCTGTGGGTTTCCTGGGTGCTTCGTGTGGCTGTACTCCCAAGTCTGGTGTTGGGGACTCTGTTAGAACAACCACCAGCTGTCTAGCCCCTGCCTCCTCATGGAGCCTGCAGAGGGAAGAGCAAGCAGGAATGCGTGTGTGTGTTTGTTGCTGTTTGAAATTCTGTGAGCGTCAAATTGTCTTGCTTATAAAAGTCATGCCTTGGCATCAAAGAAAAAGCATCTGCTCTCCCTTGTGTTTCTTGAACTTATATTTAAGGAGTGCATCCCAGGTGGCAGCCTTTGTTCCTGGCTCTAGGGATACAGAAGGAAACTCAGAGGCAAGAAAAGTCCCGTGCACTTGGGAAGCTTACACAGAGAGGAGGAGAAGAAAAACAGTGAGAAAAATCCCTGACATCTTCCATCTCACTCCAACTTAACATGTGAGAGTATCTGCCTCAGCCTTCTCTCATTCCCTCTGTGTGCGTAGTTCTCTCTTTGTCTCACTCTCCTCTCCTCTCTCTCCTCTTTCTCACTCTCCTCTTTCTGTCTTTCTCTGTATCTTTCTCCTCTGTTTCACTTTCCTTCTCTCTTTCCTCTCTCTCTCTCCTCCTGTCTCACTTTCTTTCTTACTCTCTCCTCTGTCTCACACTTTTTCTTTCTCTCCTCTGTCTCTCTCCTCTGTCTTACTTTCATTCTCACTCTGTCTCCTCTGTCTCTTTCTCTCCTCTCTGTCTCACTCTTTTTCTCTCTCTCATCTTACTCTCTCCTCTGTGTCACTGTCTTTTTCTCTGCTCTGTCTCACTGTCTTTCTGTCCTCTCTGTCTCACTGTTTCTCTTTCCTCTGTCTCACTCTGTTCCTCTCCTCTCTGTCTCACATCTTTTCTGTTGTCTGTCTTTCTGTCCTCTCTGTCTCACTCTGTTTCTCTCTCTCCTCTCTTACTGTCTTTCTCTCCTCTCTGTGTCACCCTCTTTCTCTCCTTTATATCTCACTCTCTTTCTCCCTCTCTCTTTATTTGTGTTTCTGTCTCCTCTCTCTCTGTTTCTCTCTGTGATTCTCATTCTGTATTACTCCTTCTCTCTCCAGTGTCTTCTGCATCTCTCTAATGGTCCCTGTCACGGTTTCAGTTTCTGTCTCATTATCCGTGTGTTTGGCCCCCCTCTTTCTCTCAGTCTCTGCCTCTGTGTATTTCTGTCTGTTCCATCTGATTCCCTCTCTCTTGCTCTCTCTTTTTCTGCATGGTTCTTTTTTCTCTTTCCCTGTACCTTTCTCTTTCTCTGTCTCTCTCTGACTCTGATTGCCTCTCGCATTTTTCTCTTTTTCTCTTGTTTTTCTCATTCCCGCTCTCATTCTCTATGTGTTTCTCTCCTCTCTCTTCTCTGTGTTTCTCTCTCTCCCCTCTTCTGCCTTCCTTTTTCTTTCTCTTTATGTGTGCCTATCTCAGTTTGTTTAGCAGCACTGAAATAACTAAATAGACACATTGCTTTTCTCACTTAAATTATAGAGGAAGGTCTTTTCCCCTGCTAGTGCCTAGTCCTCACCACTTTCTCTTGTGGCTTCTCAGTGTGGTCACTGCCTGTGCTTTGGTTTCCTCATCTGTGAAAAGGAAGTAATGGGAGTTGTTCCCTCATGGTGTTGTGGTGAGGGCTGAGTTACTATATCCAAAGTGTGTATTGGGAGGCTAGGTGGGGAGCGGATCACTTGAAGTCAGCAGTTCAAGACCAGCCTGGTCAACATGGTGAAACCCCATCTCTACTAAAAATTCAAAAATTAGCTGGGTGTGGTGGTGGGCACCTGTAATCCCAACTGCTAAGGAGGCAGAGACAGGAGAATCTCTTGAACCCAGGAGGTGGAGGTTGCGGTTAGGTGAGATCACACCACTGCACTCCAGCCTGGGCAACTCCAGCCTGAGACTCCATCTCAGAAAAAAAAAAAAAAAAAAAGAAGAAGAAAGTGCCTGGGACAGGGTAGGCATTCTATATGTTTACCTATAAATATCAATATATTATCATTAATATATAGCATTTAATAGACTTTAGTTTTTAGAGCAGTTTTCGGTTCATAGCTGAATTAAAAGCAAGGTGCAGAGATTTTTCCATATGCCCCCTGTTAGGGTCACCCTGACCAGACCATTCCCTTCCCCTCCCACAGACCTTACAATACAGTCTCTTGCACTCTCTCCACAGATCCCCCAGGGCAAAAGAGAAACCCCTCCTTCACTGACCCTTCCAGTAACTGTGCAGACAGTTACAGGATGCGGTTCACATGTGTGTTAACCTCGCATAACAAAGCCGGCAAGAAACATCTCCAGGGTGAGGTCAAGACAGCTGCACCCCTGACTCAGATCCCCAACCCCGACCCAGTTCTCCTGCACCCCCGACTCAGCTCCGGCACCCCAACCTGGTTCTGGCCCTATAAAACCCTACAGTCTGTAAGTCGGGCTGCCTCCTCTGGTTTTCTCAAGAGGTAGTCCCGCAGGACTGACAATAAATCAGCTTGCCTGAACTTGGCTTTATTGGCCTCATTCCCTTCTCAACTGTCCTTCCAATGATCCTTTACATCCTGGTGCTGAAACCCGGGAAGATGGTAGAGTTCGGCCTCCCTTTCTCCCCTTCTACTTTCCCAGCTCCTCCTAGCCAAACTTCTCCTTCCAGAATCTGCTAGAGACCCGAGGATTTCATACAGCTTTTCCATTGCTAGCAATAACATCCAACACCGGGGCCGTGTCAGGCCTGAGTAAAGGAGACTTTTGTCTTCAGTCTGGAACCCTTGTCCGCTCTTTCCTTCCCGAAAGACCCAGCGCTGGGCCAAGGGTTCCCCCCTCCCAGCCTCTAGGCCCTCGGTATCTCTCTTTCAGGGACGCCTGAACGGGGGGATATCCACTTATCCGACTTGAACCATGGGACAAGGGATGCCTTCTCCCACCGTTCTGGTCTCTGGCCAAGTCTCCCGTCTCTACCTCTGCCTTTCTCATTCCACTATAGGAGCCTCCCAATCCACTCCGTCGAAACATCCCGTCCTCGAGTGTCTCCCCCGTAACCTTAACGCCCTTAGCCTCCGTTCCGAAATTCGGCCAAAAAGGCTCATCTTTTTTGTAACACTGCCTGGCCGCAATATAAACTAAACAATGGCTCCCAATGGCCTGAAAATGGCACTTCCAATTTTAACATCCTCAGGGACTTAGACAACTTTTCCTATCGCAATGTCAAGTGGTCTGAAATCCCTTATATTCAGGCCTTTTTTGCCCTCCGTAGCCACCCCTCCCTTTGTCAGTCCTGTTCCGCTTTCCAAATCCTCTTCACCTGCTCCAAGCCAGACACATCCTCAGCTCCCCCTTCCTTCTGACAATTCCTCCTCCTTTGACCCTGCCGACTTCTCCCGGCCCAGTCAACATGATAATCTTCTGCCCAATCATCACGACCCTCCACCCTACGCTCCTGCCCTCGCTCTTTTCCCCACTCTTTCCAACCACCCAGCTTCTGATTCTGATTCCTTCTCATCTCCACCTCACACCCGCTCTCAGACTCAGCACGCCCAAGTCGGCCCCCTTACTTCCCCTCCAAGAGGTGTCCAGGGCTAAAGGAATCGTTCATATCCACATTCCCTTCTCCCTCTCCAACCTTTCCCAAATTAAGAAACGTCTCAGGTCGTTTTCCTCCAATCCTGACACTTCCATCAAAAAGCTCAAATACTTTACCCAATCGTACAAACTCACTTGGCATGATCTCCAAATTATCCTCTCTTCTGCAGTCCTCCCAGGGAAAAAAAAAAAAAAAAGTGTGGCTTGCAGCTCAGGCACATGCCAACAATCTTCATCAGCAAGACCCTACTAAGCCCATGGGGGCCACTGCAGTACCCCGGGAAAACTCTCCTGGGACTATCAACCCACAGATCCTGGCTGGGCATCTCCTAACGGCACGATCACTTGCCTTGCCGCAGTCCTCAACAAAGCTGCCCATAAAGCCATAAACTTTAAAAAACTTAAAGAAATCTCCCAAAGGGCCAACAAAAATCCCACTGAATTTCTTTCCTGCCTTACAGAGGCCCTCCAAAAACACACCCATGTTGACCCCACCTCCCGGGAAGGAAAGATTGTTCTTAATACCCATTTTATCTCTCAGTCTGCTCCTGACATATGGTGCAAGCTCGGAAAGGTAGAAGACGGCCCTCAAACCCCTCAACAAGACCTCCTTAACCTGGCCTGTAAGGTCTTCAGCAACAGAGATGAGCAAAATAAATTAGATAAAGCCCAACGAGATTGTGCTAAATACCAGCTCTTAGCAGCAGCTATTCATCAGCCTACCCAGGCTGCCTAGGGGCACAAAAGACCCAATAGCAGTGACCCTCCTGGTCCCTGTTTAAGTGCAGCAAAGAAGGCCAGTAGGCCTGAGCGTGCCCTAACCTGCAAGTGCCAAAAACGCCTTGGCCAGCCTCCCAACAAACTGGTTACTGGAAATCTGATTGCCCTCTTAACAAGCAAGCTAACAGGCCGGTTCCTCAAGGCCCTGGAAAAGCAAAGAGTAAAAAGGCACTCATACTGCTGCAGCCCCATGGCCTGGCCACTGAAGACTGATGGAGCCCAGTGCCCCCGGCCCCATCTGCCATCACTACATGGGAGCCCAGGGTAACTCTGCTAATAGCAGGTAAGCCAATCTCTTTCTTAATTGATAGTGGGGCCACCTACCTATTCGGCTTTACCTGAATTTTTAGGACCCACTTACCCTTCCCAGGTCTCTGTTGTGGGGGTTGAGGGACTCATCTTGTGTCTGTGTGCTACTGAATCTCTTAGTTGTTCCCTATTTAATAATATTTTTTCACACTCCTTCCTTATCATGCCTCATTGCCCCACCCCCATCCTAGACCAAGATATTTTAGCCAAATTCAAAGCTTCTATCACCTTTTCCTGTCCCCTCAACCAGAGTCTCTCCTGCTCCTCTCTGCTAGTCCGGCCCCTGAGCCCCCTCCCCAGCACCCGCTACCCACCTCCCTCATTAACCCAGTACTGTGTTACACCACCACCCCTTCCACAGCTGCTCACCAGGACCCCATCAAAATTCAGTTAAAAGACCCCTCTAGGCCAGACGCAGTGTCTCATGCCTGTAATCCCAGCACTTTGGGAGGCCGAGGTGGGTGGATCACGAGATCAAGAGATCCAGACCATCCTGGCTAACAGGGTGAAGTGCTGTCTTTACTAAAAATACAAAAAATTAGCCGGGCATGGTGGCAGGTGCCTGTAGTTGCAGCTGCTCAGGAGGCTGAGGCAGGAGAATGGCGTGAACCTGGGAGGCGGAGCTTGCAGTAGCCGAGATCGCACCAGTGCACTCCAGACTGGATGACACAGTGAGACTCCGTCTTGAAAAAAAGAGACCCCTCTAAATTTCCCAACTTTCCCCAATACCCTGTTTCCCTAACACACAAAAGAGCTTGCCACCCATCATAAACAAGCTCTGCTCACGCAATGTTCTTAAACCAACACACTGTCCATATAACACCCCTATCCTCCCTATTAAAAAATCTGACGGCTCATACCAACTCATTTAGGACCTCTGAGCTATCAGTCAGCCTGTCCTCCCTATTCATCCTGTAGTCTCTAACCCCTATACACGTCTCTCTGTTGTCCCCTCCAACATCACCTACTACACCGCAGTTGACCTGAAAGATGCCTTCTTCACCATTTCCCTACACCCTGATTCCCAAAACCATTTTGCTTTCACTCAGACTGTCCCTGACAACCTACAGACACAACTCATGTGGACTGTCCTCCCTCAGGGCTTCAGGGATAGCCCTCATTTCTTCAGGCAAGCCCTAGCTCAAAACCCCACCTCCTTGGATCTTTTTCCCCAGCTGCCTTCTTCAATATGTAGATGACCTCCTCTTCTGTAGCCCCTCCCTAAAAAACTCCCAAACTCACACTGCTACCCTTCTCAATTTCCTTACTAATAAAGGCTATAGGGTCTCCCCCTTCAAAGCACAGCTTTCCATCCCTACCGTGTGACCTACTTAGAAGTTCAACTCTCCCTTGGGTCCCAAGCAATGACCCTGGCATGGGCAGCCTTAATAGACAGCCTATCTCCACCTTCCTCAAAAAGCGAAATCCTTTCCTTCCTAGGGCTATCAGGCTTTTAAAAATATGGATTCCCAACTTTGCCCTCCTAGCTCACCCCCTTTATAAAGCAGCCAAAGGCCCCTTCAATATACCCCTAAACTCCTCACATAACATACTCCCCAACTTCTGTGAACTCCAAACTGATCTTATCACTGCACTGGCTCTGTCCTTACCTACTATCTCCCAAACTTTCACTCTCTATACTGCCCAAAACCAGTGAATAGCCCTTTGTTTCTTAAGACAACAAAAAAGAAGATCCCCCTTCCTTTGCTCCTATAGCCTACCTCTTTGAACAACTCAACAGCACATTCAAAGGGTGGCCAATCTGTCTTAGAGCACTAACAGCAGCAACCATTTTAGCTGTAGAAAGCAGGACACTAACATTCAGCCAAAATACCACTGTCTACAGTCCTCATAATCTATAAGATCTCTCCTCCCAAGCATTAAGCTCTCCTCCTCCTTCCTGGA